>NW_025791801.1:0-372839 GCF_000001405.40 Homo sapiens
TTTTTCTCAGCGTGGAACGTCCCTGAGAAAGAGAATGCGCACCTAGGGGTAGGTCTCTGAACTGGCCCCCCCGGGGTGTACCTGTCTCTTATGGTCGAGATTGCAGAGGTGAAATAAACTCCAGTCTCCCATAGCGCTCCCAGGCTTATTAGGAAGAGGAAATTCCCACCTAATAACTTTTGGTCAGACCGGTTGATCTCAAAACCCTGTCTCCTGATAAGATGTTATCAATGACAGTGGTGCCCAAAACTTCATTAGCAATTTTAATTTCACCTCGGTCCTGTGGTCCTCTGATCTCGCCCTGCCTCCACTTGCCTTGTGATATTGCATTACCCTGTTAAGTACTTGATGTCTGTCACTCACACCTATTCGTATACTCTCTCCCCTTTTGAAACTCCCTAATAAAAACTTGCTGGTTTTTGTGGCTTGTGGGGCATCACGGATCCTACCAAAATGTGATGTCTCCCCCGGACACCCAGCTTTAAAGTTTCTCTCTTTTGTTCTCTGTCCCTTTATTTCTCAAGCCAGCCGATGCTTAGGAAAATAGAAAAGAACATACGTGATTATCGGGGCAGGTTCCCCGATAATATGGTACATATATATTACATATATAGTAAAATATATATAATATATTACATATATAGTAAAATATATATAATATATTATATATATAGTAAAATATATATAATATAATATATATAGTAAAATATATATAATATATTATATATAGTAAAATATATATAATATATTATATATATAGTAAAATATATATAACATATTATATATAGTAAAATATATATAATATATTATATATATAGTAAAATATATATAATATATTATATATAGTAAAATATATATAATATATTATATATAGTAAAATATATATAATATATTATATATAGTAAAATATATATAATATATTATATATAGTAAAATATATAATATATTATATATAGTAAAATATATATAATATATTATATATATATTAAAATATATATAATATATTATATATATAGTAAAATATATAATATATTATATATAGTAAAATATATAATATATTATATATAGTAAAATATATATAATATATTATATATAGTAAATATATAATATATTATGTATAGTAAAATATATATAATATATTATATATAGTAAATATATAATATATTATATATAGTAAAATATATATAATATATTATATATAGTAAAATATATAATATAATATATTATATATTTATATATACAGATATACTAGATATATTTTACTATATATAGTATATATGTATATATACAAATATGTATATATATTTTACTATATGTATTTTACATATACTATATATATTTACTATATGTATACCATATGTATATATAGCAAAAGGTCATGTTACATTGGTACTTTCTAAATTCTAAACTTTAAGTTTAGAAAAAAGACCAACATATTTGTTATGGCAAATGGTTAGTTCTCTGCTCAGTCACCAAACAATACACATGAAATAACATTATTCAGTAGTAAGTTCCATTAATAGCATGAAATAAAATAAAAGCACCTGGAAGGAAGAAACAGAGCACCTTCTCATTGAGCACTTACCTCTGTGAAGGGAGTCAGGCTATTGTTGAACTGACAGAAGGCATATCTGTCAGGACTGTGTATAGCAACAAGACCCCTACTGAGAACCCCACAGCCCATGCAATACAGAATGGGGTCTTAGAGAAGCATCCTTAAAAAAAAAAGCCTTCAAATTGATTTAGACAGATTTCTCATGGTGATGGACAACAGATTTTGTGTAACAAACTCCAGAGCTTTATTTCACATTATCATTTAACAATAACATTATGAACAAATTTTTTTTTCATTATTTCAACTTTTCCTTTAGATTCAGGTGGTATATTGTGTGATGTGCCAGTTTGTTATGTGGGTATACTGTGTGATGCTGAGGTTTGGGGTATGATCGATCCTGTCACCCAGGACTGAGTGTAGCACCCAACAGTTTTTCAGCCCTTGTCTCCCTCCCGCTCTGCCTGCTCTAGTAGTCCCCAGTGTCTATTGTTGCCATCATTATGTCAATGAGTACCCGATGTTTAACTCCCATTTGTCAGTGAGAAAATATGGCATTTGGTTTTCTGTTCCTGGGTTAATTTGTTTAGGATAATGGCCCCCAGCTGCATCCATGTTACTGTGAAGGACATGAGTTCATTGTTTTTTATGGGTGAGTAGTATTCCATGGTGTATGTGTACCATATTTTCTCTATCCAGTCCACCACTGATGGGAACCTAGGTCGATTCCATGTCTTTGCTATTGTGAATTGTACTGTGACAAACATGCAAGTGCATGTGTCTTTTTGGTAGAATGATTTGTTTTCTTTTGGCTACAGACCAAGTAAAGGGATTGCTGGGTCAAATGATAGTTCTACTTTAAGTTCCTGAGAAATCTCCACACTGCTTTCCATAGTAGCTGAACTAATTTACATTCCCATCAACAGCATATAAGCATTCTCTCCTCTCAACAGCCTTGTCAGCATCTGTTGTTTTTTAACTATTTTTTTCTTTATTCTGAAAGTATGGGGCTTCAGTTACTGAGCTTTTTAATAATAGCCATTTTGACTGGTGTAAGATGGTATCTCATTGTGGTTTTGATTTTGCATTTCTTTGATGAATAATGATGTGGAGCATTTTTTCACATGTGTGTTTGGCTGCTTGTATGTCTTGTTTTGAGAAGTGATTGTTCAAGTCCTTTGCCCACTTTTTAATGGGATTATTTGTTTTTGCTTGTTCAATTGTTTAAGTTCCTTATAGATTCTGGATGTTAGGCCTTTGTTGGATGCACAGTTTGTGAATATTTTCTCTCATTCTGTAGGTTGTCTATTTACTGTGTTCATAGTTTCATTTACTGTGCAGAAGCTCTTTAGTTTAATTAGGTCCCACTTGCCAATTTTTGTGTTTGTTGCAATTGCTTTTGAGGACTTAGTCATAAATTCTTTCCCAAGGTTGATGTTAAGAATTATGTTTTCTAGATTTTCTCCTAGGGTTTTTAAAGTTTGAGGTCTTACATTTAAATCTTTAATCCATCTTGAGTTAATTTTTCTATATGGTGAAAGTCAGGGTCTAGTTTCAATCATCTGCATAAAGCTAGCCAGCTATCCCAGCACCACTTATTGAATAGGGAGTCCTATCCTCATTGCTTATTTTTGTTAATGATATCAAAGATTAGATTGTTGTATGAGCATGGCTTTATTTCTGGGTTCTCTATTCTGTTCCTTTTGTCTATGCCACTTTATATTTTACAACTTTCTGTTTTTGTACCAGTACCATGCTGTTTTGTTTACTGTAGTCTTATAGCATAGTTTGAAGTCAGGTAATGTGATGCCTTCAGTTTTCTTTTTATTTACGATTGCTTTGGCTATTTGGGCTCTTTTTGGTTCCTTATGAATTTCAGAATAGTTTTTTTCTAGTTCTGTGAAAAATGACATTGGTAGCTTGATAGAAATAGCATTGAATCTGTAGATTGCTTTGGGCAGTGTGGTCATTTTAATGATACTGATTCTTCCAATCCATTGGCATGGGATGTTTTTCCATTCGTTTGTGTCACCTATCATTTCTTTAAGTCGTGTTCTGTAGTTTTCTCTGTAGAGATTTTTCACTTCCTTGGCTAGATGTATTCCTAGGAAGTGTGTATATGTGTGTGTGTGGCTATTGAAATGTAAAATAAAGTTGTAGAATGTACAACCATTTTGTGATTAACATGTCTCTCACCATACTAAGAAGTGTTTGACCTGAGGTCTAAATGCAGGAAACTTGTATTCTCCAGGGTCTTTTCTGAACTTTTGGGATTATAATTACATTAGTAAGTAACTTATTTACTCTTACATTATTCATGTTTCTTTAACTTCAAAAACAGAGGTAATTGGCCAGAGGTTGCCTAAGGCTTCTTCCACCTCTAACACCCTGGGCGTTCTATGATGTTCCAACAGGTGTCGGATCAGTAAACACACCATTAGGCTGGGAATGTAAGTTTCAACCCAGGTGCGGCCTCCTAGCGTGTTTCTTGTTGCAGAACATTTCTCAGGTGTTCAATGCATGCCTGGAATTTTGGGCACAAGTGACTCTGTACACATGATAAAGTCATAGTTGTATCCATCTTCCTGACTCAGCTGTGCTCCATAAATGCCATTTACAATGATTATAAGAAAACTACTCAGACTTAAGTTATGAGAACTGTATAAGAGGATTATTCTGCATCTTGCTTTGAGTATCTCTAGAAAAAAAGAGACAATCTCCCAGAAGAAAATATCACAAAGACCATGATTTCTATGGTAGGAGTATTGAGTTTATTAGAAAGCAGACAACATGATATAGGAGTTAGACTGGAGTCCTAGGAAAAGTATTTCTCATCTGTGGTTGGTCTGAAAAGGTGTCTTCAATGCATAGTGTGAGCTAGTATGAAGAGATGAGAAATGGGCTTCTCAAGGAAACGTGTATTGCTCTGCGGTGAAGCCCTGAGGGGCAGCGGGATGGACCTGGCCATCTTCTGAGGGGCCCTTCGTGATAACGGGCTGCTCAGCAGGAGGAGGTCCTGCAGGTGGTGCTGCAAGGGGTCGGCTGGCCGCAGGGGGACTGCACAGACACAGGCTGGCAGCAGGTGGTGGCTCAGCAGGAGGAGGTCCTGCAGGTGGTGCTGCAAGGGGTCGGCTGGCCGCAGGGGGACTGCACAGACACAGGCTGGCAGCAGGTGGTGGCCCAGCAGCAGGGCCTGCACACCACAGCCGTGCACGACGAGGGGCAGCAGGTGATGGGGCGGCAGCAGCCTTCCTGCAGGGAGCAGGGGTCGCAGCACACCGGGCGGCGGCAGGGCTCGCAGATGGGGCGCGTGCAGCGGGGCACGCAGGTCACGGGGCGGCACACGGTGGTCTGGCAGGTCACGGGGCGGCAGCAGCAGGGGTCGCGGCAGCAGCAGGGCTGGCAGCAGCCTCCCCCGTAGCTCAGGGAGGAGAAGGTGGAGCCGCAGCAGGAGCCGGTCATGGTGGTGTCTGAGGCTGGTGTGGGTTGGGCTGTGGAGAGGAGCTGGATGTTCTCAGGTGTGAATGTCCTCCTCCCCCTCTGGGCCCTTTATATACGCTGGCTGGGAGCTGATGACCCCCAGGACACAAGGTCATTTCCTTGTTTTCACTTATTCTTCCTGAAATAACACCAGCAGATTAGTAAGTTTTGTAGACATTGTTTAGATGCTCAGGTACACATAAAAGTCTATTTTCCTTATTTAGTGTAGACCCATTATATTTTGCTATTTATGGTTCAAATATGAATTTAATGACCCTAACTTCAAAGTCTCCAATTATCGTTATAATTCAATGACGCTTTTGCTAGTTGCTGTTTTGATAGCTCAAAGCAGCTGTTGTGCTCTGCATGCTCTGAGGGTTATTACTTGCTAGCAGTTGAAGTAAAGCGAGCATCTCAAGTTGTTAGTATTCTTTGCCACTGCTAAGCTTCCTGGGCAAAACAAGTTGAGGATAATACTACAGGGATAGTTTAAAAGTCAGGATTTCTCAGTAAAAGAAGAATTTTCCTGTCCCCTTTTTGGAGGTACAAGAATGCATTTTAGTAGGTTTCCATCATCCAGTGGTTTTTGTCTTAGAGATATGTTCATTGATTTCTATGGTTGTATCTTTCCAGACCAAGGTAAATTTCACTGTAATCTTCATGATAGCCAGTATCATTAAGTTGTAACTATGTTCCAAGCATCATATTAAAAAATACATGCATTAATCTAATCTTCATAACATTCTTAGGATGTGGATATTGTTTATTTCTCATTTCACACATAAGGAACCAGATAAGTGACTTACCCAAGGTCATGTACCTAGTAAGTGTTGGAGCCAATACTCATTCCAGAAATATCTGTGGGAACATTATTTATCAGCCCAAAAAGCTGAAGAACTCACTGTAGCTAAAGAATGGATTGTAGGTACCACATTCCCAGGTATTAAGGAATGTCTATTTTATTTAGGAGCTTTTACAGTGTATTTACTTTGAAAACAGTTGTTATTTATGATATGTCTAATTTTTAGAGTCGGTTGAAAGGACTCTATGTCTTACCAACAGCCTCAGGAGTGGGAAGAATTACCTTCTATTCAGCCTTCTGAAAATGTCGAAACATACCCTAAGGAGATAGTGTCATAGTTGGGCATAACTGAATGATTATGGGGTATTGTGAACAAAGCCACCAATATGGTGAGGAAGTCAAACAAGTCTATGTAGAGGAAGGTTGCAGTCTTGCGGTATAACAAAACCCTTCAGTAGTGATCCCACTTGAACGTGTTCTCGGGCCTCATCTGGCCCATACCTCAGTGTCTTCAACATCTCCCTGTGTGCTATGCTGGGGCTCATTTCTGCTTATGGAACCAATTGTCATTTTTAATTGTTTCAAACTGTCATGACTTGTAGGCAAATTATGTCACTCAATCACTTTTGAGTCTTTGCCTCTTAATTTACTTGGTTCTGACCTTTTCCTTTACAACTAAGACTGTTCTATTAGGTTGGTGCAAAAAGTAATTGTGGTTTTTGGCACTTTCAATGGCAGAAGCTACAATTATTTTTGCACCAGCCTAATAGATCTGAAGTTGAAGGTTCAAGTGTAAGCATTCTTATTGATCACACCACTTGCATGGTTTCTTATAGGCTTACCCAGATCTGCACCAGCCACTTCAGCCAACCAGAGAATGGGGTGACTGTGGGAATAAATGAGATCCAATAATAATGATAGGTTTGAGGGGAAACAAGGCATTGTCCATTTGAGAAAACACTTTTAAATAAGGAGGTCTCTAGAAGGCTAACAAGAAAAACTCTGAGAGGAGAAAAACAGATGTACTTAACGAATTTTGAAAACAGTGATCAAGAATATATAGAAAGAAATTAGACTTGTGAGCCTATCCATTGGTTAATTACCAAACCGTTAAAAAAGATAAAACTCCATTGTGCACGTACTGCAAATGTAAAGTTTTTGAATATAACAGTCTTCTTGTTGAGAAACTTTTACCATATTTCCAGAAAAAAGATCTTTCTTCATGATTGGTTTATTGTTTTATTTTAAGAATATGCATATCCAGCATGAGTTGAGAGTTGGGATGGAATGATAATGTCTTTCTCTGTTTTAACCAATCCCCTTAGAACTTACTCATTTATCATTCAACACATCATTTCTGATTATACTCAATGTGCCAAATATCGTGCAGATCAGTGGGAATCTAGTAGTGAACAAAGTTAGTCGAGATCCTGGCCCTCAATGTAAATTAGCTCAGCCATTGTGGAAAGCAGTTTGGCAATTTCTGAAAGTATTTAAAACAGAATTACCATTCAACCCAGCAATCCCATTAGTGGGTATGGACCCAGAGGGATTGAAATCATTCTACCATAAAGACATATACATGCATATGTTTATTGCAGCACTGTTCAAAGTAGCAAAGATATGGAATCAACCTAAATACCCATCAAGGGTGGACTGGATAAAGAAAATGTGGTACACATACACCATGGAATACTATACAGCCATAAAAAAGGAAATTATGTCCTTTGTAGCAATGTGGATGAAGCTGGAGGCCATTATCCTAAGCAAACTAACACAGATACAGAAAACCAAATACGGCATGTTCTCACTTATAAGTGGTAGCTAAACATTGAGTACATATGGACACAAATAAGGGAACAACAGATACTGAAGCTTACTTGAGGGCAGATGGTGGGAAGAGGGTGAGGATAAAAAAACCATCTATCTGTTACTATGCTTTTGTTTAATTAAATTAATTAATTAATTAAGTTTTGAGACAGAGTCTCACTCTGTCACCCAGGCAGGAGTGCAGTGGCGCAACCTTGTCTCACCAAAGCCTCTGCCTCCCAGGTTCAAGCGATTCTCCTGATTCAGCCTCCTGAGTAGCTTGGATTACAGGCGCATGCCACCATGCCCAGCTACTTTTTGTATTTTTAGTAGAGACAGGGTTTCACCATGTTGGCCAGGATGGTCTTGAATTCCTGGCCTCAAGTGACCTACCCATCTCAGCCTCCCAAAGTGCTGGGATTTCAGGCTTGAGCCACTGCACCTGGCCATCTGTTACTATGCTTATTACCTGGGTGATGAAATAATCTGTATACCAAAACCCTGTGACACACAATTTACCTATATAACAAACGTGCACATGTACCCCTGAACTTGAAATAAATTTAAATTAAAAAGACTAAAGACCCCTGCCCTCACAAAGCTTCCCTTGCCTCACTTCTCTCAATGGGCAGGTAGATATGCCCAGGAATACATGCTGAACAATCAAAGAAATCTCTTTTCTATCACATGCTAGGAACTAAAAAGATATTTATCAGGAAAATGATAGTGGTTAGCCTTCCTTACCAACATACAAGTATTTAACAAAATCAAAAATATATGCAGTATGGATTAATGTTATCAGCATTTCAACCGCATTGCAGTTGTTTAAATGGTTAAGATGTATGCGGAGCTCAAAACTAGGATGATTACAACCAAGGCTTCATTTCTCCCTGTCTTCTCAGCAGCAGCCACTCCACTGGAAGTAGAACTGGCCATGGTGGTGCTGACGGGAACCATGGAGAAGATGGGATAGTGGTTCCTCCAGCATAGGATGTTCAGTGGCTAGGGATTCCCAGGTCTTGTTTGACATCAATTACCGTACAGTTTCCTACATTGGTGAACAAATAGGGCTATAACTTAGCTTAGACTTCCTCCCCCTTATCATGTGTGTGAATTATTCATAAGTCAAGTTTATGTTTACAGAGACCTACTGTAGTCTCACCATTTCGTCAGCATCACCATAAAACCTGCGACTCGAAATATGAAGGTGAATCATGAGATGATCAGATTTATTTGAAATGCTATTAAAATTATAGACCTTCCACCTGAGTTGTTCCTATTCTAAAGCTCAAAAATGGCCCTTAGAAAATCTCTCCTTTCGTTCTTCTGGTTCTGCATGCTGTAATGTAAGCTAAATATGAGCTTTTGAAGAGCAATAAACAATAAATAAAAAGAAATGTTTGCTTCCCCAGAAATATAATTTTATTTTTTTTTACAGTGCAAAAATACAGCATACAAATAGTATTATCCTGGAAGAAAAAAATCTCATCTGAGAACCTTGAAACAGTAGAAAAAAGGGTGATGAGTCAGTGGGACAGAGTTCTATTCAAGAGGAGCTTTGATTTTTATTTACTCGTTTTTTTTTTCAAGCCAGGAATTCGAATGATGAAAGCTGGAATTTTTCTCAAGATTGTCAGAGAGGGCCAGGATTAGCTGCATAATTATGTGGGGAAATAGATAGGATGTTATTGTTGAATTCGTGCTTGAGGATCAGCTAGGCTGCAAAGGTGGAGTCTCTCATCTGATCCAGAAGGGGTAGAAGAGTCTGCACAAGCTTCTGTGCACCTGGGAATGTTTCGTGCGTTGAGAGGAGAGGTGGGGTCTCAGCAGGAGGAGGTCCTGCAGGTGGTGCTGCAAGGGGTCGGCTGGCCGCAGGGAGGCCGGCAGCAGGGGGACTGCACAGACACAGGCTGGCAGCAGGTGGTGGCCCAGCAGCAGGGCCTGCACACCACAGCCGTGCACGACGAGGGGCAGCAGGTGATGGGGCGGCAGCAGCCTTCCTGCAGGGAGCAGGGGTCGCAGCACACCGGGCGGCGGCAGGGCTCGCAGATGGGGCGCGTGCAGCGGGGCACGCAGGTCACGGGGCGGCACACGGTGGTCTGGCAGGTCACGGGGCGGCAGCAGCAGGGGTCGCGGCAGCAGCAGGGCTGGCAGCAGCCTCCCCCGTAGCTCAGGGAGGACAAGGTGGAGCCGCAGCAGGAGCCGGTCATGGTGGTGTCTGAGGCTGGTGTGGGTTGGGCTGTTGAGAGGAGCTGGATGTTCTCAGGTGTGAATGTCCTCGTTCCACTCTGGGCCCTTTATATATCCTAGCTGGATGCTGATGACCCCCAGGACATGAGGTCATTTCCTGGAGTTGTAGCTGCCCGTTGAAATGAGAACTCTGGATTTAACTGCTGAGGCAGCGATCCCTAAATCACTAAAGAATGCTTTGTTTTCTACCTGTCTACTTTTTCCCTAGAACGGAATACCTGGTCATGTATATCATCAGAACAATTGCTCATCTATCAGCTAGTCCTTCCAGGCCATGCCATGTGAGAAGGTGCAAGTTTGAAGAATCCAGCCACCATCACACTTTCCTCTTGTTCGCTGCCATCCGTGACTTAAGCATGGGACTGGAATGTTCATGAGTCACAGGCTGGGTTTCTGATTGGCATTGAGATCAAGCAAGAATTTCTTAAAAACCAAAATGGCTCATAAGAGCAGATGTGTATTGATTCTGCTATGGAAAGAATGGCCCAGTGTTTAATGACACAGTGCCTAACCTTGTTTATAAGAAAATCATCACCAAAGCTGCTAGACTGATTTTATTTTAGTAATCTGAGTTGGTTTATAACTCATTAACACTTATGAGACACTTATTATGTAGATGGTACTGTACTATTTGGGGGTGGAGGGGGAAAGGAAAGAAAAATAGCTTTCAAATAGTTTCCTATCACATAGTAATCATAACTTTTAGTAAGGCAAGACAAAGATAAATCAAGCAATTAAAGGGAAAGAACTTTTCTGGGAACAATAAGGTCAAACTAAATGGGGATTTCATTCATTCTGTGCCTTTCTGAATGCCCTTCCCTGATTATTGACCTAGAAATAAAATTGAAATTGGGCTATTTCTTGCTTTCTTGCTTTGACATATGCACTTTGTATTACATACTTAAAAATCTATGGACAATATCTACAAAGGAATCAATTATCTTTCTGTCACAGCTTCTTTAGTTTGTTGGCTGAGGGTTTTGTTTGTTTATGAGGTGGGAAGGTGGCATTATGAAAAAGACAAGGGGAATTAGTTTAGCTGGTGACCAATAAAATAGCTTTGTCTTTTCCAGCCATAGCAAAGATGAATAGGAATACAGAAAATAAATTTAGAGTTGGAAGGTAGATTAAAGATAACATTGTCCAAGGAATGCTGATGGTCTTCAGTGCAAATTTACCTCTGAGGTGTGTTTTGTTTTGTTTTCTCTTTTTAAAAATACACCCTTTGGTCTATCATATCCCTGATCTTTGAAGTCCTTTGAGTCTATGATCCATCATAGTCCATCACAGTTTTTGGAAGACCAGATTTACAAAATGAATTCCTCCAAAGTCGTACGGATCAAAGAGTGGCAAATATTTAGCAATACCACAGGTCTTCTGTGGAGTAGAAACACTGGTGATGTCTCCCAGTCTTTTTCCAACTCGGAGTCACTCAAAATAGATAACATGTAGCAGTAGTTATTAAAAAGTTTTATTCCCTTTAGTGAAATAAAATAAGTACTCACTTGATACATGGTTTAGCATTCTGTTCTTTGTTTTGGAATGTATACAGAGATGCCAAACTAAAAAGAGAAATATGTCTGTAAATCCACTGCTTTTGTTAACAAAAGAACACAGTACTAAGAAATACTGTTTTCTAAAATTATAGGCTGTTAGAAACCTTGCTCTTCCAAGCCACATCAGTAAGAAGGAAACATTTCACTCTTGCCTAGACAGGATCTAAGTCATCTGGACAGAGAAGCAACCTCAGTACCCAACCCAGGTACAGAATTTCAGACAAGTGACTTGCAGACACAACATTCCCCATTTGTCTCAACTATACAGTTTCCAGTGAAAGAGGACCATAAGTCTGTTTCACAGCTCAGGTCTGGTGTTAATTATTTTTTATACACAGCCCTGTTTTTCTTGAGCCTATGAAAACACTATGTCACGTAATTTTACCCCACCATTCCTCAACATTTTATAATAACATTTCTCCTCCTTTGTTTGGGAGGATGCCCCATGGTCCTCAGCCATGTGGTCTCCCTTGCTGTAGCACATTAATAGTCCTAAGCTATTGGACAAGAGATGTATCCCTGGTCTTTACCACATGGACTTTTTTAGTCATGTTATTCAAGTTCCACACATTCTTCAAGTGCATAATCACCAGGATGGAAACAAGTAAATCTGAAGCACAGTGAAAATAACTTGTGAGATTTTTGTAGTTGGATAGATAAAGAATGTAGTGTTGGTGACCTCTTGTGATGGTGGGCCATGCCCTCTTCTTAATAGTTTTATGAATTATATTTTGTTAGGAACTAGTCTGGAAGCCACTAGATGTTAGGAAAATTATTAAAATTCTAAAATTAGAAAATACATTCCTTAAGGACTTCGTTCTCAGAAATAATCTTAAAAATATCCTCCAATCATAAGAGTCAGGGATGGGATGGGGAATATTGACGGGCACAGGGCAGGAGGAAAATGGAGAAGATAAAGAAGGATTCCAGTCCTTTCTCCACCTCTTTGCAGTTGTCTAACTTAGAGTAAATGACTTACCCTTAGCCAGGTTTCCTCATCTGTAAAATGGGCAGAGTCTTCGGTGCCTGGTGTTCTTCAGAGGCTGGCTTATCATAAAATCCATACAAACATGGAAGACAGAGAAAGGGATATAATTAATTAGATATAATTAGAAAAGAAAAGAGTTTAGTTGTGAGAGACAGAAAAACTAAATGATCAGGGGACTGGTGGAATTTGTTGCTAGAATTTTTTTAAAAATTTCATCTGAGTTTTTTAGATATTCATTTGCCTAAAGTCAGGGAAGGCAAAGTAATCTTTTGAGGTCTATTACAGCTTTGAGTTGTTTAATTCCCTTGGAAGGTTCAATGTGAAAGAAAGAGTCGAACCATCAGATACTTACATGTTGCTCAATCCTTCTTTTACCTGATGCTGCACTCCTATTCATAAATCCTATAATCTAGGACTCATTCCTGTGGACTTGTAGAATGAATTTTTAAAGATTATTTTCATTCTGAGACAGCCTTAATCTGATGCCAAGTTGTTGTGGGTTTTTTTTTTTGCCTTCTTCATTATATTTATTAGAAAATCTATTCCTACTGGTAGATGTAGACTATCCTGAAAAAAAATTACAATTTAAGTTTGGTTAGTAAAGCCCTCCCCTGAATTTGTTCCCATTCCCAGTGAGTTGATATGTAGTAGATAGCACATCTTTTGAGCCTGTTCGATACAGTGATGTCCAAATGCTCCACAAGGAATATAAATGAATGTTACTGGGCATTTAACTATGTGCCAGGCATCTTGCATACATAAAAAGTTATAATTGTTATTTAACTTCCCTAGCAATCTACATTGGTAAATGTTGCTTTTCCCATTTTGCGGATGAGAAAACTCGAGAGTCAGAGAGGTTAAGTTACACTAATGCCAAAATTTTTTCTTTAAATAATTATCTACCTTTTAAAATTCTTGTGGTAAAGACAATTTCCTTTTATTTTGACAACTAAACAAACAGAAATTAAGTACCGGCTACGTATTAAACTTTGAGCTCAGTATTGGAAGCCAAAAACAAACTGTGGTCCCCTCCTTGGAGGCAAAAAAACATATAATCTCAATACAATGCCTTATGGGGAGGGAGGTAAGCTATTGGAACTTGCTGAGAGCTCCTAACCTGTATGTGTGTGTGTGTGTGTGTGTGTGTGTGTATGCATTTGCACATGTGTTTGTGTGATACAGGGGTTGGGACAGGACTACTGGAGAAGACTGAATTGAATCTTGGAAATGAATCAGAGTTAAGTAGGTGATGAAGGTGAAGAGAAAGAGTGTGTAAAAGAACAGATAAGTGAAAGAACATGAGGAAAAGCGAAACATTTGGAACTGCAAATGTTTAATAACTATAAGGTCAGTGTTGCTTGAAGTGAATCTTAGTGGGGAGCAGTGAGACATGGATCTATAGAGATGGGCAAAGGACAGGCAGCAGACCACCTGATGTGCACACACTTCCTAGCCACATGGGTAATCTGAGGACTGGCCTAGCTCTCCTGTAACATCTTCAAATACCAAATACTTGTACCAGGAATCCTAGTGCCTGTCTCTGTTCCTCTTCTGTCTTTCTCATCATCTCCATCATCTTCCTCTTCACTCTTCCTCCTATTCATTGCCTTGCCTCCCCTCTTCACTTTTTATTCATCCCTTATCTCTTACTTTTTGTCTCTCTTTTTTTGTTGTCATTTTATTCCACCTATGACAAACTCAAGATACTGTTTTTTTGCACATTCATTTACATTCACTTCTCTGCCAAACCGATTCTTCTGATTACAGTTTAGCAGGTGCTGTTTCATACTTATTATTATATTACATTTTTTTCTTCACTTTGGGTGTCTTCATTGTGGCTTGTCCTTGTGACTATTCTTGGAAGGCTTCCAGGCCATGCTTGTTAAGCCCTCAAGGAGCTCAAATCCTGGTCTTCCTCTGAAATAATGGTCCTGAAATTCTAATGAATTACATGGAAGTGATAGAAAATAAACAGCCTTGGGCCCCACTCCCAGAGATTTTGATTCATTAGGTTTGGTTTGGGGCCTAAGAATGTGCATTTTAATAGGCAATTGCAAGAGATTCTATTGTGTATGACGCATGGGCCACACTTTGAAAAATGCTACTCTAGGAACTGTGGTAAGAAGATGAGATGCGCTGTGCTGGTCAGTTTACTACCAGTGGTCATTCTGGGCTTGGCATATGCTATTCCCACTTCTACCCCTCTTCATGAACATTGTCTTTCCTTTTGTCTATTCCATTAGACCATAAGCTTCTTGGATACAAGGCATGTAGCTTGTTCATCACTAATCAGGCAGCACCTGTCAACTGGAGGTCCCTTGATAAACAATTCCTGAATGACTGAATAGATGAGATTTCTATGGATAAGGTTTTGCTTAGGTTGAGCTTTGTTTCCCTTGTGCAGGTTCCAAAATCTTGCTTATCTGTGTACGCTAATAAACATGCACTAACGAACAAATCAGGGAGCAGGGCAGTCTGCTATGCCAGGAAAAATTAGTTTATTGACAACAGTGAGCAACACATTGCAAAAGATGATGGTGACAGTTTGAGCAGTAAAAACCATCAGGTTGTAGAATGTGTTTGCAAAGTCCACCCCAGGAATTCTTAAAGGTCGATTTACTATCCATAATGACTAAGGCTGATGTAGACACCTGAAAATGTGGGTGAGGGTGGTAATGGACGTCTGCTTACACCAGGCTGTATCCAGATGGTAAAAATCACTATTGTCACCTTGTGAAAAAAAATCTATTTTTCTTTTAACTTTTTAAAAACACCAGATAGATGTTTAGGCTTCAGTGTATTGCTCTGTGGGGGCATTGGGGTCTCAGCAGGAGGAGGTCCTGCAGGTGGTGCTGCAAGGGGTCGGCTGGCCGCAGGGGGGCCGGCAGCAGGGGGACTGCACAGACACAGGCTGGCAGCAGGTGGTGGCCCAGCAGCAGGGCCTGCACACCACAGCCGTGCACGACGAGGGGCAGCAGGTGATGGGGCGGCAGCAGCCTTCCTGCAGGGAGCAGGGGTCGCAGCACACCGGGCGGCGGCAGGGCTCGCAGATGGGGCGCGTGCAGCGGGGCACGCAGGTCACGGGGCGGCACACGGTGGTCTGGCAGGTCACGGGGCGGCAGCAGCAGGGGTCGCGGCAGCAGCAGGGCTGGCAGCAGCCTCCCCCGTAGCTCAGGGAGGACAAGGTGGAGCCGCAGCAGGAGCCGGTCATGGTGGTGTCTGAGGCTGGTGTGGGTTGGGCTATTGAGAGGAGCTGGATGTTCTCAGGTGTGAATGTCCTCCTCCCCCTCTGGGCCCTTTATATACCCTGGCTGGGAGCTGATGACCCTTCAACATATGATCATTTTCTTGTGCATCTTCTGGCCAATTAAGTGAAGATTTAGCATTGACTAATGGTATTTTGGTCACTCTTCACCTCATACATATTCATGTACATACACCACAAATATTCGCTCATTTTCTTGTATTGTTTATCCTCACTAAATTTAGACATTGGATTCACTTCTGATTAATTTTCCTTTGAAATATTCCTAACCCATAAGAGAGAAAAGAATGTGTTTTCTAAATTAGTGTCTAATCGCTCTGCCCTTTGGCGCTAAAATTAGCATGTTCTTCCTTGTCTTCAAAGGCTCCCATCACCGGCACCCAAGCAGTGACTTGCCTTATTAATGCACATGGGCATGATGGTAGCAGGTTAATTGCATCATCCTAGTGCAGACCAGTAGTCATCTGCTTCACAGATAGCTCCTTCCATGACTCACTTAAAGATAGGCTTGTGGTTTTTCATATGAGCAGGGACCACACGAAATGCAGATCCCTGGCCACTGGTGTGGTCACTCTCCCCTGACTAGGACCTGGGCTTTCCTGCCTTGGTTTTGATGTGTCATCATTCACCTGGAATGCCCTCCTCATCCTTCCAATCCAAACTCAACTTCTACCTTGATTGTAAAACCCTCTTCAAGGATCCATTGCAATTATTATATTTGTAATTTGTTTGGAATTAGTCGTTGCATCTGTAGAGTCCGGGAAGGGATTGCGGAGAATATGTAGGCCTATGCCCTCACTCTACAGCTGAGGTCCTGAGAGTGTACCAAGGTCACACAATGAGGTCACCATATGAGGTCTGAGATCCAGGTCTCCTCAGTCTGCAGTAAGTAGCCTCTACTATGAGTTTTATGCTCATTGGATTCAGTAAACCATGGTCTTTAGACAGGAAAGAAAACATATATTAAAGTAGAAGCCCAGACTTCATGCCACTATGCAATATATCCATGTAACAATGCTGCATTTGAACCTCTTACATTTATACATATTAAACACAGATTTAAAAAAATAAGTAATGAACTTTCCTTTCAGCAGCAAGGTTAGAAGTGGTACTGGAAGAGAATTAGGGAAATGTTTTGCCCAGATGACACATTGTCATCCTGGACCCCCATTGACTCCACTAAGTATGACAATGTGTCTGAGAGCTAGAGAAGGGACCTGGAGAAAGCTAACATGATGCAGGGTTTATTAGTGGAACTTACATACAAGGGTGGTCCAGTGGTGGTATCTGGACAGGAGAACTGCTATTATTTGTAAAAAGCATGCAGTTCACACAGTATTTTCATTAGAACCCTCCACCTAACAACCTCCATTTAATCCAAAACAAAGGGCCTCAATCCCCAGTATGACCTGTGTTCTAATGGATGAGGTGGGGATTCAAATGTCCTTCATAGATAAGGAGTGGATCTCCAAGTTGGCCACTCCCAGATCCTTAGCTCAGAACTCCAAGCATACATTCTTCTTTGATTGTAGGATCATTCTCAGGGTATGCTTAAGTTAAGTTATTGCTGCCAGATGTGTCTGCCATACCCTCCACCTCAGCATACCCTTGAATAGCCCTTACATTCTAATCACACCATTCTTCTGAGATTTCCCTGGGGCTAGGATATGCAGAGGAGCATTGCAACCAGATGTTTCAGCAGCAACATAAACTACTACAACAAAAAAGAATAATGAATGTAACAACAATTGTACTGTATAGAAAGTTTTTCCAAGCACTCAGGAGTTGATTAAACCATGTGGTTACAGGGTCATAAGATAGAGATTCTATAGCAGAAATCTGGGTATCTAGGGCCCACATGGCCTGTGTTACATTGTGAGAGTAATCAGGGATATATACACAAAATTCAGTTTTAATTAATGCACAGGTTCTGCCCTGATAAGCGGTTAAGATGTCCTGGGCCATGCAATTTTGCAAAGTAACACACCTAATTTGGGCAGTTTCTTCAGTGAGAAGAGTAATATCATGGCAGATATCATTAAAGACTGCAGCCCTATGTTAAGCCAGGGCCTCAACTTGCAGCTGTATGTCTATTGTCACCACTTGGGTGGTGAGTGGTGGGGGGAGTGGCGGGGGGGACATGGCAAAAGTGGCCAACGGGTAAAACCACTGGGATGCATGCTTCCAGCAGTGCCTGGCTTTTACAATTTCCCAGTTAGTAAGAATGGTGTCTAAACTGGGCACGATGTATCCCAGCAAATGAGGATGTCCCCAGGTGCATCTACCAGTCCAGTTATAGGGTAAGTAAGGCCAACTGTGGATGCCGCATGCCCACAGCCATCCTAAGGGGTGTGGTAGGCCCCCAGGTGGAGAGTCACTCTGTCGTCGCAGTCAAGTATCACTGGTTACCTGAAGAGATTGGTTTCATTGCTGTCATATTCCATGTCTATTACCTGAAGAAATAGATTACATTACACTGTGGGGGTAGCCATCCCATACTACTGGTTTTAGCTTGTGGCATGCTATTATCATGCCTTTTAATACATGTGGGTGCACAGCCCACAAGCTGTATCTATACTGCTGTTGTCCACCCTGGCCCATCATCTACAGAATACCCCACAGTGGGGGTGACATTAACCTGCTCCTATACTAGGTGGAAAATATGTTGTCTCATCTCTGATGGTGGGAAACTTATCACATGAAGTGTGGTTATTGCTAAAGGGAAATGGGTGAGGGTCATTATACCAAGTATAGAAATGGCTCCAGATACTGAGGTTAGCTGCTTGGATGCACCATGGCAGGCTGATGCTGGAGGAGAAGGGCAGCTCCCTGCAGATGCAACAGTCTGTTTTGTTTTGGGGAAAGGTCGCCATTTGCACCCAGTTGGTGAAGAGGTACACCACCTATGGGTGACAGGTGAGATACCTAGTGGGTAGAAGAATGGGCAAGTTGGCCGGGCACAGTGGCTCACGTCTGTAATCCCAACACTTTTGGAGGCCAAGGCGTGTGGAACACCTGAGGTCTGGAGTTAGAGACCAGCTGACCAACATGGTGAAACCCTGTCTCTACTAAAAATACAAAAAAATCAGGCAGGCGTGGTGGTGCATGCCTGTAATCCCAGCTACTTGGGAGGCTGAGGCAGGAGAATCTCTTGAACCCAGGAGGCAGAGATTGCAGTGAGCTGAGATCATGCCACTGCACTCTAGCCTGGGCAACAAGAGCAAAACTCCATCTCCAAAAAAAAAAAAAAAAAGAAGAAAGGGCAAGTCAGGCCATCTAACAAGACAGGAAGTTGTGTCGTTCTGAGAGATCACCACCCCCAGCAGCAACCTGTGCCTGGTTTGCAATACCACATGGATTGCCCACTTCTGCAACACGTTGCAGCCACAGTAAGACAGTGTGGATATTGTAATGTCCCATAATGACAGGATGATCACTCCCTTGCACAAGTGGGGACTAGGATTGATTATTTTAGAAGTACAAGGAGGAATAGGATGTAAAATAGGTGTGATCTGTATATCATTTTCTACGCCCTTGCCCCATGGAGTGAAAAAACTGTACCAACTGGGGCTGGTTTGTGATTTCCGGGCACATGTAATGATGTGCTCTCCAGTGGGTAGGTCCTATGGCAAGGGCATAGCCCCAGGTTGAGTCCCAGGTTGAGGCAAAGGAGGGGGGTACCATCCCTTACACTGTCAACCTGGATCGTGATGGTGGTATCAGGTCCTTGAGCCAGAAGAGTGTGTGCACTGGGGAGATGAGAGCACACCTGTTAATTCAGGGATATCTTGGGCCTGCACGGCCTGAGTTACATTGTGAGAGTAATCAGGGATATATATACACAACATTCAGTTTTAATTAATGCAGAAGATCCACACTAAGCGTCCAGGGCATGTGATTTTGCAAAGTGATACATCTAATTTGGATAGTTTCATTCAGGGCGCAGATGGGTGCTGGTAAGCAGTGTGTCCACAGAGCCAGAGAGGGCGTCTCCTGCCAGAGTTGTTTCTTCAATGGTTGTTTCATCCATTCAATCAGCCCCGCTGCTATAGGGTTGTATGGCAGGTAGAAATGCCAATGGATATCCAGGGCCTCCACCGATTCCTGCACTTTGTATATGGTAAAGTGAGAGCCCTGGGCACTGTTGATATCAGTGGGGACGCCACAGGCCACATATAACTCCAGTCTTTTTATGGTGGTTTTCTGGGTAACATACTTGCTGGGATACACCTACAGTAGCCCCATGCAGGTGTCTGCACAAGTCAAGGCGTAGCGGAAGCCATCAGATAGGGGCAAAGGCCCTTGGGATTCTGGGACCTTGGCCTTCATCCTAGTATAAAGGGGCTGGCACCTGCCATTCCTCTGTGGGAGGGCAGCGGGCTGAGCCTGAGGCTCCTTTGTGAAGCACTCTTCCAGCTTGAGCTTCTGCCATAGCCTGACCAGAACAGCATTGAACTGTAGGCTCTTAGATAACAGTCTAGATTCAAATCCAAGCATGTCTAAATCGAAAGCTGTGTTTTCACAAATAGGCTTATGAAAATGAGATTCTCCTTTGAATTAATTTGAATAGGCTCACTTTGCACTATCCATTAATCCTCATTATATTGATAAAGCTAAAAATTTAACTAACTATCCCCTCCAGAAAATTTATCAAAATTTACCATAAAACCAACCCTGTCACAAATACTTGGCCACTGTTCTATTTTTATTTTCTTTGTAGAAAGCCATCTGTTCATCCTTGTGTATTGATTGGTGTATTAAGCTGGCTTCACATTGCTACCATGGTTGAATTAGACAGCTATTGCTGCATAGCAAGCAACCACAAACTCTCATAGCTTATTGTAACAAGTATTTATTTATTGGTCATATATTTGTAGGTTAGTTGGGGTTTGGTTGATTAAGGTTGGCCTTAGCTTCTGCCCACAGGTTGGTTTGGGACTTTCTTTTGAATGAGAGTTGTCATATTTAGCAAATAAAAATACAGGTTCCCCAGTTACATGTCAATTTCAGAAAAACAACAAATAATTTTATTACAATTATATCTGATTATGCATGGGTATACTTACATTTAAAAATTATTTGTTGTTTGTCTGGAATTCCATTTTAATGGAGTGTCCGGTATTTTAGGGGCCATCCTCCTCTGAGAACAAAGGCCCAAGGGAACAATCTCACATTTTGAGTCTTCGGGTCATGCCTTCTCATTGGTCAAAGCAACTCACATGGCAAAGTCCAAGTCAGAGGGTGGGAGAGGATACTTCTGGAGTTGGGTGGGAGGAGGGGGGAGAGTAAACATTAATAAGGAATAATCTAATCTACCAAAGTAGAGAATCAATTATTTTAATAATCTTTGTGTGAGGCTTGGAAAAGACTTCTAGAAGATCAAATTAGATTATGTCTATTTCATTAGAAATTCTATTTTGGGATGGGAGTGGTGGCTCATGCCTGTAATCCCAGCACTTTGGGAGGCCGAGGTGGGCTGATCATTTGAGGTCAGGAGTTCAACACCAGCCTGGCCAACATGGTTAAATCCTGTCTCTACTAAAGATACAAAAATTAGCTGGCCATGGTGGCAGGTGCCTGTAATCCCAGCTACTCAGGATAATAATCAAGTGACACAGCATATCCAAGAGCATTGCCTAGAAATCTATATTTATTAAAAACAAAACTGCCTGAGATGTTCTAGGAAGATGCCAAGAAGAGTCCAAGGCCATGACCTTCTCATCAACTCCTTGCTGGGTGCAATTCCATCCATAAGACTGTGGCCTAAATTCAAATATAACTGCGACTTTGTATTCTCAAGAAGATGAATCAGGAGTAGGGCTCTGTGAAGTATGGCATAAAGAGCCAAGCTTTTTTACAAGGCGGGAAAGACCAAAGACTTAGTGACTTGAAAGGATATCAGTATTTCCGGTGAATCTTGTGTGGGTCAAAGACCATTTATCTTGTTGCTTGGTGAGTGTGGCTACTTCCTTGAACCACATGGAGACACACTGTACAGGAAGAAGTGCCTCCTTCTGCTCGTCATCTGCGATTCTCATCTGACACCATGGTCAGCTTCTGTTGTAGCTCTGTCTGCTCTGAATAGAGCTGTGGCCAAGGCCTCTGCCAGACCTGCTGCTGCTGCAGTTGCTGCCAGACCACCTACTGCAGAACCATCTGCTACCATCCCAGCTGCTCTGTGTCCAGCTGTTGCAGGCCCCAGTGCTGCCAGTCCCTGTGCTGCCCCAGCTGCTGCATTTCTAGCTGCTGCCACTCAAGCTGCAGTGTGTCCACCTGCTCCAGGCCCAGCTGTTATAATCCCCAGTACTACCAGCCCTCCTGCTGCCACCCTTCTGCTGCACTTCTAGCTGCTGCCACCCTGGCTGCTGTGTGTCCAGCTGCTGCTGTCCAGTCTGCTACCAGACCACCTGCTGTGGTCCAGTCTCCTATGAATCCTCTTGCTGTTGAACTTCATTCCTGACCACCAGCCCTGGTTCAACCACCTTGTTGTCAGTGTACCAGTCATTCTCATTCCCCTTCTCCACTGGACCTGGCCTTGCCCTGATCCACCACTACATTTATATAGCTCATTGTTCATTCCACCAAGCAACTATTTTAAAAGCAAAAATTTAAATGCATATCGTACAAAACCTCCAACTTCTATGCTTGGTGTGCAGTCAGATGACCAGATATCTCACACTATTTCATTGGAACAGGCTTCTAAGCTTACAATTGCCGAGTGTGGTCTGGACTTTGCAATGAATTACGTCTGGTAGAGTAACTATATCTCAATAAACACTCTCTTGGTATCAAAAACATTTGTGACCTTTCAGTATTTCTTACTGTTGATTATTTATTTGTAAAATGGTTTGAGTTCCTATTGTATGGGCAATAACAAAAAAATTGATATTATATGTATCAGCCAAAGCCTGTATTAGAGAAAATGCCAAATAATTCATTTTTTAATCCAAAACAGATTGCTCACTTTACCTGCCATCAAGTTTATTGAGACAAAACAAGAACTCAATTTTTACTGTAATTAAATTAAGAACAAATTAGCAAGCTATTGGGCTCTGGGAATTGCATAAAATGAATGAGACCCACTTCTTTTCCCTTAGGTAACTCACAACATAATCATGGATTTTTTTTTTTTTTTTTTTTTGAGATGGGGTTTCGCTCTTGTTTCCCAGGCTGGAGTGCAGTGGCATGATCTCAGCTCATGGCAACCTCTGCCTCTCGGGTTCAAGTGATTCTCTTGCCTCAGCCTCCCAAGTAGCTGGGATTACAGGCATGAACCACCATGCCCGGCTAATTTTGTATTTTTAGTAGAGACGGGGTTTCTTCATGTTCATCAGGCTGGTCTTGAACTCCTGAACTGAGGTGATCCACCTGCCTCGGCCTCCTAAAGTGCTGGTATTACAGGCGTGAGCCACCACACGTGGTCTGAAAGTTATTTTTCTTTCCTTTCCCTCTCCACTCAATTAATTCAATTAATCATGAATTTAATTTAAATGCATATGTCAGGGAGAGTATGTTGGTAATATTAGTGAGAAAAAGGACTCTATTCTATTGGAGAAAAGTAATACATACGTAAGGATTGATTCATAGAAATAAAATGTGTCAATTCTGAAAATTCAGGTTAACATGCACAGGTCTCAAACACGTAAGATTATGTGAAGGAGAATCAGATCACAGCCGAATATTTATATCTTTATGAAGGGTAGTCTTATTAAAAAGACATTTAAAAAATTATAGTCCTTTTAAGGAGGAGGGATATGTCAAGATTAATTCATGGTGAGTTCTATGGAAAAATAAGAGGCATAATTTTAGGCTGAAGCCATAGAGTCAGTGGGAAAATCAGCGAGCATGAGTGATGAAACACGTCATTATGGGAAAGAAAGTGATGGAAACCAAATTGGAATTGCAGTTGAGTTCTATTTTTGAGATGCTTCACTGACCCATTAATGATATTCATCCACTCATGCTCCATTAAAGCTCCAATTGCAGAGTTTGCATGCAGGTCTACCTATGAGACATGCAAAGGTTAGGGCTCACTCCACATGACCTGGATCAAGTCACCCAGCTACCTGTGTTTCCTTTATAACTTTGAGATTCCCTTTTGCATTGGGAGTTCAGTTCATATTGTATTTCCTGTGTCTTTTCAAGCCATTTCCTTCCATTTCAAAATGATATCAATCAAAATGATATCAGTAGGCTCAAGAGCTCTAGGCAAAACTTTTAGCTGAAGAGGAAAATAAAAAAGTAAAGTAAGCACAAAACTCAAAACAACATATTCAGAAATTGATATGGTAATGCGACGTGAGAATCGTATCTTTGGGCTCAGGCATCCCTCTTCAATTTATTCCAGGACCATAAATGGTCTATACAAGCTGTTTCTCGTTTCAGTATTGCTTAAGTACCTAGGCCTGAGAAATCTATCAGAGCCTCAAACTAGTAATGATGCCTATTCTGTCATATCTGCATATTGCAAAACTGTATTTGTTTTATTCATTTCTATGATCTCTTCTATGGCACATAAACATTTATAAATATGTTATCTTCATTTTTGAATTTTTTCCTTTTTTTAAAAGACAGGATCTGGCTCTGTCACCTAAGTTGGTGTGCAGTGGCACCATGTCAGCTCACTGCAAAATTCAACTCCACGGCTCAAGCCAACCTCCCCTAGCTACTTCAGCCTCCCAAGTAGCTAGGACCGCAGGCATGCACCACCATGTCTAGCTAATTTTTGTATTTTTTGTGGAGACAGGGTCTCACTATGTTGCCCAGGTTGGTCTTGAACTCCTGAGCTCAAGCAATCCACCCACCTCGGTCTCCCAAAGTGCTGGGATTACAGGTGCAAGCCACCACACCCACTTTATTACCAGAAAATATAGGTATTGTTACCCCATTTTTTAATTTGCCTACCACTTGTGTATTCTTTGCTATTTTTATCCCCTACCACTTTTAGAATATATTTGAATCTTTTTAAATTTTATCAGCTTCATCTCTCAGAACCATTATTTTATGCATGACATCTATACTGTAATGGAATTCTTTATTTTGACTTGTATTTCAGTCAATGGGAATATTTCTTAAAGGAATTTTAAAGGGAAGTTATATATCCCGAGTCCTTGAATCTATGAGGAAATCTTTCCATTGCCTTCACACATGACCAATAGCTTGTGTGGATCAAAATAACAGGGTCTGATTCTGTCACCTAAGCTGGAGTGTGGTGGCACCATTTCAGCTCACTGCAAGCTCCAACTCCTGGACTCAAGCCATCCTGCCACCTCAGCCTCCCAAGTAGCTGGGACCACAGGCATGCCACAATTTTTTTTGCCCTTCAATGCAGTTTAGGCGTGAATAAAATATTGGAAAATAAAATTAACCTTCAGGATTATTTAACATGCTTTGGAAACACAGAGAAAGAATCTCACCAACATCTGGAGCATGGGCACTAGTTTACTTCAGGAACACTTAAGGGGGAGTGTATATATGAGATACTAAGTCTAATTTTAACAGTTTAGTAATAGCAGGTCCTTAAAATGTCAGAAAATTAACTTTTATGTCCTCTTATCCTCTTTGAATCCATTATGATACACCAACTTTTAAAAGGTGTTAAAAAACAGAAACCCTCATCTTACTTTCTCAGGACAGGAGACAATAGCAGATAAGAAAGTGTAGCAAATTTGGGGCAAGAGCAATGGTGGTCAACTAAAGATAACAAAAGGAGCTACAATGTGAATGCATACAGAGAGAGTACCACAGAGTGTAAAGTTGGTTTTCCTTGAATCCTCAGAAAGGCTCAGAACCCGGAGTCACCAGGTAATACCCCTGAAGGCAGGGTAGGCAGCAGGATGCTTCGACCCCTGGATCCCTACCCCACCCTACAAAGTTGGTCATTAGGCCTCCCCCACTTCCAACCAGGAGAAACAAGGGTTATCTTCCAGAAAATTTAGTGACAGAGACTCCAGATTTGGGAATACTAAAGTGAACAAAAGTCAAGAATAGAACAGAAAACAGACTCATGCAGTGAAAATCTGAGTACTGTGCTCAGCATCCAGGACTGATGGCCATAAGCTTTCCAAGCAGGATATTGGAAGATTCTCCTCTAAAGAAACTAAACATATAAATCTTGACTTCTTTTTTGTGGATGAAGGGGAGGAGAGGTGAAGAGATCAATTAACAAGCCCTGCTGTCCACACAGAACTTTCAATTGGCTTTTTAGTGCCATGTTAACCAATATGCTTCAGACACTTGGGAAATGTCTCCAGCCTGACAATTCACACTAATTTAAAAAGAAAAAAAGAAAAAGGGGGAAAAACAAATTTGACAGGAATAGAAACTACAGGGAGCAGAATAGAACTAAAAAATTGTAAAACAAGAACTATTGTAAATAAAATACTCAAGAGAGCTAAGAGAAGAAATTCTGTTTGAAATAAAAACAAGATTCTAAGAAACAGGAGCAGTCAGAGAAGTTGAGTGAAAGCTTGAGAATTAAAATGTGATAGAAAAAATTAGAAAAACGTTCAGTAAAATGTTTGGAAGGTAAAGTAGAACAAGGAGTCAAATAATTTGTTCTCCTGTCTTGAAGATATGTAAAAAAATTTATAAAAAGAAGTGAAAGAAATGGACATTAAAGAAACTATAATAACACAGAGGATCAATTCAGGAGATCTACCACTCAATGAAGAAAAATTTTAGAAAGACAAATGAGAAAACATAAGGAGTCAGGTGTAATGGTTGCCTGTGCCTATAGTCCCAGTTACTTGGGAGGCTGAGGTGAGAGGGTCCCTTGGGCCCAGGGATTTGAAGCCAGCCTGGGCAACATAAAGAAGTCTTGTCTCAAAAGGAAAAAAGAAGACAGGAAGGGAAGGGAGAAAGAAAGAAAGAGAGAGAGAAAGAGAGAGAGAGAAAGAGAAAGAAAAGAAAGAAAGAAAGAAAAAGAAAGAAAGAAAGAAAGAAAGGAAGAAAGGAAGAAGGGAAGGAAGGAAGAAGGGAAGGAAGGAAGAGAAGGAAGGAAGAAGGGAAGGAAGGAAGAAGGGAAGGAAGGAAGAAGGGAAGGAAGGAGGGAGGAAGGAAGGAAAGAAGAGAGGGAGGAAGGAAAGGAGAGAAAGAAAGAGAAAGAGGAAGGAAGGAAAAGAAAGAAAGACAAGGAAGAAAAAGAAAGGAAGGAAGACAGGAAGAAAGGGAAATAGAGAAAGAGGAAGGGAGGGAGGGAAGGAAAGAAGAAGGAAGGAAGGAAATACAAGGGAGAAAACTATCAAAGAAATAGTATAAGAAAATTTCTTTCAGAAGGGAGCTCCAGATTAAAAGACCACCAGCGCTGAGAACAGTGAATGTAAGGCTTACATCAAGATACATCACTGTGAAATCTCAGAATATTAGGGATATGAAAATGGTACTGAAAGCGTCCAATGAGGAAAATAATATGTGGTTCCCATACCAAGGTTCAGGAGGCGAAATGGCATCACACTTTTCAACATCAACACCGGAAGCCAGAAGACAATGGGAAATGCCTTAAAATTTCTCAGTGGGATGTTTTTTAGCCTAGAATTCCATGCCTGGCCAAACTACCAAACAGAAACAAAGGAATAGTAACATTTTCAGATATGAAAAGCCCAAAAAAATCCTTATTGTCCGTGAACCCTTTCTAAAGTAACGTCTGGAGGATGTGCACCACCAACATGAAGAAGAAGTTGACAAAGAGGAGAACACAGATTCAGAAAACAGGAATTTCAAGTCGGAAAATCAGAATTGCATTCAAGATAAATCCAAAAATGGCAACCGTACAGCAAGCCTAGAAAGCAATCAGTGCAGAGGAGAACAGTAAGATGAAGATTTTGGAGGGAGAACTCTAGGAAAAAAGATCTTTCTAAATGGTGTGGTTACAGTACTATTTCTTGACTTTTAAAGTTTAGATATTATCTATTGGCCCACTGTTATGTGTGATGAGAATTTAGCTCTTACATCCCTCTCTATCCAACAGCCACCATTCTTCCTCTCCCTTTGTGTTCCAACTTCCCAATTGACCTGAGAATTCTAAATTACTGTCAAATGTAGTCTTTGAAAAGGTGCTCAACGTCACTAATCATCAGGGAAGTGATAATGAAAACCACAATAAGATATTACCTCATGCCTGTTAGGATGGCTGTTATCAAAAAGTCAAAAGATAAGTGTTGGCAAGGATGTGGTGTAAAGGGAACTCTTATACATTGTTGGTGGGAATGTAACTTGATGCAGCCATTATGGAAAACAGTATGGAGGCTCCTCAAAAAATTAAAAATAGAACTCACCTGTGAACCAGCAATTCCACTTCTGGATACATATCCAAAGTAAATAAAATCACTATCTTGAAGATATCTGCACTTGTATGTACATTGCAGCATTATTCACAGCTACTAAGATACAGAAATATCTATATGCCCATCCACAGATGAGTGGATAAAGAAAATGTATATAAATGTCATTATTCAAAATGCAATTCAGCCTTTAAAAGGAAGAAAATCCTGTCATTTATAACAACATGGATGAACCCAGAGGACATTAAGCTAAGTGAAATAAGCTAGACACACAAAGACCGATACTGCATGATCTGACTTATATGGTGGTTGCATGGGGTGGAATGAGGAAGAAACGGGTAGACGTTGGTCAAAGAGTATAAAGTTTCAGCTATCCAAAATCAGTAAGTTCTGGAAATTGAATGTATGGCAATGTGACTATAGTTAACAATACTGTATTGTACACTTGAAATTTGCTAGAACATAAGTATTTTCACCACAAAAAGAATAACTATGTGAGGTGATTGATATGTTAATTAGTTTGATTGTGGTCATCTATTTCACAATGTATATGTATATCAAAACATTATTTTGTACACCTTGAATATATGCAATTTTTACTTGTCAATTATATCTCCAAAGAGCTTTCAAAAAGCTAACAATAAATTCAACAATATGAAACACATGAGAAACATGCTGCCAGGATCTTAGAAGAGGGCAACTTAAGGGAGAGGTGGCTTGGGCAGAGAGCATCAGGAAAGGTTTGCTTGTGGAGGTAATAGCACCTAAGTCTTAAAGAACAAGTAGAATGGAGGTTCCTGCATAGTCTGTAGAACAGAATGAGAGAGTTCTCACCATTGTTGAATAGATAAGTGAATGATGATCTATAGCTGTATAGGACTCCTAATTTCCGATTATATCAAACCCAACAAAGACCTTCCAAAAGAACATTTCTGACCAATATAAAGCTCATCTGCGCACATGGACCTGCTATTGTGATCCCACCTGTGAGTCACACAGGGCTCTTCAAGGCCCTAAGCCAATCCCTACATGACCCTGTGAATATTCTGAACATTGAAGACTGTGGCATTAGTGATTCACTTTTGCTCTATTCTATTCTATTGGCATTATGTATTCCTAGGAGTATTGTGTGTTGGGGCAATAATTCATTACTTGACTAACATATTACCTGAAATTCTGATGATCAGGTTACATCATAGAAAAGAATTAGGACAATGTCCTGAATATCTCCTACGCTTCCTAAATTTCTTGCTATAATTGATCATCATACAACAAAATCTTATTAATTTGGGACATGTGCAGGCTAATTTTCCCTGGCCTGTACCGAGGGAAAATTGGCATCTTCCACAAAATTCATGGACAAATTGGGAAGGTAAATGTAATTACAGAAGATATATTTAACCTAGCGTGAATGTACTTTGTGCTAATTGCAAGTGAATCATATTATTCTGTACTTGAGCCTTGAACCTCATCACTTAGAAGCACTCTTTAGCTATGATGCTTAATTATGTTTAAATGTATTGGGAAGAAACTAAATGACATTATTATTTTATTTCATTTTTTAAGTTTTGAGGTACAAGTGTGACTTTGTTACATGCATAGATTGCATAATTAGCAAGTCAGAGCTTTTAGGCCATCATCACATGAGTAACATAAACTGTACCCATTAAGTAATTTCTCATTGTCAACCCCACTCTCACTCTCTAAGCTTTCTGAGTGTCCATGGTCTATCATTCTACTCTCTATGTCCATGCGCACACATTATGTAGCCCCCATGTGTGAGAATATGCGATATTTGTCTTTCTGTGTCTGATTTGTTTCATTTAAGATAATGATCTCCAGTTCCATCCATGTTGCTGCAAAATACATGATTTTATTATGATTTTATGGTGGAATAGCATTAAGTGACATTATTTTCTAAAGTCCAAGTCAACCAAATTAGTGTAGCCTGCACTTTGGGGCCATCATTAAGTAAAATGAGGGTTATTTGAAAGCAAGCACTGCATATCCTACAGTACTGCAACAGTCAGTCTGGTAACTGAGATAATTACTCGGGGATTAAAGGGTGGTCATGTATACAGTATGGACACAGGGAGGACATTTGTCCCAGGCAAGACAGAGCAGGATTGGTGATATTTCATCATACAACTCAGAATGGCATGCAATTTAAAACTTACAAATTGTTTATTTCTGGGATCTTCCATTAATACATTAGAACCGTGGTTGACCATAAGTAACTGAAACCGTGGAAAGTAAATCCACAGATAGGGAAGGAATACTGTAATGCTATGAAGAGAGCATTAAGGGTGATTCTGGTCAGGGCTCAGAAGAAAATAATAGCTGTAGGGAAAGTATGAATCTTCTTATAGGTTATTTAGGTGGTCGTGGCCAGAATGCTGAGAGAAATATGGACAATAGAGGCTATTCTGATGAGATCTCAGATGGAAATGAGGAACAAGAATTGGAAACTGGAGTAAAGGCCATCCTTGTTACAAAGTGGCAAAGGACTTGATTGAATTATGTTCATGTCTAAAGGCTTTATGGAAGGCAGAGTTAAAGAAAGAAGAACAAGTATATCGGGGGAAGAAATTTCCAAGAAAAATGTTGAAGGAGCTGATTGGTGTCTTTGAACTGCGTATAGTAAAATGCAAGAGGAAAGAAACGATTTAAAGGTGGAATTCGCAATTAAAAGGGAAACACAGAATATAGATGTAGAAAATGTGCAACCTGACCAACAATGAGAACACATGGTCACAGGAAGGGGAACATCACACACCAGGGACTGTTGTGGGGTGGGGGGAGGGGGGAGGGCTAGCATTAGGAGATATACCTAATGTAAATGACAAGTTAATGGGTGCAGCACACCAACATGGCACATGTATACATATGTAACAAACCTGCACGTTGTGCACATGTACCCTAAAACTTAAAGTATAATAATAATAAAATTTAAAAAAAAGAATGAAAAAGCATGCAAGGGTGTGGCCAAGTGATGCTTTGATACAAGGATTGATAAGAATAGAAGGAAGCTAGGTGCTGTTCATCAGATCAATGGGAGAATGGCTCTGAAGGCATTTCAGAGATTGTTGAAGCTATCCCTCCCATCACAGGCTCCAAATGAGAGAAACTTGAGGTCAGAAAGGGCTTGGTACTCTCCACATTCTAGCACAGTGCCCCTTTGCTGCTCCAGTTGTGGCTCAAGTGGGCTTAGATGAGACTTGTGCTGCTGCTGCAGAGGGTACAAACTGTGAGCCTTGGTGGTGTTGATGTAGTACTGACTGTAGATACACAGACTGCAGGAGTTGTGGGGCAATGGTTGTCCACCTAGGTTTGAAAGGATGTTTCTGACAGCCTGCCTTAGGGGTGTAGCCACAGCAGAGAGGTCCTCCTAGGGCCATGCTCAGGAAAACGGGGGGTCAGAGCAGCCACTGAGACCCTAGAACTGTAGAACTATCAGCCTGCAATACTAGCCTGAGAGAGCTGCAGCAGAGACTCCAATCAGATAGCTGCTGTATGGGCTGAGCCCAGCAAAGCCATGGGGCAGGGCTATCTGAGGGCATTTGGGGCCTAACACCAAGGCCCCAGGCAGCCCTTCCCCATGTCGGGCACATCCAGGAGACAGCACATGGAGTCGAAGTTTATTCTCCAGTCTTAAGATTTAATGCTGTCTTCCCTGTTGGACTCACCTGGGGCCAGTTACCCTTTTTCTTTCCTGTTGCTCCCTTTTGGAATGGGCCTGTCTATCCTATGCCTCTCCCACCATTGGATTTTGGAACTAGATAACTTCTTTAATAGGTTCACATATGGAGGAGAATTTGCCTCAGGATAAGTCCTGTGTTGAGTCTTATTCATATCAGAGTCACATGAGACTCTTAGATTTACATTTTGACTTTTAAGTTGGTGATGGAACATGACTTTGGGACTATTGGGATAAAAGGAATATATTTTGCGTATGAGAAGGACATGGATGTGGGGGGCCAAGGGTGGAATGCAATGGTTTGAATGTGTCCCTCAAAGTTCATGTGTTGGAAACTTGATCCTCAATGCAGCAGTGTTGGGAGGTGGGGCCTAACAGGAGATGTTTGGGTCATGGTGACACCACCCTCATGAGTGGATTAATGTTGTTATCACAAGAGTGGGTTCCTTATAAAAGGATGAGTTTGACTCCTTCTTTCTCTGTCTCACCCTCTCTCCCTTCCACAATGGGATAACATGGTATTCCTGGTTATCTATAACCAAGTCTCATTCTATAAACGGAATCCTAATTCCACAAGGTTCCACATATGCTATTTATCAGGGGACATGTTGCTTACCACATAAATAATTGTAGTTTTCCTGAAATGAAACTCTGATCTCCTTGTTTGGAATGTTTTCCTCTCTTTTATCCAGAAGTCAAACGATATATACATTTTTAAAGGACCTTACATGCTTCTATGTCATCAAAAAGCCTTCATTCATTCAACAAACATTTATTTCCGGTGTTCTCTGTGCTGAGTATCATGGTAACAAAAAGAAACGTCATAGCCCATGCCTTCAGGCTATTTGCATTGCATATGGGGGAATGAAAGAAGTAAACGTCTATGATACAGTAGAATGTATCACATTATGAGCACAAGGCAGGAAATAATGATAAATGAATGGGGTAGTTTATCAGGAAAGATATTACTGAGGAGGAAATATTTAACTGGGTTTTGACAAATGAGTAGGAGTTTGCAGAGTGGACAAAAAAAGACGACACATTCCAAGAAGATGAAGCAGTTTCAGCAAGCTTAGCAAATTTTGTTCTTTACCACTTTCTTGGCTACACTAAGACATATTAGGCTTACTTTCTCTTTAATCTTGGACAAGCATTTTGTTTGTTTGTTTTAGCTTTTTAATGCTTCTTTTGAGTATTCTGCTAAAAGAGCAATAAGAATGTACACTACTTTATAAGGTTGTAATAAAGAGTGAAAATGAAAAAGATATTTAGCACAATGTCTGGTACATAGTCAATACTTCACAAGTAATATACATACCCTGAGGATGTATGGAACTTATCCACATACTATACATTTTTATTTTAGTTGTTTAATGAACATAATTGTAATTCTTTTCATTTTTGCCAAATTCTGTTTCTTATGCATGTGTCTTATACAAGTACCTGCAGGAAAAAGAGGAGGGTTTATCTGTTCTATACCCAGAGTACCCAATAGAATGTCTTGGATGCATATTATTGAAGGCTTAATAATTCTAAATATTGTTTACATATAACAAATGCTTTTGTCAATGAATAATCCATCATGCAGTTTTGATGATCAAAGGTAAATCAAAACTTCCTACTCCAAATGCCTATACTGTAAGACATACAGAAAAATGTGTTTTTACTCATTAAAGGCAATGAGTCATGGCTAAGTACTTTCACTTGGAGTGGTGGAATGAGATCTGACACAGAGTTTATAACTTCCTTAAGATCTGACCATCTCCCCAACCATTCAAGAAGCATACACGGAATCAGAGTCATCTTCATTATAGATGGGACATCCTTCTCCCGAATGAGTCCTTCCTTCTAATTCCTTTCCAACATTTCATCTGACCAGGACATTATTTGACAACAAAAGACACATTAACATTATAAAAGTTGTCCCCCATGATTTGCAGAGAGCAATCTACAGGTAGGAGGGAGAATCACATTTAGAAATAAAGTGTCAGAGTCATGTGACCAGTGCTTTGTAAAAGACACTGCAGAGACCAGGGACAAAGGTGACCCCCACTAAGGAAGAAATATGACAAGTGTTTCCAATAGAAACACAGGAGCACAGCAGGAAAAGGAAATGGGTTATTTTCTCTCTTTTGGAGTATTTAAGTAGAAACACACAATTATGTAATTACATGATTAAGTTTTCCACGAGGTAAATAATAAGGAAATAATGACGTGGTGGCAATGGGCCTTCAGCAGGGTATAAAGGAGGCTATGGACCCAGAAGACTTCCAAACCCAAGAACTTCACTCTCTTGGAAACCCACCCAGATCCTCCCCGTTCTGACACCATGGTCAGCTCCTGTTGTGGCTCCGTGTGCTCTGACCAGGGCTGCAGCCAAGACCTCTGTCAGGAGACCTGCTGCCGCCCCAGCTGCTGTCAGACCACCTGTTGCAGGACCACCTGCTACCGCCCCAGCTGTTGTGTGTCCAGCTGCTGCAGGCCCCAGTGCTGCCAGTCTGTGTGCTGCCAACCCACCTGCTGTCGCCCCACCTGCTGTGAGACGACCTGCTGCCACCCTAGGTGCTGCATCTCCAGCTGCTGCCGCCCCAGCTGCTGTATGTCCAGCTGCTGCAAGCCCCAGTGCTGCCAGTCTGTGTGCTGCCAGCCCACCTGCTGCCGCCCCAGCTGCTGCCGCCCCTGCTGCTGCCTGCGTCCAGTCTGTGGCCGAGTCTCCTGCCACACCACTTGCTATCGCCCAACCTGTGTCATCTCCACCTGTCCCCGCCCCTTGTGCTGTGCCTCCTCTTGCTGCTGAGCCCACTGCCCTGGCTCACGTCCCCCTTCACCACTGGCCCACAGATGTAGACCCTTCTACTGTGCTGACCATTAGGATACATGAAGTGGGGTTGATGTCATTCAATAGGATGGACCTTATGCTTCCAAAGAGCCCACCACCATTTCACTGACTCTGTGAGAACATTCTGGTTCATTTTAAACTCCCTCCTTTGCTTTCTTTTTCTTCTGGTGGTGGCACCAAATGTGAATTAATTTGTAATACACTAGCTAAGAAATTATTCCAATCTTCTGATTTCCTTATTTTCTTTATCACTTTAAGGTACAGATTCTCCTTCTCAGTGAGGTAGATATTATCTGCAGGACCAGTTTTGTCACTGATGTTGCACCCTCAGATCCAGCCACCCAATTGTATTCTGTGTTTCTCCTAGGGTGAATTTCTTATGCTTTGTTGTATCTCTGCTTTCTAATAAACTTTTCTGCACTTAAGAATTCATTGGTATCATTCTCTATTGCTTTCATAATTATTTTACTGATTCCCTGGCAATTATATTTTACACAAAGACACAGGAGGAGCAACCCGTCTTGAAATCATTTTGAAGATACATTCTATATCAAATATAGATAATTTAAGGTATTGGAATAAAAGTGCTGTGTGTATATGTGTGTGTATGTGCACATGTGTCTTAATATTCTAAATTAAGACATTTAATTCATGCCTTAGCTCTTGAAACACATTTTATCATGAACACATTATATCTCACAATACTATTGTCCCTATTTTGACAAAAAACATAAAACCAAATTTCAGAAAAGTAGACACCAATGAAATAAGGGAAATCTTCTATAAAGAATTTAATGTACTCGAGTCATTTCACTCAATAAACAACATTTTGGAATTTATAACCAAAAAGCGGGCTTTATTTCCCAGTGAGTTCTGCTGAGAAAAAAAAAGCATGTTGAGCTGTATTTTATCTGGATAGCATGGTATATTTCTGACAGTGGTCTCTATGGGTTTACGTTATAATTTAAACATCTCCACACTTAACATTTTACTATATATAAACCCAGAAAGGCTGAAAATTTCAAGGCTCACTTTTCTTTTTAAGAATTATTTTCTTGTAGATTTGTTTGAGTTCATTGTAGATTCTCGATATTAGCCCTTTGTCAGATGAGTAGATTGCAAAAATTTTCTCCCATTCTGTAGGTTGCCTGTTCACCCTGAAGGTAGTTTCTTTTGCTGTGCAGAAGCTCTTTAGTTTAATTAGATCCCATTTGTCAATTTTGGCTTTTGTTGCCATTGCTTTTGGTGTTTTAGACATGAAGTCCATGCCCATGCCTATGTCCTGAATGGTATTGCCTAGGTTTTCTTCTAGGGTTTTTATGGTTTTAGGTCTAATATGTAAGTCTTTAATCCATCCTGAATTAATTTTTGTATAAAGTGTAAGGAAGGGATCCAGTTTCAGCTTTCTACATATGACTAGCCAGTTTTCACAGCACCATTTATTAAATAGGGGATCCTTTCCCCATTTCTTGTTTTTGTCAGGTTTGTCAAAGACCAAAAAACAAACAGCCCCATCAAAAAGTGGGCAAAGGATATGAACAGACACTTCTCAAAAGAAGACATTTATGCAGCCAAAAGACATATAAAAAAATGCTCATCATCACTGGCCATCAGAGAAATGCAAATCAAAACCACAATGAGATACCATCTCACACTAGTTAGAATGGCGATCATTAAAAAGTCAGGAAACAACAGGTGCTGGAGAGGATGTGGAGAAATAGGAACACTTTTACACTGTTGGTGGGACTGTAAACTAGTTCAACCATTGTGGAAGACAGTGTGGCGATTCCTCAGGGATCTTGAACTAGAAATACCATTTGACCCAGCAATCCATTACTGGGTATATACCCAAAGGATTATAAAACATGCTGCTGTAAAGACACATGCACATGTATGTTTATTGTGGCATTATTCACAATAGCAAAGACTTGGAACCAAGCCAAATGTCCAACATAGACTGGATTAAGAAAATGTGGCACATATACACCATGGAATACTATGCAGCCATATAAAATGATGAGTTCATGTCCCTTGTAGGGACATGGATGAAGCTGGAAACCATCATTCTCAGCAAACTATCGCAAGGACAAAAAACCAAACACTGCATGTTCTCACTCATAGGTGGGAATTGAACAATGAGAACACATGGACACAGGAAGGGAAACATCACACACAGGGGCCTGTTGTGGGGGTGGGGGGAGGGGGGAAGGATACCATTAGGAGATATACCTAATGTTAAATGACAAGTTGATGGGTGCAGCACACCAACATGGCACATGTATATATGTAACTAACCTGCATGTTGTGCACATGTACCCTAAAACTTAAAGTATAATAAAAATAAATAAATAAATAAATAAATTGAGAAAAAAAAGAATTTTTTTTTGAAATTAGTTCATAGCCTTGAGTAGGTCGCAGCTGGGGTGCATATCCTAATTAGAATCTTCAAGAGTAGTGCCTTCATTTGAATCTGAAAGAATATGGTAAGTGATTATAACTTGGCATTCTAGTAGGAGCACCTGCTCTTGATGTTTTTACTTTTACTTGACAATTATCAGCTCTGAAGTGCCCTAAGCTATTGAGCCAATCAAGTTTAAGATGATTTGTTCAGATATCATTGATAAGCTTCACATTTTTTCAGATGCCTTAAGAAAATTGTTGCCCAGATCTTAATCATAGAGTTATGATGCCTTCTTAAACATGAGGCAGGATAAATAAGGTTAGAAGGCTGTGAAAGTAAAATAAATATTGGGGCCCCCAAATCACTAAGCTAAAGGGAAAAGGCAAACTCAGAACTGCTTAGGGAAAATCTGCCTCTCATTCTATTCAAAGTCACCCCTCTGCTCACTGAGATAAATGCATATCTGATTGACTCCTTGGGAAAGACTAATCAGAAACTCAAAAGAATGCAACCATTTGTCTCTTATATACCTATGATCTGGAAGCCCCCTCCCAGCTTTGAGTTGTCCCGCCTTTGCTTCGAGTTCTCCTGCCTTTTCTGAACCAAATCTGTGTTTATCTTACATATGTTGATTGATGTCTCATATCTCTCTAAAATGTATAAAACAAAAGTGTTATCTGACCACCTTACACACATGTTGTCAGGACTTCCTGAAGCTGTGTCACTGGAGCAGCCTGAAGCTGTGTCACTGAAGCATCCTCAACCTTGGCAAAATAAACTTTCTAAATTAACTGAAGCCTGTCTCAGATATTCAGGGTTCACATTTTTGTAATTCTGAAGGGATTCTGAGTGGAGATGCACCTGACCTTTGACAAATATCCAGTTGGTACCTGGTAATAGCATGAGCCAACCTTATGGCTCAAACCAAGAGGACAATTTACTGAGTTCTGGAAGCACCCTCCCCAAAGAATCCATGATCTCCCAAAATTTGGTGAAGATCTAAAGTGTATTTTGCTGTACAACTTCCCCATCTATTTTTTTTTTTTTTTTTTGGAGTTGAGTTTTACTGGCTTACTTGCCTTCCTTTACAAGGAAGGCAAGATTTATTTTACTTCCTTTACAAGGAAGGCAAGATTTCCTGCTTCCATGATGATGAAACGCATGTAGAGTTTGAGCTCACTCCCAGCAGGGAACACCAGTTTGAGTTTTTTTCCTGCTTCTAGGATGGTAGAAAGCAGCCTTCAGCCTGAGACCCATCCCTACGTAAGTAGCTGAACTGGGGCTTTGTCTTGGCTAAAGTTTAACAACCAGCTGGTCTTAATTTCTCCTTATCATTAGAATGCTTGGTAATCGTATTGTTGGACATTTTGTTGTTTGTTTTGGTCTTTCTCCCATCAGACTTGACCAACTCTACCTGACTTGGTCAAATCCAAGTGAGAATTCAAAATTATGGGTAACAAAGCCTCTTTAATTTGGCTAAAATTCATTACAGCTGCAAAAGAAGAAAACAAACAAAAAGAACCAAAAACCCATGCACTTGGTTTCTGTGTTTGCTTCCTGCCTTAGAAAACAAATTTTCTTTCATTTACTTTTCTTCCACCATATACCTCCTCCCCCTTTGCCATTTGCAGTACCAAAAAATCTAGAGAAGGCTTCTAATGACTTGAACTCCCTTAAAGAATCAGAACAAAGGTCGCCACTCACCCCTTTTGGGGTGTTTTGTTTTCTTTGTGGAGTTTCAAGAGTCATGGGTAGATACTTCTTAACTCTAAACCTCTATTTTCCTGTATTGCATGACCTGACCTCTTTGGCTTTGACCTTGCTGGGTATAATGGTAGATGACAGCTACAGAGTTAAGGGGTGTCTGAGCACAGTTTACAAAAAGTGGTCTTGGCTGTTGTTTCGTTTTCCTTCCAGGAAGTTGTTGTTTAAAAATCCTAATTCTAGTTCAGAGATGCATTCTAAAGGGTCCTCTCTGTTGCTTTTTCTCCACAAATTAAGCTCGATTCGGCTTGTCTGTGTGCATTTGCATGAGGAACTGAACTGTTGTTTTCAGTGGTGACCCACTGTGGAGTCCTGCCCACAAATGGCACATATTGATCCACCACAGAAAACCTCTAGGCCTCAGCTCAGTTCCTCTTTTTAAGAAGAAAACTGGGAAACAAATAATCTAAGAATGAGGAGAAAGCAAAGAGAATGATTCCCTTTCAAGCACTCCATAGGTTTTATGGCACCTGTACTTGCCAGAGTTTAAGTAAAATGGAAGTAATATGGTCTTTGTGCATATTTACATTAAGAAAGAAAGGGCCCATGTAAATTAGTTCAACCATTGTGGAAGACAGTATGGTGATTCCTCAAGGATCTAAAATCAGAAATACCATTTGATCCAGCAATCCCATTACTTGTTATATACCCAAAGGAATACAAATCATTCTACTGTAAAGACACAGGCACATGTATGTTTATTGCAGCACTATTTACAAGAGCAAAGACATGGAACTAACCCAAACGCCCATCAATTATAGACTTGATAAAGAAAATGTGGTACATATACACCATGGAATACGATGCAGCCATAAAACGGAGTGAGTTCATGTCCTTTGTAGGGACATGGATGAAGCTGGAAACCATCATCCTCAGCAAACTAACACAGAAACAGAATACCAAATACAACATGTTCTCACTCACATATGGGAGTTGAACTTTGAGAACACATGGACACAGAGAGGAGAGCAACACATATCAGGGGCTGTTGGGGGGTGGGGAATGAGAGGAGGGAACTTAGAGGATGGGTCAATAGGTGCAGCAAACCACCAAGGCACACATATACCTATGTAACAAACCTGCACGTTCTCCTGCATGTATATTTCATTTTTTTTTAGAAGAGAAAGAAAAGAAGGAAAGAAAGCAAGAAAGCAAGAAAGAGAAAGAAAGAAAGCAAGCAAGCAAGAAAGAAAGAAAGAAAGAAAGAAAGAAAGAAAGAAAGAAAGAAAGAAAGAAAGAAAAGAAGAGCCTTAAGGTGGACCTACAAACTACAGAGTTCCTAAGTTCTCTTTTTTCTCTATTTTCTTTTCTGCCTGCTTTAAATCTGCTGTTATTTTTCTATTAAGATCAAAACCACTGTTTGGATACAACAGTTTTTTTGCTTGCAAGCTGGTGAATTTGTATTTGTCTCATGGCTAAAGTTCTGAAGTAAAAGCTATAGGATGTGTGTGTGTGTGTGTGTGTGTGTGTGTGTGTGTGTGTATTTAAAAGGCCTTTATAATTTTTATAATTTTATGTTTATTTGGCAATGAAGTCCATTTTAATTTCCCTCTAGCACCACCAGACTTTTTCTCTCTGTACCTTAAGACATAAATTTTGCTCTTTGATTTTTGCCTGAGTTGTTTCCTTTAATATGCAAACTTAAAGCCATTTAGCTGACAACTTCCTAGGGGATTAAAACAGGTTATTGAGAATTTGAAAGTCTAAGATAGTGGAAAAATCTTCTTATGAATCTATAAGATGTACTTCTATCAACATGCCTACTAGGTCTATGTATTTATGTGTTGTGTACACAATGTCTCACTACTGAAAATATATAAAAGGGCTCTAATTAATTGGCTTAAGAAAAAAAGCACTTAAATCAAATACTTATTAGGAAAAAAGAAAAGACTAGTTGAATGCTTTCTCAAGTTTATGTAACTTAAGTAAAATCTTTAATAAATAAGCTACTTTTAAAATGATTGGTAAAGTAATATTAGACATGTCTTAAGAATTGCCAGCATGCATTTTGTTTGCATTTATTAATCAAGCAATTTCATGTTTATCCCTGTCAAATACTATAAGGTGTCAAAATTTGGCATGGGGTTACAAAACTGTGATAGAATGATCTTTGCTTGTGTAATCTTTAATAAATAAGACATTGATACTGGTTTAATAAAAATAGCCACATCTTGAATTTAGTCAGATTACCATAACTTCTAATCTTGTGGCTTTTAGTGGTCTAGTCCACAGGCAGTAATATTTACTTTGGGAATGAAATATTATAATCTTTGTTTCAAAGGTAAACTATAAACTATTTTCCTCTCAAAGTCTGTTCAGCCTGTGCTGGTAAGAAAGCTTAAAGAGAAATAATTTCATATGAGAAAGAATCTTGTATGGTAAATTTAGACCTAAAATAAAATGACTGATTGTTTAAGAAAGATGGATGTTCAAAACAAACTAGATAGTCCAAGCATATCATGAACAGTCTCTATAAGTCATAAGAGGATTTATTTTAAAAAAATACCAAAAAACTTTTATATGATTGAGTTGTCTATAATTAAAGGGAAATTATAATGGTCTTCCTGAAGATTGGGCTTCATGCTAAAAAAAACACTTATAGACTAAATAATTAGTTACAGCGATGAAATTTTCTTAAGGGATTGATTTACTCTTAATAAATTATAAGAGATTTTAATTTTTTAACCCAAAGTTCAACTATTTACTTGCTGTTTTCTCTCCCCTTCAACTTGTTTTCAGCTCATATAAGTTATTTTCCTTAAGTTCTGTTTGTTGTGGCCTGATGCTAACAATGTTTTCTAAAAGTCTAAAGGAAATGTTTTCTTCCAAAGTAATACTCTGTGCAGTGTAGAAGGTCTTTTCTTTTGCCTTTTGGTAATTGACCTAACAGATTTTATGGCTTATTGAAACAATTCCTATGCCATTATTATTAATTTTTGGTTTGCTTAGGAAAAAGAAACTGAGACAATTTTTTTAAAAAATTAACGTTATTACATCCATGTATATTTCTGTGTGCACTTTGAAAGTACCTGTGACATTGAGTTACCGGCCTTTAACTCCTGGATCTAAAAAGGAGACCAAGATCTGCTAAATCTTAAACACTGACAGCAATTAAAACCTCATCTTCAGGCCTGGTAGAAGATGCCTATCAAAATAAGCTGCATTTCTGAGACATAAGGCCATAAATCAAAGCTATTCAACTCTTCAAGACTCAGGAACAATCACAGAAGAGGTAGGCATGTGAGATTATAAGGGCTGATTTTGAGAGATAAAATAAGTTCAGTCTCTATACAAGTTAATAATTGATGTCAAAGGCACACTGATGCAATACCAGCATATGGGCCCCTGTGTCAGATTAACAAGGTTTTCTTGAAGTGTTAACTGACCCCTTAATAAAGGTTATAAAGGTTATAAAAGGCTTATGAAAGTTGTATCTTATGGTCAAGATTAAAATGTTATAGATTGTTTAAAAAATTTTGAAAAACAAATTTAATTGGCTTTATGCTGTTTTATTTGGGCTTATTGTTTGAAAAATTGACTTATTTTATGATGACCTGTCATATCAAGTGTTTTAAACCTTTGATATTTGACAAACTTTCCAAAATCAAATTACAAGTTGTGTATTTTTCTGACCTAATTAATCCTTTAAGATATTAGTTTCCCTCAAGTCCAAAAATGAAATAATTTGACTTATTTGGTATAAAAATTATACAGGAAGCATTGTCAAATATAAAATGGTGTTTGGTTTTATTTGGGCTGTATTTGTATAAAATTGTTATTGGTATGTGCACCAAAATTATGGGAAACTCCTATAATTCTGATATGACCTGGTGTACATTATCAGTAATAATTATGATTGTTATATTAAATTATTGTGTGCCATGGTGGTAACAAATTTTCTTGTCAATTGTATCTTCGCCTATGGCTGACCTAAAACTTTTTGTCACCCATGGACAATTTTTGTCTTGTTTTAGTCCTCTTTAGAAGATGGTTTTATAATCAGCTATAAAACTCTAACAGGTATTCTTGAATGCAGGTTTCTAATAACTCTGGAGATTGTGACATCACAATGAAGGAAAAGCTTTCAGGACTCATGGAGACCTGAAATGTTCATGAATAGCAAGCAGAACAGGAATTAACTGCATGAACTGAACTAACAGAAGACTGAAGTAATCTTTTTGACTTTTTGCTTAAAACATTGCTGACCCTTTATTTTGTTTTTTTCAGTCAAGGAAACTTTTCTTTTGAGCTGTTGTCAGCTTTTAACAAGTTAGTATACTCCTGTGAAAAATATTTGGAGCATATTTGTTTCTCTCTACCTGATTTTCCCTAGAATTGGAAACTATCTGTGAGTATTCTTAACTTATGGCAATACAGTTATTTGCGTAAGTGCAATAAGAATCTGTTTTCATTTGTAACAGGACACGATAAATTGGTCATTTTACCAAGGCTTTTACTTGAATGGTGTGCTCTTCTTTGAGGAATCAAACTTGACTTATGGAGCCAATAAAAGCCCCTTGGGAGAACTGGCCTCATACCTTATCTACACAGTCCCTGTACAGGGTTCCTGACCTGTGGTAAGTAAAGCATGTCACTTTCTAACAGTTCCAGGAGCCCCAAGTTTATCTTGGAACCTCAAGAGGAGAGGAATTCACCCAACTCATAGGTATTTGATGGTACAAATCCATGGCTAGGCTAAGCTTTCCAAAAGTCTTATCCGAAATTCCTTCTATGGAACAAAGTTCTGATAGGGCCAGGGGACAGAGAAATTCTAGGCAGAAAAGGATAGGTCTCTGACAAAACCCCACCTTCAAGCTGAAAAGCCTTAAACCATGGCCCAAAGTGACAACTTATATCCCTGTTTTCCTGCTTGAAAGTTGCCTTTTTCTAAACCACTCATGGCCCCATCCTGTCCCATCCTGTGCCTGTGAAGATCTCAGACTGAGCTGGCAGAGGCAAGAAGCAGCTGGATGTTGGGGACTACAGCCGGACATCAGAGAGAAGCAGCTTGACTGCAGAGGGACAGCTTGATGGTGTAACCTTGGAGAAGAATCCGGCTGGATACAGCCTAACTTTGAGGAAGATTACCTACCCACCCCATCCTTTTTCAGCTCCCTTCCTGCTAAGAGCCACTTTCATCAGCAACAAAATCCCCCACATTTACCATCCTTTGATTGGTTCATGTGACCTCACCTTTCCTGGACACCCGACAAGAGCTTGGGAGCCAGGAGAGCAGATACAAAAGGCTGTCACACTGGCCTTCTGCTCTTGCTGTTGGAGGGCAGCTGCCTCATGCAAAAAGGCAGAGGGCTCACTGAGCTGTTGACACTTAAGCCATCCATGGAAGGCAGAGTTAAAAGAGCACTGTAACATGACTTCTGGGGCTATGGGAGTTGCAGGCACCTCCACCTAGATGCTGCTGTGGGGCCCGCACAGAGTTTGCTCCTGCCAGCACCCAAAAGCACTCACTCTGGCTCCTGCACCCATTCACCTGCATGCTTCCTTCCATGAGCAGGGGACTGCAGCAGGTCCAAGTGAGTGAAGTTTGATCCTGCAGCACTGAAGTGCTGATTCCAGCACTCATGCACTCCAGTTCCTGCCTCATTTGCTTGCATGCTCTCTCCTGCAAGGAGGTGAGAGTGGCAGGCTGAATAAATGAGGCCCTGTCACAAGTCCCACAGAAGGGTCAGGGAAACATCCTGCTTCGCTTCCATCAAAGAGAATTTAAAAGCTTATGCAAAAAAATTATTACTATTACTATGACTGTGCTGTATACAATAATCAGGTCAAGTATAATAAAGCAAATCAGCTCTGCCATGATTTGTCTTTAGTAAAAATGGTAAATGGGAGAGAGAAGAATTGTTTCAAAAAATGATAGTACACCTGTTGTTAGATTCTAGTCTTGCCTAATGTTTTTCCATTTTTATTAATTTTTACAGTTTGGACTGAATTCTAATTTTTCTTGGCTACAGGTCTTCAAAAGATTGTCTTCAGTTTTTTTCTTCTTCTTCTTTCCACCATTTTTCCTAATTTGGAGTCACCGAAAACTCATCTGTGCTTTTATAAAGCCCTGTGAACTGCAGCTATAAGATTTAAACTTCAGAAGAAAATATTAGCAACCTTTTCACATACGTGAGCCTCTTTCATACCTGCCTACTGATATATGGACTTCCGAGTAATGTGGCCCATATTGATTTTCCAGGATTGTTCTTTTGTTTATTTTTGTTTTTCTCCCTTCCTTTCCCTATTTTCTCTTCATAGGACATGAAACTTCACAACCTGCTAAAAATGAACTTTCCTAATAACTCAGGAATTATCTTTCTAGGAATAAACAATCCTAGCCATGAGATATCAGATGAAACTTGAGACCAAAGACTGACTTTCTTCTAAAATGCTTTCTCAAAAAGATTTTTAAGAAGAAATGGGCGGAAATGTGAAAGGAAAATAAACCTTGGGGCCCTGAAATCACTAAGGTAAAGGGGAAAGTCAAGCTGGGAACTGCTTAGGGCAAACCTGCCTCCCGTTCTATTCACAGTCACCCCTCTGCTCACAGAGATAAATGCATATCTGATTGCCTCCTTTGGAAAGGCTAATCAGAAACTCTGAAGAAAGCAACCATTTTTCTCTTATCTACCTATGACCTGGAAGCCCCTCCCCACTTAGAGTTGTCCCGGCCTTTTCCGGACGGAACCACTGTTCATCTTACATATGTTGATTGATGTCTCATGTCTCCCTAAAATGTATAAAACCAAGCTGTGCTCTGACCACTTTGGGCACCTGTCTTCAGAACCTCCTGAGGCTGTGTCACAGGTGTACATCCCCAACCTTGGCAAAATAAACTTTCTAAATAAACTGAGACCTGTCTCCGATTTTGCGGGTTCAGAAGGCTATACTGAATTGTCCCCTGTGTGAAGCCCAGCAGGAGCCTTTCACAGCAGGTTCTTTTCACTTGAACCTTTGTGCATCAGCACCTAACTCTTTCGCAAGATAAGGGGTCCTACGGAATACCAGCAGACCCACCAGAGGGTTACAAATTCCTGATACCTAGTACAACCTGGGAAAGAGAGCAAAAGCCCTTTATTCCTGATGTAGCTTCCCCAATCTCTAGCCAATTTGCACCAAAAGCCCAAGAAACTCCTAACTACAAATTCCTTCCAGGGGTGGGGTGTGTGGGAGGGTGGGCAGGGACTTCTCTGGGGTCCTGCATGCACAGCTAGGCTCAAGGTTCAGCTTATAGTAACCTTTTCCTCATTTTAATAGTAAAAACAGCCACAACAAGAAAAACACCCCTAGGCGGAGATTTCATATGCTAATGATACATGCAATGGGTGTTACACCATGTTGATCCTGAGCACATGTGCCAACCGCAGGTCTGCCTTTGCATACTTGACCTCACCGGTACTTTTTGATTATGTACGTATAGCTCTCATGAGAGGAATTCCTTTTACAGCACTAGCTGCTGTCTCTCCCATTGAGCAGCCCACTCTGCCTCTCAAAGGGTACTTTTGCTTTGCAACAAACTTCTTCGCTTACTCTTACTTTGGATTTGCTCTCAAATTCTTTCGCGCAGCAAATTCAAGAATCTGAACTGGTCCACCAACAACAAAATAACAAAATTCCCTTATATAACATTTGGAGTCTGCCTTAACTGATTTGAATCAAGATGGAATGCAGTAGGATGAGATGTACTTTTTAAATTTCACACAGAAGAGTGAGGAGTATTACCATGATATCATAATTTCTAAAATAATGGATGAACTTACAAACAACAATACTGGGGGCTTTACCTATCCCAAAGCATTCCGTATATCAAATTGAAACAATGAAAAGCTTCTATTTTATTTTAGTTTATCTGTGACATTACTAGGGGTTTTACGTATCCCAAACCATTCCGTATATCAAATTGAAACAATCAAAAGCTTCTATTTTATTTTAGTTTATGTGTGACATTGGAGCAGTTTGGCACTATGATTTCATCCCTGAAGTCTTACTTTGGAATCATGCTTTGAGAATCCCCTTCTACTGCATTCCCACCTCACCCCCATGAATCAGTAAACTCAGTGAAAATTATCACAAAAAATGCAAAAAACAATAAAAGATTTCTAAATGAAAAGTTTAATACAATATATTTTGTGAACACAATAAAGATAAAGAACTAATAAAATAGAAAAATTCTGACAAACTTGAACAGTGAGAGAAAGAGAGAGCAGGGAGAAAGCGGGAGAGCACGGGAGGGGCAGCCTCCTACCTTTCCAAAAGAAAAGAATGACTGAAAGGCTGACAGACAAATAGTATGTTTGAAAGGGAGATAATGTGTACCTAATTGGGAAGGATATTCTGTAGGCTCAAAATGATTTTAAAAAATGAGGAATTTAGAGGATTGGAATAATTTCTTAGCTAGTGGATTACAAATTAATTCGTATTTGGTGCCATGACTGGAAGAAAAAGAAAGCAAGGGAGGGAGTTTAAAATGAACCAGAATGTTCTCACAGAGTCAGCGGGATGGTGATGGGCTCATTGGATACATGAGGTCCACCCTGCTGAATGACATAAATCCCACTCCATGTGTCCTAATATTCAGCACAGAAGAATGGTCTACATTTGTGGACCAGCGGTGAAGGGAGAGATGAGCCAGGGCAGTGGGCTCAGCAGCAAGAGGAGGCGCAGCACACGGGGCGGGGGCAGGTGGAGATGACACAGGCTGGGCGATAGCAAGTGGTGTGGCAGGAGACTCGGCCACAGACTGGACGCAGGCAGCAGCAGGGGCGGCAGCAGCTGGATTCACAGCAAGAGGGGCGGCAGCAGCTGGAGATGCTGCAGCTGGGGCGGCAGCAGTTGGGCTGGCAGCACACAGACTGGCAGCACTGGGGCTTGCAGCAGCTGGACACACAGCAGCTGGGGCGGCAGCAGCTGGAGATGCAGCAGCTAGGGTGGCAGCAGGTGGGCTGGCAGCACACAGACTGGCAGCACTGGGGCTTGCAGCAGCTGGACACACAGCAGCTGGGGCGACAGCAGGTGGGCTGGCAGCACACAGACTGGCAGCACTGGGGTCTGCAGCAGCAGGACACACTGTAGCTGGGGCGGTAGCAGGTGGTCCTGCAGCAGGTGGTCTGACAGCAGCTGGGGCAGCAGCAGGTCTCCTGGCAGAGGTCTTGGCCACAGCCTTGGTCAGAGCACACGGAGCCACAACAGGAGTTGACCATGGTGTCAGAGGGTGAAGGATCTATTTGGGTTTCCAAGAGAGTAAAGTTCTTGAGTTTGGAAGTTTCCTGGGTCCATAGCCCCTTTATACCCGCCTGAAGGCCCGTTGTCACCACGTCATTATTTCCTTGTTATTATTTACCTACTGAAAAAATTAATCATGTAATTACATCATTGTGTGTTTCTAGTTAAATACTCCAAAACAGAGAAAATAACTCATTTCCTTTTCCTGCTGTGCTCCTGTGTTTCCATTGGAAATGCTTGTCATATTTCTTCCTTGGTGGGGGTCACCTTTGTCCCTGGTCTATGCAGTGTCTTTTACAAAGCACTGGTCACAGGACTCTCTGACATTTTGTTTTTAAATATGACTCTCCCTCCTACCTGTAGATTGCTGTCTGCAAATAATGGGGGACGATTTTTATAATGTGAATGTATCTTTCATTGTCAAAGAACGTCCTGGTCAGGTGAAATGTTGGGAAGGAATTAGAAGGAAGGACTCATTTGTGGAAGGATCTCCCATCTGTAATGAGGATGACTCTGATCCCGTGTGTGCATCTCGGATGGTCGGGCAGATGGTCAGATCCCAACAAGTTCTAAACTCTTTGTCAGATCTTATTCCACAGCCTCCAGCAAAAGTACTTACCCATGACTCACTGCCTTTAAAGGGTAAAAACACATTTTGCTGTATTTCTTACAGTATAGGCATTAAGAGTAGGAAGTTTTGATTTATCTTTTTTTTTTTTTTTTTTTCTGACGGAGTCTCCCTCTGTCACCAGGCTGGAGTACAGTGGCATGATCTCGGCTCACTGCAACTTCCACCTCCTGGGTTCAAGCAGTTCCTTTTCCTCAGCCTTCCGAGTAGCTGGGACTACAGGTGTGTGCCACCACACCCAGCTTACTTTTGTATTTTTAGTAGAGACAGGGTTTCACCATGTTGGCCAAGATGGTATTGATCTCTTGACCTCATGATCCACCCGCCTTTGCTTCCCAAAGTGTTGGGATTGCAGGCGTGAGCCCCCAACACCCAGCCTGATTAATCTTTGATCATCAAAATTGCGTGATGCATTTTTCATTTACAAAAGCATTTGTTATATATGAAGAATATTTAGAATTATTAAGCCTTCAATAACATGCATCCAAGATGTTCTATTGGGTACTCTGGGTGTAGAACAGATAAACCCTCATCTTTTTCTTGCAGGTACTTGCATAAGACACATGGATAGGAAACAGTTTGGCAGAAATGAAAAGAATTACAATTATTTTCATTAAACAACTAAAATAAAAAATGTATAATATGTGGATAAGTTCCATACACCCTCATGGTATGTATATTACTTGTGAAGTATTGACTATGTAGCAGGCATTGTACCAAATATCTTACATTTGTTTCATTTTCACACTTTAATACAACCTTATGAACTAGTTTATATTCTTATTAGTCTTTTAGGGGAATACTCAAAAGAAGCATTAAAAACTTAAAACAAACAAACAACTTGTCCAAGGTTAAAGAGAAAGTAAGCCTAATATGTCTTAGTGTAGCCAAGAAAGCCCTAAAGAATACAATTTGCTAAGCTTGCTGAAACTGCTTCATCTTCTTGGAATGTTTCATCTTTTTTTGTCCACTCTGCAAACTCCTACTCATGTGTCAAGACCCAGTTAAAATATTTCCTCCTCAATAATATCTTTCCTGCTAAGCTACCCCATTCATGTATCATGATTTCCTGCCTTGTGCTCATAATTTGTTACATTCTCCTGTATCATAGTCATTTACTTCTGTCATTCCACCACGTGCAATGCAAATACCCTGAAGGCATGGGCTATGGCATTTATTCTTGTTACCATGATACTCAGCACAGAGAACACTGGTGGTAAATGTTTGTTGAGTGAAGGAAGGCTTTTGATGACATAGAGGCATGTAAGGTCCTTTAAAAATGTATATATCTTTTGACTTCTGGATAAAAGAGAGGAAAACATTCCAAACAAAGAGATCATAATTTCATTTCAGGAAGACTAAACTAATTTACGTGGTAGGTAACATGTCATCTGATAAATAACATATGTGGAAAGTTGTGGAAGTTAAGATTCAATTTATAGAATGAGACTTGTTTATAGATAACCAGGAATACAGTGTTGAACGTGCATGCCTATATTCACACAGTAAAAAGACAGGAAGGAAGTAAACGCCAGATGGTAGCACTGGTTCTCCTTCACCTCCTGACTCCCTCGTTTTACTCTTGTCGATTGAAATAACTATTATTTCCAGTTTCGTATCAGTCAGCCAAAAATGTTTGTTGATCATCTGTTGTCTTAACTTAAATTCTACCCAATGCAAACCTTGAGAAAAATACCTGGGTGCACATAATTTATTTGGGGGATGATCCCAGGAAGCACAAGTGAGGAAATGGCGAAAGTAAGACAGAAAAGGTAGAAAATCCCAACAGTGTTTGTGTTAATGGTAGGACCCCCACTGTGGGCATCTGGGGATGAACCCCGGGGACAGGCCTGAGGCTGGAGGCACTTGGCCACCATGATTGCACACCTACAAAATCCTGGAGAGTCAGCTGGGTATTAGTATGAATCATGAGATCAGATAAAATATGAACTTATACTAATCTATAGACTTTTTATACACTAGCAATAATTGTCTCTAAAATTTAATGGAGAAAAATCACACTGGGGCCTGTCGTGGGGTGGGGGGAGGAGGGAGGGATAGCATTAGGAGAAACACCTAATGTAAATGACGAGTTAATGGGTGCAGCACACCAACATGGCACATGTATACATATGTAACAAACCTGCACATTGTGCACATGTACCCTAGGACTTTAAGAATAATTTTAAAAAAGAACAATGTGCTCACAATTCTCAAGAGTAAATAGAAAAATATGTAAATAAATCTGCCAAGCCTATGTGAAGGAAAGTGTTAATATTTCCTGAAGGACATAAAATAACGTTTGAATAAATGTCAGAACAAGAGATGTGCAACGAAAGCCAAGTTTTCAAATAAATACATACATGTGTTATGCATGCATTTAATGAGGATGTATCTCAATTTGTAACATTAGGTATTGAATGGGATTGGCAAAGACCGTGATGGGAAACTTACCTTTGGTTGCATTCTTTTGTATTGTCTAAATGTTTAAAGAGCATATATTTGTGTATAAATGATATAAAAATCCTTAGAAAATAATAAATTTGATTTATATAAAATTCATAATTTTTTCTACAGATTCTGTTAAGTATGTTTTCTGCTATTATGTTTACATTCTTATTTCTTTCAGGAACTAAAATATTAAAAGTACATTTCAGTCAGTCATTTGAGCTCTCAAATTAGCTATCATGAATTTCAAATTGTTTTGGGGGACAGGCTGGGTTCCCCAGGAAGCAGACACTGAGATGGAGAGCAATATGCAGGAGGTTTATTGAAGCATGCTCTTGGGATTAACACTGGGGAAATGAGGGGAGGGGAGGGGAGGGGAGGGGAGGGGAGGGGAAAGTGAAGGGAGAGAAGGGGAAGGGGAAGGGGAGGGGATTAACACTGGGGAGAGGAGGGGAGGGGAAGGGCGGGGAGGGGAGGGGAGGGCAAGGGAAAGGAAGAAAGGGAGGGGAACGGGTGGGGAAGGGAAGGGGAGGGGAAGGGGAGGGGAGGCACAGCACAAGGGGTGGGGGCAGGTGGAGATGACACAGGTTGGGTGATAGCAAGTGACGTGGCAGGAGACTCGACCACAGACTGGACGCAGGCAGCAGCAGGGGCAGCAGCAGCTCGATTCACAGCAAGAGGGGCAGCAGCTGCTGGAGATGCAGCAGCTGGGGTGGCAGCAGGTGGGCTGGAAGCACACGGAATGGCAGCACTGGGGTCTGCAGCAGCTGGACACACAGCAGCTGGGGTGGCAGCAGGTCGTCCTGCAGCAGGTGGTCTGACAGCAGCTGGGGCGGCAGCAGGTGGGCTGGCAGCACACGGAATGGCAGCACTGGGGTCTGCAGCAGCTGGACACAGAGCAGCTGTGGGAGCAGGAGGTGGTTCTGCAGCAGGTGGTCTGACAACAGCTGGGGTGACAGCAGTTGGGTGGGCTGGCAGCACACAGACTGGAAGCACTGGGGCTGCATGGCATCTTTGAACTGCACATAGTAAAATGCAAGAGGAAAGAAATGATTTAAAGGTGGAATTCATAATTAAAAGGGAAACAGAACATAAAGATGTGGAAAATGTGGAGACTGACCATATAAAGAATGAAAAAGCATGCAAGATTGTGGCCAAGTAATGCTTTGTTACAAGGATTGATATGAATAGAAGGAAGCTAGGTGCTGTTCATCAAATCAGTGGGAGAATGGCTCTGAAGGCATTTCAAAGATCTTTGAAGCTGTCCCTCCCATCACAGGCTCCAAATGAGAGAATCTTAAGGTCAGAAAGGGTTTGGTACTCTCCACATTCTAGCACAGTGCCCCTTTGCTGCTCCAGTTGTGGCTCAAGTGGGTTTAGATGAGACTTGCGCTGCTGCTGCAGAGGCCACAAACTGTGAGCCTTGGTGGTGTTCATGTAGTACTGACTGTAGATACACAGACTGCAGGAGTTGTGGGGCAATGGTGGTCCACCTAGGTTTGAAAGGATGTTTCTGACAGCCTGCCTTAGGGGTGTAGCCACAGCAGAGAGGTCCTCCTAGGGCCATGCTCAGGAAAACGGGGGGTCAGAGCAGCCACTGAGACCCTAGAACTGTAGAACTATCAGCCTGCAATACTAGCCTGAGAGAGCTGCAGCAGAGACTCCAATCAGATAGCTGCTGTATGGGCTGAGCCCAGCAAAGCCATGGGGCAGGGCTATCTGAGGGCATTTGGGGCCTAACACCAAGGCCCCAGGCAGCCCTTCCCCATGTCGGGCACATCCAGGAGACAGCACATGGAGTCGAAGTTTATTCTCCAGTCTTAAGATTTAATGCTGTCTTCCCTGTTGGACTCACCTGGGGCCAGTTACCCTTTTTTCTTTCCTGTTGCTGCCTTTTGGAATGGGCCTGTCTATCCTATGCCTCTCCCACCATTGGATTTTGGAACTAGATAACTTCTTTAATAGGTTCACATATGGAGGAGAATTTGCCTCAGGATAAGTCCTGTGTTGAGTCTTATTCATATCAGAGTCACATGAGACTCTTAGATTTACATTTTGACTTTTAAGTTGGTGCTGGAACAAGTTAATACTTTGGGACTATTGGAATAAAATGAATATATTTTGTGTACGAGAAGGACATGGATTTGGGGGACCAAGGGTGGAATGCAATGGTTTGAATGTGTCCCTCAAAGTTCATGTGTTGGAAACTTGATCCTCAATGCCGCAGTGTTGGGAGGTTGGGCCTAACAGGAGATGTTTGGGTCATGGTGACACCACCCTCATGAGTGGATTAATGCTGTTATCACAAAAGAGGGTTCCTTATAAAAGGATGAGTTTGACTCCCTCTTTCTCTGTCTCACCCTCTCTTTTTCCTTCCACAGTGGGAAGACACGGTATTCCTGGTTATCTATAACCAAGTCTCATTCTATAAACAGAATCCTAACTTCCACAACTTTCCACATATGTTATTTATCAGGGGACATGTTACTTACCATAGAAATAAGTGTAGTTTTCCTGAAATGAAACTCTGATCCCCTTGTTTGGAATGTTTTCCTCTCTTTTATCCAGAAGTCAAAAGATATATACACTTTTAAAGGACCTTACATGCTTCTATGTCATCAAAAAGCCTTCATTCACTCAAGAAACATTTATCACCAGTGTTCTCTGTCCTGAGTATCATGGTAACAAAAAGAAACATCATAGCCCATGCATTCAGGGTATTTGCACTGTATATGGGGGAATGAAAGAAGTAAATGTCTATGATACAGTAGAATGTATCAAATTATGAGCACAAGACAGGAAATAATAATAGATGAATGGGGTAGCTTATTAGGAAATATATTATTGAGAAGGAAATATTTTAACTGGGTTTTGACACATGAGTAGGAGTTTGCAGAGTGGACAAAAAAAGATGAAACATTCCAAGAAGATGAAGCAGTCTCAGCAAGCTTAGCAAATTGTATTCTTTATCGCTTTCTTGGCTACACTAAGACATATTAGGCTTACTTTCTCTTTAATCTTGGACAAGTATTTTGTTTGTTTGTTTTAGCTTTTTAATGCTTCTTTTGAGTATTCTGCTAAAAGAGTAATAAGAATGTACCTACTTTTTAAGGTTGTATTAAAGAGTGAAAATGAAAAAGATATTTAGCACAATGTCTGGTACATAGTCAATACTTCACAAGTAATATATATATACACTGAGGGTGTGTGGAAATTATCCACATACTATACATTTTTATTTTAGTTGTTTAATGAACATAATTGTAATTCTTTTCATTTTTGCCAAATTCTGTTTCTTATGCATGTGTCTTATACAAGTACCTGCAGGAAAATGAGGAGGGTTTATCTGTTCTATACCCAGAGTACCCAATAGAATGTCTTGGATGCATATTATTGAAGGCTTAATAATTCTAAATATTGTTTACATATAACAAATGCTTTTGTCAATGAAAATCCATCATGCAGTTTTGATGATCAAAGGTAAATCAAAACTTCCTACTCCAAATGCCTATACTGTAAGACATACAGAAAAATGTGTTTTTACTCATTAAAGGCAATGAGTCATGGCTAAGTACTTTCACTTGGAGTGGTGGAATGAGATCTGACACAGAGTTTATAACTTCCTTGAGATCTGACCATCTCCCCAACTATTCAAGAAGCATACACGGAATCAGAGTCATCTTCATTATAGATGGGACATCCTTCTCCCGAATGAGTCCTTCCTTCTAATTCCTTTCCAACATTTCATCTGACCAGGACATTATTTGACAACAAAAGACACATTCACATTATAAAAATTGTCCCCCATGATTTGCAGAGAGCAATCTACAGGTAGGGGGGAGAATCACATTTAGAAATAAAGTGTCAGAGTCATGTGACCAGTGCTTTGTAAAAGACACTGCAGAGACCAGGGACAAAGGTGACCCCCACTAAGGAAGAAATATGACAAGTGTTTCCAATAGAAACACAGGAGCACAGCAGGAAAAGGAAATGGGTTATTTTCTCTCTTTTGGAGTATTTAAGTAGAAGCACACAATTATGTAATTACATGATTAAGTTTTCCACGAGGTAAATAATAAGGAAATAATGACGTGGTGGCAATGGGCCTTCAGCAGGGTATAAAGGTGGCTATGGACCCAGAAGACTTCCAAACCCAAGAACTTCACTCTCTTGGAAGCCCACCCAGATCCTCCCCGTTCTGACACCATGGTCAGCTCCTGTTGTGGCTCCGTGTGCTCTGACCAGGGCTGCGGCCAAGACCTCTGTCAGGAGACCTGCTGCCGCCCCAGCTGCTGTGAGACCACCTGCTGCAGGACCACCTGCTGCCGCCCCAGCTGTTGTGTATCCAGCTGCTGCAGGCCCCAGTGCTGCCAGTCTGTGTGCTGCCAACCCACTTGTTCCCGCCCCAGCTGCTGTCAGACCACCTGTTGCAGGACCACCTGCTACCGCCCCAGCTGTTGTGTGTCCAGCTGCTGCAGGCCCCAGTGCTGCCAGCCTGCGTGCTGCCAACCCACTTGCTGTCGCCCCAGCTGCTGTGAGACGACCTGCTGCCACCCTAGGTGCTGCATCTCCAGCTGCTGTCGCCCCAGCTGCTGTGTGTCCAGCTGCTGCAAGCCCCAGTGCTGCCAGTCTGTGTGCTGCCAGCCCAACTGCTGCCGCCCCAGCTGCAGCATCTCCAGCTGCTGCCGCCCCTCTTGCTGTGAATCCAGCTGCTGCCGCCCCTGCTGCTGCGTGCGTCCAGTCTGTGGCCGAGTCTCCTGCCACACCACTTGCTATCGCCCAACCTGTGTCATCTCCAGCTGCCCCCGCCCCTTGTGCTGTGCCTCCTCTTGCTGCTGAGCCCACTGCCCTGGCTTATCTCCCCCTTCACCACTGGCCCACAGATGTAGACCCTTCTACTGTGCTGACCATTAGGATACAGGAAGTGGGGTTGATGTCATTCAATAGAATGGAACTCATGTTTCCAATGAGCCCATCACCATTTCACTGACTCTTTGAGAACATTCTGATTCATTTTAAACTCCCTCCCTTGCTTTCTTTTTCTTCCGGTGGTGGCACCAAATGTGAATTAATTTGTAATCCACTAGCTAGAAATTATTCCAATCCTCTAATTTCCTCATTTTCTTTATCACTTTGAGGTACAGATCTTCTTCTCAGTGAGGCAGACATTATCTGCAGGACCAGTTTTGTCACTGAGGTTGCACCCTCAGATCCAGCCGCCCAGTTATATTCTGTGTTTCTCCTAGTGTGAATTTCTTATGCTTTGTTGCATCTCTGCTTTTTAATAAAATTTCTGTACATAAGAATTCATTGGTATCATTCTCTATTGCTTTCATAATTATTTTACTGATTCCCTGACAATTATATTTTACACAAAGACGCAGGAAAAGCAACCCGTGTTGAAATCACTTTGAAAATACATGCTATATCGAATATAGATAATTTACGGTATTGGAATAGAAGTGCTGTGTGTATATGTGTGTGTATGTGTGTGTGTGTGTGTGCACATGTGTCTTAATATCCTAAATTAAGACAGTTTTAATTCATACCTTAGCTCTTGAAACACATTTTATCTTTAACACATTATATCTCATAATACTATCGTCCCTGTTTTGACAAAAAAGATAAAACCAAATTTCTGAAAATTAGACACCAATGAAAGAAGGGAAATCTTCTATAAAGAATTTCATGTACTGAATTCATTTTACTCAATAACAACATTTTGGAATTTATAATCAAAAAGTGGGCTTTATTTCCCAGTGAGTTCTGCTGAGACAAAAAAGCATATTGAGCTGTAGTTCATCTGGATAGCATGGTATATTGCTGACTGTGGTCTCTACGGGTTTACATTATAATTTAAACAACTCCACACTTAACATTTTAATATATATAAACCCAGAAAGGATGAAAATTTCAAGGCTCGCTTTTCTTTTTAAGAATTATTTTATTGGAATTAGTTCAGTCTTGAGTAGGTCGCAGCTGGGGTGCATATCCTAATTAGAATTTCCAAGAGAGGTGCCTTCATTTGAATCTGAAAGAATATGGTAAGTGACTATAACTTGGCATTCTAGTAGGAGCACCTGCTCTTGATGTTTTTACTTTTATTTGACTATTATCAGCTCTGAAATGGCCTTAAGCTATTGAGCCAATCAAGTTTAAGATGATTTGTTCAGATATGTTCAAATATGAAAAATAAGCTTCATATTTTTTCAGATGCCTTAAGAAAAATGTTGTCCAGATCTCAGTCATAGAGTTATGATGCCTTCTTAAACATGAGGCAGGATAAATAAGGTTAGGAGGCTGTGAAAGTAAAATAAATATTGGGGCCCCCAAATCACTAAGCTAAAGGGAAAAGGCAAACTCGGAACTGCTTAGGACAAACTTGCCTCTCATTCTATTCAAAGTCACCCCTCTGCTCACTGAGATAAATGCACTGATTGCCTCCTTGGGAAAGGCTAATCAGAAACTCAAAAGAAGGCAACCATTTGTCTCTTATATACCTATGATCTGGAAGCCCCCTCCCAGCTTCGAGTTGTCCCGCCTTTGCTTCGAGTTGTCTTGCCTTTTCTGGACCAAATCCGTGTTCATCTTACATATGTTGATTGATATCTCATGTCTCCCTAAAATGTATAAAACAAAAGTGTTATCTGACCACCTTACACACATGTCATCAGGACTTCCTGAGGCTGTGTCACCGGAGCATCCTCAACCTTAGCAAAATAAACTTTCTCAATTAACTGAGACCTGTCTCAGATTTTCTGGGTTAACATTTTGGTAACTGTGAAAGGATTCTGAGTGGAGATGCCCTTGACCTTTGACGAATATCCTGTTGGTGCCTGGTAATAGCATGAGCTAACTTTATGGCTCAAATCAATAGGACAATTTGCTGAGGTCTGGGAGCACCCTCCCCAAAGAATCCCTGATCTCCCCAAATTTGGTGAAGAACTAAAGTTCATTTTGCTGTACAACTGCCCCACCTATTTTTGTTTTTGGAGTTTTACTTGCTTACTTGCCTTCCTTATAAGGAAGGCAAGATTTACTTTTACTTCCTTTACAAGGAAGGCAAGATTTCCTGCTTCCATGATGATGAAAGGCATGTAGAGTTTGAGCTCACTCCCAGCAGGGAAGACCAGTTTGAGTTTTTTTCCCGCTTCTAGGGTGGTAGAAAGCAGCCTTCAGCCTGAGACCCATCCCTAGGTAAGTAGCTGAACTGGGGCTTTGTCTGGGCTAAAGTTTAACAACCAGCTAGCTGCTCTTAATTTCTCCTTATCATTAGAGTGCTTGGTAATCCTATGGTTGGAGATTTTGTTGTTTGTTTTGGTCTTTCTCCCATCAGACTTGACCAACTCTACCTGACTTGGTCAAATCCAAGTGAGAATTCAAAATTACGGGTAACAAAACCTCTCTAATTTGGCTAAAATTCATTGCAGCTGCAAAAGAAGAAAACAAACAAAAAGAACCAAAAACCCATGCACTTGGTTTCTGTGTTTGCTTCCTGTCTTAAAACACGAATGTTCTTTCGTTTACTTTTCTTGCACCATATACCTCCTCCCCCTTTGCCATATGCAGTACCAAAAAGTCTAGAGAAGGCTTCTAATGACTTGAACCCCCTTAAAGAATTCAGAACAAAGGTTGCCACTCACCCCTTTTGGGGTGTTTTGTTTTCTTTGTGGAGTTTCAAGAGTCATGGGTAGATTCTTCTTAACTCTAAACCTCTATTTTCCTGTATTGCATGACCTGACCTCTTTGGCTTTGACCTTGTTGTGTATAGTGGTAGATGAGAGCTACAAAGTTAAGGGGTGGCTGAGCAAGGTTTACAAAAAGTGGTCTTGGCTGTTGTTTTGTTTTCCTTCTAGGAATTTGTCGTTTAAAGATCCTAATTCTAGTTCACAAATGCATTCTAAAGGATCTTCTCTGTTGCTTTTTCTCCCCAAATTAAGCTCAATTCAGCTTGTCTGTGTGCATTTGCATGAGGAACTGAACTGTTGTTTTCAGTGGTGACCCACTGTGGAGTCCTGCCCACAAATGGCACATATTGATCCACCACAGAAAACCTCTAGGCCTCAGCTCAGTTCCTCTTTTTAAGAAGAAAACTGGGAAACAAATAATCTAAGAATGAGGAGAAAGCAAAGAGAATGATTCCCTTTCAAGCACTCCATAGGTTTTATGGCACCTGTACTTGCCAGAGTTTAAGTAAAATGGAAGTAATATGGTCTTTGTGCATATTTACATTAAGAAAGAAAGGGCCCATGTAAATTAGTTCAACCATTGTGGAAGACAGTATGGTGATTCCTCAAGGATCTAGAATCAGAAATACCATTTGATCCAGCAATCCCATTACTTGTTATATACCCAAAGGAATACAAATCATTCTACTATAAAGACACAGGCACATGTATGTTTATTGCAGCACTATTTACAAGAGCAAAGACATGGAACTAACCCAAACGCCCATCAATTATAGACTTGATAAAGAAAATGTGGTACATATACACCATGGAATACGATGCAGCCATAAAACGGAGTGAGATCATGTCCTTTGTAGGGACATGGATGAAGCTGGAAACCATCATCCTCAGCAAACTAACACAGAAACAGAATACCAAATACAACATGTTCTCACTCATATATGGGAGTTGAACTTTGAGAACACATGGACACAGAGAGGAGAGCAACACATATCAGGGGCTGTTGGGGGGTGGGGAATGAGAGGAGGGAATTTAGAGGATGGGTCAATAGGTGCAGCAAACCACCAAGGCACACATATACCTATGTAACAAACCTGCACGTTCTCCTGCATGTGTATTTCATTTTTTTTTAGAAGAGAAAGAAAAGAAGGAAAGAAAGCAAGCAAGCAAGAAAGCAAGCAAGCAAGAAAGAAAGAAAGAAAGAAAGAAAGAAAGAAAGAAAGAAAGAAAGAAAGAAAAGAAAAAGAAAGAAAAGAAGAGCCTTAAGGTCAACCTACAAACTACAGAGTTCCTAAGTTCTCTTTTTTCTCTATTTTCTTTTCTGCCTGCTTTAAATCTGCTGTTATTTTTCTATTAAGATCAAAACCACTGTTTGGATACAACAGGCTTTTTGTTTGCAACCTGGTGAATTTGTATTTGTCTCATGGCTAAAGTTCTGAAGTAAAAGCTATAGGATTTCTGTGTGTGTGTTTGTGTGTGTGTGTGTGTGTGTGTGTGTATCTATTTAAAAGGCCTTTATAATTTTTATAATTTTATGTTTAATTGGCAATTAAATCCATTTTGACTTCCCTCTAGCACCACCAGACTTTTTCTCTCTGTACCTTATGATATAATTTTGCTATTTGATTTTTGCCTGAGTTGTTTCCTTTAACATGCAAACTTAAGGCTATTTAGCTGACAACTCCCTAGGGGAGTAAAACAGGTTATTAAGAATTTGAAAGCCTAAGATAGGGGAAAAAAGCTCCTTAAGTATCTATACGATGTACTTCTATCAGCATGCCTACTATGTCTATATATTTATGTGATGTGTACACAATTTCTCGCTACTGAAAATATATAAAAGAGTTCTAATTAATTGGCTTAAGATAAAAAGCACTTGAATCTAATACTTTATCAGGAAAAAAGAAAAGACTAGTTGAATGCTTTCTGAAGTTTATGTAACAAGTAAAATCTTTAATAAATAAGCTAGCTTTAAAATTATTGGTAAAGTAATATTAGACATGTCTTAAAAATTGCCAGCATGCATTTTTGTTTGCATTTATTAATCAAGCAATTTCATGCTTATCCCTGTCAAATACCATAAGGTGTCAAAATTTGCCATGGAGTTACAAAACTGTAATAGAATGATCTTTGCTTGTATAATCTTTAATAAATAAGACATTGATATTGGTTTAATAAAAATAGTCACATCTTGAATTTAGTGAGATTACTGTAACTTCTAATTTTGTGGTTTTGGTGGTCTAGTCCACAGGCAGTAAGATTTAGTTTGAGAATGAACTGTTATAATCTTTGTTTCAAAGGTAAACTATAAACTATGTTCCTCTCAACGTCTGTTCAGCCTGTGCCCAGGATTGAACAAGAACAGTTTGGAGGTTAGAAGCAAGATGGAGTCAATTAGGTCAGATCTTTTTCACTGTCTCAGTTATAATTTTGCAATGGCAGTTCCATAACTTTAAATGATGACTATTGCAGTTTTCATAAATAATCTAGGTAAACAATTCCTTTTTAAAAAGGTGAACAATTGTCATCTAATTCAATGCTTATTTAAAGATTATGTATAAGACAAGTTAAAAGGAACCAGGAAATCAGAGAGATGTAAAGAAAGGTATAAAAATAAAGAGGATAAAGAGGGTTCTTTTTGGTAAGGAAGCTTAAAGAGAAATAATTTCATATGAGAAAAGATCTTGTATGGTAAATTTAGACCTAAAATAAAATGATTGTTTAAGAAAGATGGATGTTCAAAACAAACCAGAAAGTCCAAGCATATCATGAACAGTCTGTAAAAGTCATAATAAGAGGATTAAAAAAAAAACCAACAAACTTTTATATGGTCAAGTTGTCTGTAATTAAAAGGAAATTATAATAGTCTTCCTGAAGATTGGGCTTCATGTAAAAAAAAAAAAGCAATGATAAACAAAATAGTTAGAGCGATGAAATTTTCTTAAGGGATTGATTTACTCTTATTAAATTATAAGAGATTTTAATTTTTTTAACCCAAAGTTCAACTGTTTACTCGCTGTTTTCTCTCCCCTTCAACTCGTTTGCAGCTCATATAAGTTATTTTCCTTAAATTCTATTTGTTATGGTCTGATGCTAACAATGTTTTCTAAAAGTCTAAAGAAAATGTTTTCTTCCAAAGTAATATTCTGTGCAGTGTAGAAGGTCTTTTCTTTTGCCTTTGGGTAATTGACCTAACAGATTTTATGGCTTATTGAAACAATGCTATGCTGTTATTATTAATTTTTGATTTGCTCAGGAAAAAGTATCTGAGATAATTTTTTAAAATTAAGGTTATTACATCCATGTATATTTCTGTAGGTGCTTTGAAAGTACCTGTGACATTAAGTTACAGGCCTTTGACTCCTGGGTCTAAAAAGGACACCAAGGTCTGCTAAATCTTAAGCACTGACAGCAATTAAAACCTCATCTTCAGGCCTGGTAGAAGATGCCAATCAAAATAAACTGCATTCCTGAGACATAAGGCCAGAAGTAAAAGCTATTCAACTCCTCAAGGCTCAGGAACTACCACAGAAGAGGTAGGCATGTGAGATTGTAAGGGCTGATTTTGAGAGACAAAATAAGTTCAGTTTCTCTGCAAGTTAATAATTGATGTCAAAGGCACACTGATGCAATACCAGCATACGGGCCCCTGCGTCAGATTAAAAAGGTTTTCTTGAAGTGTTAACCGACCCCTTAATAAAGGTTATAAAGGTTAAAAAAGGCTTATGGAAGCTGTATCTTATGGTCAAGATTAAAATTTTAAAGATTGATAATAAAATTTCAAAAAACAAATTTAATTGGCTTTATGCTGTTTTATTTGGGCTTAATGTTTGAAAAATTGACTTATTTTATGATGACCTATCAAGTATTTTAAACTTTTGATATTTGGCAAAGTTTCCAGAATCAAATTACAAGTTGTGTATTTTTCTGACCTAATTAATCCTCTAAGATATTAGTTTCCCTAAAGTCCAAAAATGAAATAAATGACTTATTTGGTATAAAAATTATACAGGAAGCATTGTCAAATATAAAATGGTGTTTGGTTTTCTTTGGGCTGTATTTGTATAAAAATGTTATTGGTATGTGCACCAAAATTATGGGAAACTCCTATAATTCTGATATGACATGGTGTACAATATCACTAATAATTATAATTGTTATATAAAATTATCGTGTGCCACAGTGGTAACAAATTTTCTTGTCAATTGTGTCTTTGATTATGGCTGACCTAAAACTTTTTGTCACCCATGGACAATTGTTTTGTTTTAGTCCTTTTTAGAAGATGGTTTTATAATCAGCTATAAAACTCTAACACGTGTTCTTGAAGGCAAGTTTCTAATAACTTTGGAGACTGTGACATCAGAATGGAGGAAAAGCTTTCAGAACTCATGGAGACCTGAAATGTTCATGAATAGCAAGCAGAACAGGAATTAACTGCATGAACTGAACTAATAGAAGAGCAACGTAATCTTTTTGACTTTTTGCTTAAAATGTTGCTGCTCCTTGTTTTCCTTTTTTTAGTCAAGGAAACTTTTATTTGAGCTGTTGTCAGCTTTTAACAAGTTAGTATACTCCTGTGAAAAATATTTGGAGCATATTTGTTTCTCTCTACCTGATTTTCCCCAGAATTGGAAACTATCTGTGAGTATTCTTAACTTATGGCAATACAGTTATTTGCATAAGTGCAATAATAATCTGTTTTCATGTGTAACAAGACACAATTGGAGAAATTGGTCATTTTACCAAGGCTTTGACTGGAATGGTGTGCTCTCCTTTAAGGAATCAAATTTGACTTATGGAGCCAATAAAAGCCCCTTGGGAGAACTGGCCTCATACCTTATCTACACAGTCCCTGTACAGGGTTCCTGACCTGTGGTAAGTAAAGCATGTCACTTTCTAACAGTTCCAGGAGCCCCAAGTTTATCTTGGAACCTCAAGAGCAGAGGAATTCATGCAACTCATAGGTATTTGATGGTACAAATCCATGGCTAGGCTAAGCTTTCCAAAAGTCTTATCCGAAATTCCTTCTATGGAACAAAGTTCTGATAGGGACAGGGGGCTGAGAAATTCTAGGCAGAAAAGGGTAGGTCTCTGACAAAACCCCACCTTCAAGCTGAAAAGCCTTAAACCACGGCCCAAAGTGAGAACTTATATCCCTGTTTTCCTGCTTGAAAGTTGCCTTTTTCTAAACCACTCATGGCTCCATCCTGTCCATCCTATGCCTGTGAAGATGCCAGACTCAGCTGGCAGAGGCAAGAAGCAGCTGGACATTGGGAACTACAGCTGGACGTCAGAGAGAAGCAGCTTGATTCAGAGGGACAGCTTGATGGTGTAATCTTGGAGAAGAATCCAGCTGGATACAGCCTAACTTTGAGGAAGATTACCTACCCACCCCATCCTTTTTCAGCTCCGCTTTCTGCTAAGAGCCACTTTCATCAGCAACAAAATCCCCCACATTTACCATCCTTTGATTGGTTCATGTGACCTCACTTTTCCTGGACACAAGACAAGAGCTTGGGAGCCAGGAGAGCAGATACAAAAGACTGTCACACTGGCCCTCTGCCCTTGCTGGTGGAGGGCAGCTGCCTCACACAAAAAGGCAGAGGCCTCACTGAGCTGTTGACACTTAAGCCATCCATGGAAGGCAGAGTTAAAAGAACACTGTAACATGCCCTCTGGGGCTATGGGGGTCGCAGGCACCCCCACCTAGATGCTGCTGTGGGGCCCACACAGAGTTTGCTCCTGCCGGTGGCCAAAAGCACTCACTTTGGCTCCTGCACTGATTCACCTGCATGCTTCCTCCCACAAGCAGGGGACTGCAGCAGGTCCCAGTGAGTGAAGTTTGATCCTACCGTGCTGCAGTGCCGATTCCAGCACACGTGCACTCCAGTTCCTGCCTCATTTGCTTGCATGCTCGCTCCTGCAAGGAGTTGAGAGTGGCAGGCTGAATAAACGAGGCACCCGTCACAAGTCCCACAAAGGGGTCAGGGAAACATCCTGCTTCAGTTCCATCAAAGGCAATTTAAAAGCTTATGCAAAAAAAAAGTATTACTATGGCTGCGCTGTATACAAATAATCAGGTCAAGTATAATAAAGAAAATCAGCCCTGCCATGATTTGTCTTTAGTAAAAATGGGAAATGGGAGAGAGAAGAATTATGTTTCAAAAAATGATAATACACCTGTTGTTAGATTCTAGTCTTGCCTAATGTTTTCCCATTTTTATTATTTTCTACAGTTTCCACTGAATTCTAATTTTTCTTGGCTACAGGTCTTCAAAAGATTGTTTTCAGTTTTTTTTTCTTCTTCTTTCCCCCATTTTTCCTAATTTGGAGTCACTGAAAACTCATCTGTGCTTTTGTAAAGCCCTGCGAACTGGAGCTAGAGAATTTAAACTTCAGAAGAAAATACCAGCAACCTGTTTACATACATAAGCCACTTTCATACCTGCCTACTGATGTATGGACTTCAGAGTAATGTGGCCCATATTGATTTTCCAGGATTGTTCTTTTGTTTATTTTTGTTTTTCTCCCTTCCTCCCCCTATTTTCTCTTCATAGGACATGAAACTTCACAACCTGCTAAAAATGAACTTTCCTAATAACTCAGGAATTATCTTTCTAGGAATAAACAATCCTAGCCATGAGATATCAGATGAAACTTGAGACCAAAGACTGACTTTCTTCAAAAAGGCTTTCTCAAAAAGATTTTTAAGAAAAGGGGGGAAATTTGAAAGGAAAATAAACCTTGGGGCCCTGAAATCACTAAGGTAAAGGGGAAAGTCAAGCTGGGAACTGCTTAGGGCAAACCTGCCTCCCATTCTATTCACAGTCACCCCTCTGCTCACTGAGTTAAATGCATATCTGATTGCCTCCTTTGGAAAGGCTAATCAGAAACTCTAAAGAAAGCAACCATTTGTCTCTTATCTACCTATGACCTGGAAGCCCCTCCCCGCTTAGACTTGTCCCGCCTTTTCCGGACGGAACCACTGTTCATCTTACATATGTTGATTGATGTCTCATGTCTCCCTAAAATGTATAAAACCAAGCTGTGCTCTGACCACTTTGGGCACATGTCTTCAGAACCTCCTGAGGCTGTGTCACAGGTGTACATCCCCAACCTTGGCAAAATAAACTTTCTAAATAAACTGAGACCTGTCTCCGATTTTGGGGGTTCACAAGGCCATACTGACTTGTCCCCTGTGTGAAGCCCAGCAGGATCCTTTCACAGCAAGCTCTTTTCACTTGAACCTTTGTGCATCAGTGCCTAACTCTTTCACAAGATAAGGGGTCCTACAGAATCGAAGCAGACCCACCAGAGGGTTACAAGTTCCTGATACCTAGTACAACCTGGGAAAGAGAGCAAAAGCCCTTTATTCCTGATGCAGCTTCCCCAATCTCTAGCCAATTTGCACCAAAAGCCCAAGAAACTCCTAACTACAAATTCCTTCCTGGGGTGGGGTGTTTGGGAGGGTGGGCAGGGACTTCTCTGGGGTCCTGCATGCACAGCTAGGATCAAGGTTCAGCTTATAGTAACCATTTCCTCATTTTAATAGTAAAAACAACCACAACAAGAAAAACACCCCAAGGCGGAGATTTCATATGCTAATGATACATGCGATGGGTGTTAGACCACGTGGATCCTGAGCACATGTGCCAACCGCAGGTCTGCCTTTGCATACTTGACCTCACCAGTATTTTATGATTATGTACGTATAGCTCCCATAAAAGGAATTCCTCTTACAGCACTAGCTGCTGTCTCTCCCACTGAGCACCCCACTCTGCCTCTCAAAGAGTACTTTTGCTTTGCAACAAATTTCTTCGCTTACTCTTACTTTGGATTTGCTCTCAAATTCTTTTGCACAGCAAATTCAAGAACCTGAACTGGTCCACCGACAACAAAATAACAAAATTCCCTTATATAACATTTGGAGTCTGCCTTAACTGATTTGAATCAAGATGGAATGCAGTAGGATGAGATGTGCCTTTTAAATTTGACACAGAAGAGTGAGGAGTATTACCATGATATCATAAGTTCTAAAATCATGGATGAACTTACAAACAACAATACTGGGGCTTTACCTATCCCAAAGCATTCCATATATCAAATTGAAACAATCAAAAGCTTCTATTTTATTTTAGTTTATGCGTGACATTGGAGCAGTTTGGCACTATGAGTTCATCCCTGAAGTCTTACTTTGGAATCATGCTTTGAGAATCCCCTTCTACTGCATTCCCACCTCACCCCCATGAATCAGTAAACTCAGTGAAAATTATCACAAAAAAATGCAAAAAACAATAAAAGATTTCTAAATGAAAAGTTTAATACAATATATTTTGTGAACACAATAAAGATAAAGAACCAATAAAATAGAAAAATTCTGGCAAACTTGAACAAACAGAGACAAAGAGAGAACAGGGAGAAAGCAGGAGAGCATGGGAGGGGCAGCCTCCTACCTTTCCAAGAGAAAAGAATGACTGAAAGGCTGACAGACAAATAATATGTTTGAAATGGAGATAATGTGTACCTCACTGGGAAGGATATTCTGTAGGCTCAAAACGATTTAAAAAATGAGGAATTTAGAGGATTGGAATAATTTCTTAGCTAGTGGATTACAAATTATTTCATATTTGGTGCCATGACTGGAAGAGAAAGAAAGCAAGGGAGGGAGTTTAAAATGAACCAGAATGTTCTCACAGAGTCAGTGGGATGGTGATGGGCTCATTGGAAACATGAAGTCCACCCTGCTGAATGACATCAATCCCACTCCATGTGTCCTAATAGTCAGCACAGAAGAATGGTCTACAACTGTGGGCCTGCAGTGAAGGGAGAGATGAGCCAGGGCAGTGGGCTCAGCAGCAAGAGGAGGCACAGCACAAGGGGCGGGGGCAGCTGGAGATGACACAGGTTGGGCGATAGCAAGTGGTGTGGCAGGAGACTCGGCCACAGACTGGACGCAGGCAGCAGCAGGGGCGGCAGCAGCTGGATTCACAGCAAGAGGGGCGGCAGCAGCTGGAGATGCTGCAGCTGGGGTGGCAGCAGGTGGGCTGGCAGCACACAGACTGGCAGCACTGGGGTCTGCAGCAGCTGGACACACAGCAGCTGGGGCGACAGCAGCTGGAGATGCAGCATCTGGGGCGGCAGCAAGTGGGCTGGCAGCACATAGACTGGCAGCACTGGGGCTTGCAGCAGCTGGACACACAGCAGCTGGGGCGACAGCAGCTGGAGATGCAGCATCTGGGGCGGCAGCAGGTGGGCTGGCAGCACACAGACTGGCAGCACTGGGGCCTGCAGCAGCTGGACACACAGCAGCTGGGGCGACAGTAGGTGGTCCTGCAGCAGGTGGTCTCACAGCAGCTGGGGCGGCAGCAGGTCTCCTGGCAGAGGTCTCGGCCACAGCCTTGGTGAGAGCACACGGAGCCACAACAGGAGTTTACCATGGTGTCAGAGGGTGAAGGATCTAGTTGGGTTTCTAGGAGAGTGAAGTTCTTGTGTTTGGAAGTCTCCTGGGCCTGTAGTCCCTTTATACCCTCCTGAAGGCCCATTGCCACCACATCATTATTTCCTTGTTATTATTTACCTACTGGAAAAATTAATCATGTAATTACATCATTGTGTTTCCAGTTAAATACTCCAAAACAGAGAAAATAACCCATTTCCTTTTCCTGCTGTGCTCCTGTGTTTCCATTGGAAATGCATGTCATATTTCTTCATTAGTGGGGAGTCACCTTTGTCCCTGGTCTATGCAGTGTCTTTTACAAAGCACTGGTCACAGGACTCTCTGACATTTTGTTTTTAAATGTGACTCTCCCTCCTACCTGCAGATTGCTGTCTGCAAATCATGGGGGATGATTTTTATAATGTGAATGTATCTTTTGTTGTCAAAGAATGTCCTGGTCAGGTGAAATGTTGGGAAGGAATTAGAAGGAAGCACTCATTTGGGGAAGGATGTCCCATCTGTAATGAGGATGACTCTGATCCCATGTGTGCATCTCGGATGGTCGGGCAGATGGTCAGATCCCAAGAAGTTCTAAACTCTGTCAGATCTTATTCCACAGCCTCCAGCGAAAGTACTTACCCATGACTCACTGCCTTTAAAGGGTAAAAACACATTTTGCTGTATGTCTTACAGTATATGCATTATGAGTAGGAAGTTTTGATTTATCTTTTTTTTTTTTTTTGACAGATTCTCAATCTGTCGCCAGGCTGGAGTACAGTGGCATGATCTCTGCTCACTGCAACCTCCACCTCCTGGGTTCAAACGATTCTTTTGCCTCAGCCTCCCGAGTAAGGTGGTTTGCGCCATCACACCCAGCTTACTTTTGTATTTTTAGTAGAGACAGGGTTTCACCATGTTGGCCAAGATGGTCTCGATCTCTTGACCCCGTGATCCACCTGCCTTGGCTTCCCAAAGTGTTGGGATTGCAGGCATGAGCCCCCAACACCCAGCCTGATTAATCTTTGATCATCAAAATTGCATGATGGATTTTTCATTTACAAAAGCATTTGTTATATATAAAGAATATTTAGAATTATTAAGCCTTCAATAACATGCATCCAAGATGTTCTATTGGGTACTCTGGGTGTAGAACAGATAAACCCTCAACTTTTTCTTGCAGGTACTTGCATAAGACACATGGATAGGAAACAGTTTGGCAGAAATGAAAAGAATTACAATTATTTTCATTAAACAACTAAAATAAGAAATGTATAATATGTGGATAAGTTCCATACACCCTCATGGTATGTATATTACTTGTGAAGTATTGACTATGTAGCAGGCATTGTACCAAATATCTTACATTTGTTTCATTTTCACGCTTTAATAGAACCTTATGAACTAGTTTATATTCTTATTAGTCTTTTAGGGGAATACTCAAAAGAAGCATTAAAAACTTAAAACAAACAAACAAACAACTTGTCCAAGGTTAAAGAGAAAGTAAGCCTAATATGTCTTAGTGTAGCCAAGAAAGCCGTAAAGAATACAATTTGCTAAGCTTGCTGAAACTGCTTCATCTTCTTGGAATGTTTCATCTTTTTTTGTCCACTCTGCAAACTCCTACTCATGTGTCAAGACCCAGTTAAAATATTTCCTCCTCAATAATATCTTTCCTGCTAAGCTACCCCATTCATGTATCATGATTTCCTGCCTTGTGCTCATAATTTATACATTCTCCTGTATCATAGTCATTTACTTCTGTCTTTCCACCACGTGCAATGCAAATACCCTGAAGGCTTGCGCTATGGCATTTATTCTCGTTACCATGATACTCAGCACAGAGAACACTGGTGGTAAATGTTTGTTGAGTGAATGAAGGTTTTTTTGATGACATAGAGGCATGTAAGGTCCTTTAAAAAATGTATATATCTTTTGACTTCTGGATAAAAGGGAGGAAAACATCCCAAACAAAGAAATCATAATTTCATTTCAGGAAGACTAAACTCATTTGTGTGATAGGTAACATGTCACCCGATAAATAACATACGTGGAAACTGCGGAAGTCAAGATTCAATTTATAGAATGAGACTTGTTTATAGATAACCAAGAATACAGTGTTGAACGTGCATGCCTATATTCACACAGTAAAAAGACAGGAAGGAAGTAAACGCCAGATGGTAGCACTGGTTCTCCTTCACCTCCTGACTTCCTCGTTTTACTCTTGTTGATTGAAATAACTATTATTTCCTGTTTCGTATCAGTCAGCCAAAAATGTTTGCTGATAATCTGTTGTCTTAGCTTAAATTCTACCCAATGCAAACCTTGAGAAAAAGACCTGAGTGCACATAATTTATTTGGGGGATGATCCCAGGAAGCACAAGTGAGGAAACGGTGAAAGTAAGACAGGAAAGGTAGAAAATCCCAACAGTGTTTGTGTTAATGGTAAGGCCCCCACTGTGGGCAGCTGGGGACGAACCCCAGGGACAAGCCTGAGGCTGGAGGCACTTGGCCACCATGATTGCACACCTGTAAAATCCTGTAGAGTCAGCTGGGTATTAGTGTGAATCGCGAGATCAGATAAAATATGAACTTATACTAATCCATAGACTTTTTATACACTAGCAATAATTCTCTCTAAAATTTAATGGAGAAAAATCACACACTGGGGCCTGTCGTGGGGTGGGGGGAGGGAGGAGGGATAGCATTAGGAGAAATACCTAATGTAAATGACGAGTTAATGGGTGCAGCACACCAACATGGCACATGTATACATATGTAACAAACCTGCACGTTGTGCACATGTACCCTAGAACTTAAAGTATAATAAAAAAAAAAAGAAGCATGTACTCACAGTTCTCAAGAGTAAATAGAAAAATATGTAAATAAATCTGCCAAGCCTTTGTGAAGGAAAATGTTAACATTTCCGGAAGGACATAAAATAATGTTTGAATAAATGTCAGAACAAGAGATGTGCAACGAAAGCCAAGTTTTCAAATAAATACATACATGTTTTATGCATGCATTTAATGAGGATGTATCTCAATTTGCAACATTAGGTATTGAATGGGATTGGCAAAGATCATGATGGGAAACTTACTTTTGTTCACATTGTCACATTCTTTTGTATTGTCTAAATGTTTAAAGAGCATATATTTGTGTATAAATGATCTAAACATCCTTAGAAAATAATAAATGTGATTTATATAAAATTCATAATTTTTCTACATATTCTGTTAAATATATTTTCTGCTATTATGTTTACATTCTTATTTCTTTCAGGAACTAAAATATTAAAAGTACATTTCAGTCAGTCATTTGAGCTCTCAAATTAGCTATCATGAATTTCAAATTGTTTTGGGGGACAGGCTGGGTTCCCCAGGAAGCAGTCACTGAGATGGAGAGCAATATGCAGGAGGTTTATTGAAGCATGCTCTTGGGATTAACACTGGGGAGGGCAGGGGAGGGGAAAGGGAGGGGAGGGGAAAGGGAAAGGGAAGGGGAAGGGGAGGGAAAGGGAAGGGAAGGGAAGGGAAGGGAAGGGAAGGGAAGGGAAGGGAAGGGAAGGGAAAGGAAGGGAAAGTGAGAGAAAGATCAAGTTTGACACTGGGATAAATCAAACTGCAGGGCAATCTCCGTGGAAGTCTCAGATGAACCTATAGGGAGTTCTGGAGATGAGATGACCCATTAGAGGCATCCCTAGTTGGGGAGAAATGTGGGTCTTTATAGTTTCATCCTAAAAAAAGGGCATGACTTTGGACGAAAAGAAAAAAAATCAGTCTCCAGCATACCTGTGAGTTTTCACTAGGCCTGCTTCCTTCATTTCCATCACCTGCCTGGCCGTGAAGGTGGCCCTCTCTACATGGCAGCATGAACTCCCCATTGAAACTCTGCCAGTCAGAATGAAGGAGATCCACTGTGTTTGTGTTGAGGATTCATTACACATGACTCAGTAGAAAATACATGGACTTTGCTAAACCACCTAATAGCTGCTTTTACTGGAAAAAAAAAGAAATTGAAATACAGTGTTTTAAAAGATCACAGCTCTGTGCACAATAGTAAAGACATGGAATCAGTCTAGGTGCCCATCAACAGTGCATTGGATAAAGAACATGTGACATTTTCACACCATGGAATACTACACAGCCATAAAAAAGAATGAAATTTTGTCCTTTGCAGCAACATGGATGTGGCTGGAGGACATTATCTTAAGCAAATTTTTCCAGGAACAGAAAACCAAATATTGCATGTTGTCACTTACAAATGGGAGCTAAACATTGGATACACATGGACACAAAGATGAGAACAATTGGGGACTCCAAAAAGGGGGGAGAGAGGGAGAGAGGAAGGGCTAAAAATGACCCACTGCTCAGTACCTGGTGACAGAATCATTTGTAGCCCAAACCTCAGCATCACACAACATGTAACAAATACGAATATGTACTCTTTGATTCTAAAATAAAAGTTGAAATTATTTTTTAAAAGATGATGAGTTGTGATCAATCTTTCAAAACGTTTCCCCTGTTGTTATATTCATGGATATTTCATGACTTCAGCTTCACTCTTTTTGTCTAAAGAATACAAAATGACTAATTGATTTGCCTAAGCCTGAAAAGACTTTTCTAGAAAAAAACTAGGCAGTGATCGATGTCAGTTGACCTCTGTTAGAAGGTTGACTAATCTGTGCTGTGAGCCCTACAGGTGTAGTTAAATGTAATCACCCAGGACCTAAATATAAAACCCTTTTTAAAAAGAGAATAAGAATCATATTCAATTTTCAGTGCCAATAGAATAGAGGTTTATTTTGGTACATGGAAATAACAAGGTACAAAAATGTTTGCAAAAGACTTTAAGAGAGAGACTTCACTGGACTTCAAGGTTGGAGGCTTTAAGATCTGTGGCCCTACAAATGATGGAGGCAATCTTCAAATTCCTTAGGCATGATGAATAAATGTCCTGAAGTCAAAGAGGTGGGAGGATGTTGGAGGACAATTTGTCAATTTATTAGGAGATTGTCAATGAATTCCTTTGGAAGGAAGGGAGTTTGGACAAAAGGTAGAATGCAAATACAGAATTTCTAAGGATGAGGTTTGCTTATGGGACCCAGATCAATTCTCTTGAACAGTCCGCATGTTTGCAATGAGAGCCTTCATCTGTAGGAAAGGACGTAATAAGGAAGTGGTGTGTTCACAGCAGAGATTTAGCAGCAAGAGGAGGCACAGCACAAGGGGCGGGGGCAGGTGGAGATGACACAGGTTGGGCGATAGCAAGTGGTGTGGCAGGAGACTCGGCCACAGACTGGACGCAGGCAGCAGCAGGGGCGGCAGCAGCTGGATTCACAGCAAGAGGGGCAGCAGCTGCTGGAGATGCAGCAGCTGGGGCGGCAGCAGGTGGGCTGGCAGCACACAGACTGGCAGCACTGGGGTCTGCAGCAGCTGGACACACAGCAGCTGGGGCGGCAGCAAGTGGTCCTGCAGCAGGTGGTCTGACAGCAGCTGGGGCGGCAGCAGGTGGGCTGGCAGCACACAGACTGGCAGCACTGGGGTCTGCAGCAGCTGGACACACAGCAGCTGGGGCGGCAGCAGGTGGTCCTACAGCAGGTGGTCTGACAGCAGCTGGGGCGGCAGCAGGTGGGCTGACAGCACACAGACTGGCAGCACTGGGGCCTGCAGCAGCTGGACACACAGCAGCTGGGGCGGCAGCAGGTGGTCCTGCAGCAGGTGGTCTGGCAGCAGCTGGGGCGGCAGCAGTTCTCCAGGCCACAGCCCTGGTCAGAGCACACAGAGCCACAACAGGAGTTGACCATGGTGTCAGAGGGTGGAGGTTCTCGGTGGGTTTCCAGGAGAGTGAGTGTTCTGAGTTTGATCTCTCCTTGTTCTCTCTTTTGCTTTTTATACCCTGCTGAGAACCACTATGACAATGTGAATAATCTTGTGGTTTGCACATTACTAATAGAGAATCAGTTGTTTTTTAGTAAATTAGATAGTTGTCCTTATCTGGTAAATATTTCTATAAATAGAAAAGGCAACATTTCCTTTTCCTGTTGTATTCTGAGCTATCCAATTTGGTTAAGCCAAGTGAATCAGCTCTCATTCTCCTTCCTTCATCTGATGTGTCTTCTGATGTGTAGACCCATTACATGACATTGTTTGATTGGATTTCATAAGTTAATTCTTTATTTATTTGACTCCTGGATAATAAGTTGAAAATAGATTTTATGATGACTAAATCTCCTCTGCTCTCAAAGAGGTTAAAAATAAATTACATAGAATGCTGGTAGGAAAATGTGATGAAAGATTCATCTTTGGGGGGTGATAGGAGGTAACTTGTGTATAATAAGGAACACTGTGATTCCTTTGAATTTTGTGGCTGGTCAGTGAGATATAAAAGATCCCACTGAAATTCCTGTTTCATGTTATTGACTCTATTTAGCTTGAAACAGATATAATGCAATGATTCATTGCTTTACAAGTAAAAATACATTGGCATGATAGGTCCCTTTATAAATTATTGTTGGCATGTTCTTCAGAGATGGGGATCATAAGGAACATTTTTGTTCTATTTTGTTGGTAAGTCAAGATACCCACTGAATGTGTTTAACTGAAGTGTTATTGAAAGTAGATTTTCTCATACTCGAAAGCTGCTTTTTCTCACAATGTATGTTGGAGATATTTTGCTTGATACATGGAGAAAAGAAACAAAGGATCAAGTTTAATTTCTGTCCTACAGAAGCTTAAACAAGACAAATAAGAAACATGTATAGGAAAGAATTTAGCAACTATTTAGAGAATGGTGTGATTAGTGAACAAAATAACAATTATGTATTTAATCTGTACACTTCCAATGAAAGATGAAACAATACTAATAGTTATAATTTTTTGAGTGCTTACTATGTGTCAGGAATTTTCTGAGTCCTCTATAATTGTTATCTTGTTTATACTTCACAAGGATTCTGCTATGTAGACACAATTTTTCTAAATTCTTTACATCCAAGGTACTTGAGGCCCAGATAGATTGAAGTCACACAGTCTGTAACAGGGAAAGGGCGTCTCTCCTAGAGTGTTCAAGGAACATTTTGCGCATGAACATTTTGCAATTAAATCCCTCCTGATATTTAAAAACAATTATTTATAATTAAAAAGATGCAAGGTATGTTCTCACTCCTAAGTGGGAGTTGAACAATGAGATCACATGGACACAGGGAGGGGAACATCACACACTGGAGCCTGTCGGGGGTGAGGGACAAGGGGAGGGAGAGCATTAGGACAAATACCTGATGCATGTCGGGCTTAAAACCCAGATGACGGATTGATAGGTGCAGCAAACCATCATGGCATATGTATAACTATGTAACAGACCTGCATGTTCTGCACATGTATCCCAAAACTTAAAGTAAAATTTAAAAAAAAAAAATGTATGGTAAGAAACCATCATAAACAAAGTAAAAACACAAATGACTAAATAATAAAAAAAGAACTAGCAATTAATATCACGGACAAAGGGTTAATAGTATATAAAAGACTTCTGAGACTGGACACGGTGGCTCACACCTGTAATCCCAGCACTTTGGGATGCCAAGGCAGGCGGATTGTTTGAGGTTAGGAATTTGAGACCAACTTGGTTAACTTGGCAAAACCCCATCTCTACCAAAAAAACAAAAAAAAGCAAAAAAAAAAAAAAAAATGGCGAGGTGGCATGCATCTGTGGTCTGTGGTCCCAGCTACTCAGGAAGCTAAGGTGGGAGGATTGCCTGAGCCCAGGAGGCGGAGGTTGCAGTGAGCCAAGATTGCACCACTGCACTCCAGCCTGGGTGACAGAAGAAGAAGAAAAAAAGGCTTCTGGAAATAGATAGAAAACAGACCAACAGCCTAATGGGAAAATAAAATGCAAATATTTTACCACCATATAAATATACTCAATCTCATGCATAGTAAGAGAAATGAAATAATATGGTACGATACTTCTCACCTGTTAGATTATCAAAAATTCAAAATCTGATAGCATTCTCTGGAAGTGAGATGATGTGAAAATAGGCATGCTCGTATTTGTCTTGTGAAGGTTTGGCAATAACTAGCAGCATTATTCTTTGACTCAGCTATCCCAATTCCATAAAATATCTCAAAGATACTCAGGTAAATATATGAAAGATATTGCACAAGACGATTCATAAGAGTTCTATTTGGGAAAAAAACTAAAAACTACAACAACACTGGATACAACCCAGGTGTCCTTCAATAGGGTACTGGTGTATAAACTGTGGTGCCTTCCCATGATGGAGTACTATGCAGCTGTCAAAAGGAATAAGGAGTGTCTCTATAGGCTACTATAAATTAATCTCCAGTAGATATTGTTAGGAGACGATAAAGCAGTGGAGGAAAATGTGTACAATTGTTCTGCAACAATGTTTTAAAAATCCAGGATATAAATATTGAAAGTATATTTGCTTACACTTTAAAAAACGACAGAAGAATAGAGAGAGAGGAGATGAGAAAACAGGAAAGAGGGACTTCTGTCAAAACATCAAATTGTGCATTTTAAGTACATGCAGTTTATTTATTATATGTCAATTGTAATTTAATGTAGCTGAAAAAAAAAGAAAAAAATAATGGAAGAATCAACCACATTTGGTTTTGTTGTTGTTGTTGTTGTTGTTGTTGTTTGAGACGGAGTCTCACGTTGTCACCCAGGCTGGAGTGCAGTGGAGCGATCTTGGCTCACTGCAACTTCCACCTCCTGTGTTCAAGCAATTCTCTGCCTCAGCCTCCTGAGTAACTGGGATTACAGGCGCCCACCACCACACCCAGTTAATTTTTGTATTTTTAATAGACATGGGGTTTCACCATCTTGGCCAGGCTGGTCTTGAACACCTGACCTCATGATTCCCTGCCTCAGCCTCGCAAAAGTGCTGAGATTACAGGCGTGAGCCACCGCACCCAGCCCATGTTTGTTTTTTAAAAATTGACCCATAGAGGATGGAGGGAATAGAATAGAGAAGATAGAAACAGACACTAGATTATTTTTGAATGTATCTTTTTCTGTAGCTTGGACTTTGCACCCATGTAAATATTTTACATACTTATAAAAATATTAAATTTTTAAAATCTCTCAAAATCACTAAAACCACCACCACAACAATGGAATCTAACTGTATATCCAGGCATAACTTCAGAGAAAGTAACTATCCCAAGGCCAAAATGTTTTTTTCAAAAACCTGTTAAGTTTGTTTGCAATAACTACACTGTTGTTATTAGTATTGGCAATATTATTCCAAGATTGTTGTGCAAGCATTAGGTAATAAAGAAAATGAGTAATTACATCAAGGAACTGTTATTTTTGGCAAGGAATAAAAGAGATTTAGGAAAAAGATATGAGGTTAAGTAAAAATCCTGTAATTATCAGTAGAAACGCTGATGTACTTTATCTTTTAAGCAAATATTTTCTAGTTGTGGACACTGAAAAAGTTGAGAGAAAATAATCAATTTAGTAATACTCATCATTTTTACATTTCAATCTTTCGTCCCAAATGCCATATTCACTACAAGGAACAGGGGTTCCTTGGAGAAATGGCTGAATATAAGTGTGGGTAAGGAAATATACAAATGAACCTGGAATATCTTATTATATATATATTAAAAAAAATCTACTAGATTCACGTCAAAAGTAGCCAGAGACCAACTTGAAGTTTGTTATTTGAGCACCAATGGGGATATGAACTGGAACCCACAGGTTCATATTGACAGGAGTTAAAAAAAATACTTTGGTCAGCTTTGAATGATGTTCCATTAGCAAGATTAACCAAGAAAAGGGAGAAAAAATCTAAATAACCTCACTAAGAAATGAAATGGGAGCTATTACAACTGACACCACACAAATACAAAAGATCATTCAAGGCTACTATGAACACCTTTATGCACATAAACTAGAAAACCTAGAAGAGATGGATAAATTCAGGGAAAAATACAACCCTCTTAACTTAAATCGAGAAGAATTAGATACCCTGAACAGACCAATAACAACCAGTGAGATTGAATGGTAATTAAAAAATTACCAACAAAAAAAAGTCCAGGACTAGGCAGATTCACAGCAGAATTCTACTAGACATTCAAAGAAGAATTGGTAACAATCCTTTTGACACTATTCCACAAGATAGACAATTAAGGAATCCTCCCTAATTCATTCTATGAAGCCAGCATCACCCTAATACCAAAACCAGAAAATGACATAACCAAAAAAGAAAACTACAGACCAATATCCTTGATGAATATAGATGCTAAAATCCTTAACAAAATACTAGCTAACTGAATCCAACAACATATCAAAAAGATAATCCACCATAATCAAGTGGGTTTCATACCAGGGATGCAGGGATGGTTTAACATATGCAAGTCAATAACTGTGATACACCACATAAACAAAATTAAAAACAACAATCACATAATCATCTCAATAGATGCAGAAAAAACATTTGACAAAATCCAGCATCCTTTTATTATTAAAACCCTCAGCAAAATCAGCGTACAGGGGACATATCTTAATGTAATAAAAGCCATCTATGACAAACCCACGGCCAACATAATACTGAATGGGGAAATGTTGAAAGCATTACCTCTGAGAACAGGAACAAGACAAGGGTGCCCACTCTCCCACTCTTCTTCAACATAGTACTGGAAGCCCTAGCCAGAGCAGTCAGACAAGAGAAAGAAATAAAGGGCATCCAAATCAGTAAAGAGGAAGTCAAACTGTCCCTGTTTGCTGACAGTATGGTTGTTTACCTTGAAAACTCTAAGGATTCCTCCAGAAAGCTCCTAGAACTGATGAAAGAATTCAGCAAAATTTCCAGATATAAGATTAATGTACACAAATCACCAGCTCTTCTATACACCAACAGCGACCAAACGGAGAATCAAATCAAGAACTCAACCCCTTTAACAATAGCTGCAAAAAAAAAAAAAAATACTTAGGAATATACTTAACAAAGGAGACAAAAGACCTTTACAAGGAAAACTACAAAACACTGTTGAAAGAAATCATAGACGATAGAAACAAATGGAAACACATCCAATGCTCATGGATGAGTAGAATCAATATTGTGAAAATGATCATACTGCCAAAAGCAGTCTACAAATTCAATGCCATCCCCATCAAAATACCACCATCATTCTTCACAGAGTTGGAAAAAACAATTCTAAAATTCATATGGGACCAAAAAAGAGCCCACATAACCAAAGCAAGACTAAGCAAAAAGAACAAATCTGGAGGCATCACACTATCTGATTTCAAACTACATTCTAAGGCCATAGTCACCAAAACAGTGTGGTACTGGCATAAAAATAGGCACATGGATCAATGGAACAGAATAGAGAACCCAGAAATAAACTCAAATACTTACAGCCAACTGATCTTCGACAAAGCAAACAAAAACATAAAATAATATTCTTATTAATTTTTCTCCACAGTTTCTCTCATTAATTCCATAGTGGATTAGAGTATTTGATTATTGGCTTGTCTTATTTTTATTCTTATATTAACTGTAGCTTCTGTATGTGAAGTTTTATCTCTATATTTATGTGTTGATTGTAGCCTTTAGCATAATACTTTTTCCTACTTTGTCTTCTGTAATGCTTTTTGTGTAAGTCTAACTTGTGGGATAGAAGAATTGTAGCCCCTGCTTTCTTCCATTTGCATTTTCATATATGTATCTCTGTCTTTACCTTTTCACTTTTAACCTTCTGATGCTTGTTGATTCACTTGTGTCTCTTTATAGACAGCATAATGCTGAGCTTTCCTTTTCATAAGCCAATCTGAAAATCTTTTTTTAAAGTCAGTTGAGCCTATTATATGTATGGATATAATCAATATGCTTAAATTTAATTATGTCATTTTTATTATACTTATATATAATAATGATATATAATAAGTTATCTTCTATATTTGTTAAATATTTCTCTTGCCTGTCTCTTTATCTTTCTATCTCTCTGTCTTTCACTTTTAAAATTCTAATCTTTCACCTTTTAAATTCTCTCTCTTTCTCAGTATGCCTTTTGGTATTTAGGAATGTTTGTATTTTGTACTAACGGTTACCTTTATATACCTCATGAGCTCTATTTTTTAGCTACTGTCAGTTGATTCTCTGCTTACAGAAATATTGAAATTATCTGGTTACCTCTTTATTCCTCACTCCCTGAGCATGAGATTTGAATTCCTGGTTAATATCTATAAGGCAATCAGCAAACTTCTACTTTATATATTTGCTCTCCTTTTCCTTCCTGTTTTGGTAGTTGTGCTGTATCAACATTGTCAGTACATAGCTGTTAGTTATCACACTTCCTCTCTTAGGCTTATCGTTCATTCTGTTCTTAGTTCCAAAGGATATATATCGATCCAGACCTCATGTAGATGTCCTTCCAGTATCTTTAGTCATCTGATTTTATGAAGTTCACTTGTTAATAAATTCTTCAGGATCCACCCATGGTGGAGAATATTCACTGAGTTTTTTCATGTTTATAATAGTTTGTTTGTGGCCTTTATACCTGAAGTTCAGTTTGGCTGAATTTAAAATCTTTGCCTCACATTTTCTTTCCTTGAGCATTACTCTATTATCTTCTGACATTTTCATCAAAATGTGTGAAAACAAGCTCGTTTTATTTCCTTCTGGTTGACATGGACATTTTGCCTGGATGTTCAAATGATTACTTTTCTTTAAATAATTATTATGTTTTTCTTTAAAATTCAAGGCTTTTATAACATTATGTCTCAATTTTGACCATTATGAGCTTATTTTTCCAGAAGGGGTAGCTATACTTATAACAGATAAAACAAACTTAAAATCAACAACAGTAAAAACAGAGAAAGGAGGTCATTATATAATAATAAAGGGATCAATTCAGCAAGAAGATATAACAATTCTAAATATACATATTAGTAAGAGAGTGAGCTTAGTAAATTTGAAAGTCCCTTTGCCACCTGTCCTTTTTTGTGCTCTGCTGAAGCAGCTGTGACCATGTCCGGGATCATTTCCTACTTTATTTTCTTATGGAGATGTTGGGGCTCAGAAAACAAAACCCCAAAATATGATTCTTTGGTACCTTGATTGGGGAATTGTGGGGAACAGCAGCTATAAGCAGAGGTTTTCTCTGAGGTTCCCGTATCTGCCTGAAGACATCCAGGAAAGATATATAACAGGAAAAGAGGCTAAATGTTGACATCACCCCAGAGCGGCTTTGCCTGAAAGACTTTACCTACATAGCAAGACAGCCTTTGTTCACCATACATTTCTTTCCCTCACCTTCCCATAGCTTGTGGACACCTCCCCTAAGAATCCCCAAGACCCTATTCTGATGCTATACAAACTTCAATCATTGGCCCTTCTTCAAGTCTTATAGTTTGTGAGGCTCTGCACATGCATGTAATAAATTTGTATGCCTTTTCTCCTGTTGATCAGTCTGCTGTCACTTTTTTCCAGAGACTCAAATTCTCACATCTAGAGAGTAGAGGGAAGTTTAAAACACACCTATACACTATACACGAAATTAGATCATTACGTTTTTCTGGTTAAATATTTTAAGATGTAGGAAAATATTATTTCCCTTTCCTAGTGTGTTAAGATTTTCCAATCTGGACTTTCTCACAGAATTATCTTGCCTATTTCTTTGTCTACTGTGTCTTCTCAAGATGGCCCATCACATGGATTCAGTCCGGTATGTACCTGTGATCTGTGCATCACGCCATGATCCTGTTTGGGCAAATTGTTCTCATGATGCCAAGATCTCTTTTGATGTCAAAGAGAAGCAGAATTAGAGTAGGGAAATAAAAAGAAACAAGCTCATCTTTCTGAGTTAGTTACCGGTGAGCAATGAGGAAGACATATCCTATTTGTGAGTCATAAATGCTCATTAGATAGTGGACTCTCTAGACTTCTTCAAAGTATGCACCAGGTATCATTTCCTTTATTCAATTTGAAACTGTTAACAATGACTCATTGTTTTAAAATATGAAAAGGCATTTGGAGCTACTCTGAATAAACTTTCACTGGCCTAATATGGGACTTGGGCACCAAAATGAATATTGGCAGTAATAGATTACAACCCATCAAATAAAATTAAGGATTGATGAGTCCATATTGATATGAATTAAATGGAGAAGTTAAAAAAAGGAAGATGAGAAAGTTATCCATGACAGTAGAATGTCAATGAGTAAATGTAGAAGGAATAAAGGAGTTTCAAATCACCATTTACAGCCATTATAATAAAACTTGATCAAGTGAATATCATCAATGAATGCTATAACTATTGGGTGGAAGTTTAATGGGGAGCAGGATATTTGCACACTTCAAAATATTTTCCCAATAACTGTTTATTAATTTCAAAGGGAAAATGTTAACTTTACTGTGAAGAAACTTGAGAACATACCCTTCATCACAGGATCAAAGTTAGCAGCATTAATAATGGTCAAACTAGCATGTGTCTCCTGAAGTCACACACTGAAAGGACACATTACTTATGCAATATTTCTGTTAAAATGCAAAACCTGAATATAAGCATGAGGAAACATCAGATAACCTCAGACTAAGAAATACTCCACATAACGACTGGTCTGCTATCTTCAAAAATATTAGCACCATCTAATATAAAGACAGTCTGAGCAAGTATTTCAGGTCTAAATAAAGTAAGGAGATATGATAGCTAAATGCAATGTATGAACATGGATAAAAATTGCTTTATAGGATATATTGGAAAAATGGCAACATTTGGATATAGCATGTATATTAGGTAATAATATTGCATCAACATTCAGTTTAATTGATATCTTTACTGTGGTTATACATGAAAATGTCCTTAGTCTTAGGACATAAGTCTATCTCTATCCATGTCATCTCTCTAGAGAGAGAGAGAAATCAAATGTGGCCAAATGTTGAATCTAGGTGAAGACTATATGGCATAAGGAATTCTTTACTCTTATAACTATTCTGTAAGTTTGAAATGTTTTCAAAAATGAAAAAAGTTTAAAAATAAAACGAATTAGGATTGAAAAAGTATTTTTTCTTTGGCGTGTTAAAAGAAACATTTAGGCAAATTAAATTTAACAGATTTTAATTCATCAAAGAATAATTCATGAATTGGGAAGCTCCCAGACAAGCACAAGTTCGGAGCAACTCCTTGGCTTCCATTTGGTTAAATAACATTTATGGATAGAAAAAGGAAAGTGATTTGAGTAGTTGCAACTGAGACCATATGATGTTCTACTAAATATCTGAAGATTAAGATGAAGAATTGAGTTATGATCACATACCTCAATTATTAAAAGTAGCCCTAATCTAAAAAAAAGAAAAAAAGAAAAAAAAAAGGAAAAGGAAAGTGATGTACAGAAAACCAAAGTGAGGGACAGAAATAGCTGGGCTCGTTAGAGCTCAACGTTTGCTTTAGTTGAACATGGTTTAAACAGTTGGCCCCTGTGATTGACCAGAACTGGGCTGCCGTGGACTTGGATACTTGTTGGAAAGGTAGGTTACAGTTTGTTTACATATCCAGTTAGGTTACAGTTTACTATGCATGGAGAAACGTTTATGCCAAGCCTAAAATATGTAAAGAGGCAGCTTTAGGCTAAACTTAATTTAACAATTCTTAGTATAATAAGAGTGAGGAGTTTGGGTCTTTTGGAGGAAATGCTGAAGTATATAATAAAATTTACTTCATAGGAGCATCTACTATAAAAACCCTTTAAAAATATTTCTAACACAGGAAATCTTTCATCTCCTTGGGTCTCTGAAAATAAAGAACTTCTGGCAATGTAGCTGACTGAGTTGATACTGACAGACCCACTTCCTGGTATGAGTAAGTATAAATTCTTCAAAGATTTTTTAAAAAATTCAATCGTAGTTGAACTTGAGAAAAGTAGAGAAAAATTCTCATTTGTCAGAAACTAAGAGGGAACTCAAATGGCAAACACTAGCTGATGTCCTGTGGCCTGTGGGAAGGTTTGGCATCCAGTTAGATGCCCTCAGAACTGGAGGCTGGTGGTTAAAACTCAGGCAGGTACAAGAAATGGGACCTGAAACTATCACCAGGCAGGATCTAGGAAGTAAGACCCTTATATAAAGTTTATATTCTTAAGAACGCTGTTTGGGCAGATTGTTCTCATGATGCCAAGATCCCTTTGATGTCAAAAGAGAAGAATGTAAACTTAAGGTTTACATTCTGAAAGCATTTTTGTGCATAAGATGGAGACAAGAAAACCTTAGTCTGCCTACAGGAATTTTATGTGGTAATAAAGTCATGAACAACTAAACCATGCAATATCACCAAGCTTCTTAATTCACACTGTATGCATAGTGGAGGAACCTCAAGGTGAGAAACTGCTGATACTAAATAGTGCATGTCCTTGAAATAATCAGAAACAAAAGCAAAAGGAATAGCACACAGAAAGAACACCCCAAAAAGAAAAAAATATAAAAATAAAAAAGCATTAAGCACAAGGAAAAATAAACCTCTAAGAAACCACACACAGATTGCATGGGATCCCCCACAGGGGTCAATTTCTGCATAAGATAAATGCATAGGCAAATATTACAAAATATGTAAGAAAATAATTTATCATGAGTAGTATAGTAGACACAGGAAAAGGGAATATAACCCCTGGGAATTGAGATAACTGAAAATTCTGAAGGAGACTATATATAAATGGGTTTAAAAGGTAAACAAAAAATGGAAATCGGGGGGTTGGGGGCAAGGGGAGGGAGAGCATTAGGACAAATACCTAATGCATGTGGGGCTTAAAACCTAGATGATGGGCAGGGTGCAGTGGCTCATGCCTGTAATCCCAGCACTTTGGGAGGCTGAGATGGGCAGATCACGAGGTCAGGAGATCGAGATCATCCTGGCAAACATGGTGAAACCCCGTCTGTACCAAAAATACAAAAATTATCTGGGCATGGCTGTGTGCACCTATAGTCCCAGCCACTTGGGAGGCTGAAGCGGGAGAACTGCTTGAACCCAGGAAGTGGAGGTTGCGGTGAGCTGAGATCGGGCCACTGCACTCCAGCCTGGTGATAGAGCAAGACTCTGTCTCAAAAAAAAAAAAAAAAAAACACCTAGGCGATGGGTTGATGAGTGCAGCAAACCACCATGGCACGTGTATACCTATGTAACAAACCTGCACGTTCTGCACATGTATCTCAGAACTTAAAGTATATTAAATAAAAATTTAAAAATGAAAATCATAATGAAGAAATGGAATATAGAAAATGACTGATTTGGAAAAGAACAATGTAGAATTACCCTTTGTTGGGACCATCCTTCCTATCACTTTCCTTTTACTTGAAGCCTTTCTTTTGTTTTTTGTTTTTGTTTTTATTTTTATTTTTTGAAACAGAGTCTTGCTCTGTCGCCCAGCCTGGAGTGCAGTAGTGCAATCTCAGCTCACTGCAACCTCTGCCTCCTGGGTTCAAGCAATCCTTCCACCTCAGTCTCCTGAGTAGCTGGGATTACAGGCGCCTGCCACCATGCCCAGCTAAGTTTTGTATTTTTACTAGAGATGGGGTTTCTCCATGTTGGTCAGGCTGGTCTCCAACTCCTGACCTCAAAGTGACCCACCCACCTCGGCCTCCCAAACTGCTGGGATTACAGACGTTAGCCACAGCTCCTGGCCTAGTCTTTTTCTTTTGGCAAAGTTTTCTGTTAACCTATTCTCTCATTTCTGTTTTCCTGAAAATAACTTAATTTCATTATCTTTTTTGTTTCTCTGGGCATATAATTCTCTATCGGCAGTGTTTCCCTTCACAAGATGTCTCTTCATCGTCTTCTCACTTCCATTATTTCAGTTGAGTTTTAGGCTTCCTGTTCTTTTTGTAAAAGTGTATGTTGTTTTTTCCCCTGTTGCTTTTACTTATTTTATTATTTTATTATAAAATTATATATATATAATTTAAGGTGTACAATACAATGTTTTGATATACATTGTAAAATGATTACTAAAGGCAAGATAATCAACATATTCATTGCCTCACATAGTTAGTTGCCTTTGTGTGTGTGTGTGTGTGCATGTGTGTGTGTGTGAAAACACTTAACATCTACTCTCTTAGCAAGTTTCAAGCATACAGTACAGTATTATTAACTGTAGTCACCATGCTGTACATTAAATTTTTAGAATTTATTCATTCTACATAACTGGAACCTTGTACCCTTTGACAGATATCTTCTAATTTCCCTCACCTTCCTGCCCCTAATAACCACCATTCTACTCTCTGCTTTTGTGAGTTTCACTTTTTTTAAGGTTCCACATATAAGTGACATCATGCAGTACTTTTCCTTCCGTGTTTGCCTTATTTCACTTAACATAGTATCCTCCAGGCTCATCCATCTTGTCACAAATGGCAGAATTTCCTTTTTTAAAGCTGAATAATATTTCTTTATATGTATGCTTTAACATATATTAATATTATTATATATGATGTGTGTGTGTATGTGTGTGTGTGTGTGTGTGTATATATATGTGTGTGTATATATATATATATATCTCCATTCATCCTTTAATGGACACATACTGAATCCATATCCTGGCTATTGAGAATAATGTTGCAGTAAACATGAGGTGCAGATAACTCCAGGATACTGATTTTTTACCTTCAGATATATACCTAGAAGTGGAATTGCTAGATTTTATATGGCAGACCTATTGTAATTTTCAAAGAAACTTCCATACTGTTTTCTATAATGGCTGTATCCATTTCTTGTTACGTTTATGATTTTCTTTTTATCTTTGGTTTTCAACAACTTTCCTTGATGTGCCTACATGTTGTTTTTCTTTTTATTCACTCTGCTTGGGTTCAGAGATGTTCTAGAATCTGTGACTGGAGGTCTGTCATCAATTGTCTCAAATTGCCATCCAGTATCTCTTTGTTTATAACTTCTCCATTCTCTCTTCTCTCTTTCTGGGACTCCAATTTACATGTATGTTAGACTTTTCACTATGCTCCAAGTGTGTCTTATGCTATTTTCTCCATTTTAAAACTTTTCTTCTCTCTGCATTCCAATGTGAATATTTTCTACTTCCATTTTGCTGTTCCTCTCTCCTGTCTAATCTTCTGTTAAGCTTATTTATTGAATTCTTAATTTCAGTTTTTGAGTTTTTTGGTTCTAGAATTTTTACTGAACTTTTTAAAAATAGATTCTACTTCTTTAATAAAATTTACATTTTTAATCTATTATTTCAAACATATTAATTGTAAGTATTCTAAAGTCAGTGTTAGTACCTGTATATAGATCATCCTTGGCTCTGTTTCTATTTTCTTTTTTCTTCTTGATTTTGCTCATTTAGTCATTTTTTTCTGGCATACTTGGTAATTTTTTTAATTGAATGCCAGAAATTCAGGAATTATATATGAAAAACTAGAGGCTGGAGGTGATCTTGTCTTTCAGCTGAAGGAATTTAATTTTTTTCTGAGACCATGGTCTCTCAAATACTGCCTGCATAAGTCAACTCCCAATGCTCATAAACAACTGTTTTCTTAGTTTTGTCTAATTGTCAGAGTCATTCCTACTGAGAGGTTGAATCTTCTATCAGTTACTTTGTCACAACTGGAAGTGGAATTCTGTTTTTTAATTTTTTTAATTATACTTTATGTTCTAGGGTACATGTGCACAACGTGCAAGCTTGTTACATAGGTATACATGTGCCATGTTGGTTTGCTGCACCCATCAACTCATCATTTACATTAGGTATTTCTCCTAATACTATCTCTCCCCCAGCCCCCCACCCCCCAACAGGCCCTGGTGTGTGATGTTCCCCACCCTGTGTGTGATGTTCCCTGCCCTGTGTCCAAGTGTTCTCATTGTTCAATTCCTACCTGTGAGTGTCCTTTACTTTTTCAAGTGACCACTCTTTCCTTCATCGGGATTTTGGACCTTGCACTCTGCTAGTTGTTGTCTTACTTCTCTGGTGATTCCTTTCCAGTCTCCTGTGGTTTCTGTTGCTTTGTTTTCAACTTACAAGTGATGGAGTGTCCCACAGCTCAGGGCATAGATGTCTTATTCTCAGACACTTATTCCCTATGACCAGGAAGCCACATTCAGTCCCACGGCATTCAAAGTCCCATTTCATATGCTGAGACCAACTGGAGGTTCATTTAATTTTCACCTACTTTCTCTGACCCATTAGGAGTTGTGTGCTGTAAGTGGTGTGAAGGAATAATGCCCCTACACAGTCTAAATTATTGTTCGTTCATGTAGTAGAAACTATGGAAGTTAAAGATTCATGATTCAATACCACTACATTATTTACTGGACCTTTAACTCCTAGAATATGTATTTAGTACAGAACTTTCTAAATGTTTCTCCTGCTTTTACTAGCTTGAATTGACATAAAATTTATTTTCACCATTTTCCCCCTAGGATGGAGTTTATAGGCCATATTCTGGGTTTAACTAAGAACCAAACTATTCCGTTAGTTGGTTTCTTCTAAGTCCCCATATTTCTCTATGAAAATTCATTTTTGTAGAATTTATTGACCAAGACCATGTGCCCCAAGACCATGCTATTAAATACACACCACAGAAAAGTCATTAAGGTAGGAAAAATACTAAAATTTGAGTATTTTACATTTTCTGCAATTCCCCAACTTCTCAGAAGATTGATTTTCCCTAAAGGTAATTATTTTGTTGTTAATGGATGGAGATGAAATTAAAGCAGCTGAGAGTGTGATAAATTGAATTACACGAGAGATGGATAAACCTTAAAGAGTAGCCTCTGGTTTTACAAGAATGGGATAAAAGAGATAAGGGCAGAACAAGATGACAGGATCGGGGGCCATGGGTGGAGGAGGGAAACGGAAAAATAAAGCAAATAAGAGAGGAGTGAGATTGTAGGGAAAGATACACTTTCAAAAATATTTAAGAAAATTTAGCTGTGGGATATAACCCTTCTCCATATTCATAAAAAAACTTAACTTAAAATCTTTATTTTTTTCAATACTTTTGGAAACATCCATGTATTGCCTTTTTTTTAGGTCATTACATGTTGCAATTTTCTTGAAGGTGAGAGCAAGAATAGGATTCGTTCAGTTGTGTTTTGGGTGGAATTTCTCAGGAACTAAGGACAATCATTACAAAGCAACACAAAAAGAACATTGTATTTCTATGCGACAAAAGTGGAGTTTTATTCAGAAGCAGCAAAAATAAGATACAGAAACATTGCTGTAAAAGGAAATACAGGGTGAAACAATCAGACTTTCAAATCTGAGAGTGAGACAACCTTGCCCCGAGTTACCCTGCAAGAATTTCCATGTTTGGGACAGAAGAACTTGGTATCCATAAATACAAATATAAGGTATAAAATTTGGTAAATTCTATTAATTTCTTTCTGTAAATAATATCTAATTTCACACTTGGGTCAACATGGGGAACATATATTCTAGATGTATAGCCAGGACATATATCCTAGATATATGTCCAGGATATGGAAACACAGTTGGTGGGAATGGCCTCTTCTGAGTTGTTTATGAGATGCACAAGGTCTGCTTCTGTGAGGAGTGAGCTGAAGGGGAGGAGATAGTTTCAGGCAAGGAGCTCAGCAGCAAGAGGAGGCACAGCACAAGGGACGGGGGCAGGTGGAAATGACACAGGTTGGGCGATAGCAAGTGGTGTGGCAGGAGACTCGGCCACAGACTGGACGCAGGCAGCAGCAGGGGCGGCAGCAGCACGGGCGGCAGCAGCTGGATTCACAGCAAGAGGGGCGGCAGCAGCTGGAGATGCAGCAGCTGGGACGGCAGCAGGTTGGCTGGCAGCACACAGACTGGCAGCACTGGGACCTGCAGCACCTGGACACACAGCAGCTGGGGCGACAGCAGCTGGAGATGCTGCAGCTGGGACGGCAGCAAGTGGGCTGGCAGCACACAGACTGGCAGCACTGGGGTCTGCAGCAGCTGGATACACAGCAGCTAGGGCGGCAGCAGGTGGTCCTGCAGCAGGTGGTCTGACAGCAGCTGGGACAGCAGCTGGGACGGCAGCAGGTGGGCTGGCAGCACACAGACTGGCAGCACTGGGGTCTGCAGCAGCTGGACACACAGCAGCTGGGGCGGCAGCAGGTGGTCCTGCAGCAGGTGGTCTGACAGCAGCTGGGGCGGCAGCAGGTCTCCAGGCCACAGCCCTGGTCAGAGCAGACGGAACCACAACAGGAGCTGACCATGGTGTCAGAGGGTAAAGGTTCTGGGTGGGTTTCCAAGAGAGTGAGTTTCGTGAGTTTGGGAGTCTCCTTGCTGCATGTCCCCTTTTATACCCAGCTGAGGAGCCTTTGTGATTATGAGAAGATTGTTTCCTTGTTTTTGTTTATATGACACAAATGCAATTACTAAATTATATTGTGTTTTTCTAGTAAAAAATCCCAATATATAGAAAATGATTATTTCCCTTTTCTCACCCTGGTGTTCCCACATGAGTCACCTCTTGTTTTCCTTTCCTTGGTTTCAGTGTCACATGACTTCAGTCTCTGGGTATCATGTGACATGGGAGGGCCACTGTCACTTGTCTGTTTCTCATCATGATATCGTTTTGGGAGAGCTTCTGATTGGGCTAAGATCTCTAGTGGAGAAATGCATGTGTCAATCAGCTGGAATGCTGACAGGAAAAAAAGAAAATATGCTCCTGTTTTTGAGTGTGAGAAATAAGGAAGCTTATGATTCATTGTATGTATTCTGGGTGGCCATTGAGCTAACTAAATTCCTAGGTCATTGCAAGCTGTGTTAATTCTCATCACTCTGGTGCACCTTGAAACAGTTAGTAGTGACTCACTGTTTCTAAGGAACAAAGCATCATCTGGGCTTGAGCTGCGTCTGTCTTCAAAAGTGTCCTACAGGCTGAAGTAGAGTAATGTGGATCATAGTTTTTGATCTGCCTTTTGAAATATCAAATGTGTAATGGTTATGCTTTATTGACATTTTGTTAAAATCTTTTTCATACATTTTGAGCTAAAACATCTAGCAGGGTTTTTTTTTAGTATCACTTATTTCTAAGATTTTTTAAGAAGCATTGAGAGGAATATAAAAGATATATTCTTTAACTTACAGGTACTTATGTAACTGTGGACCTCAATTTTAAAAATCACCCACTTTCTCTTCCTTTCCTCCCCTCTCACCTCTTCATTCCTTCCCTCTGCACACTCCCTTCTGGCAATACTATCTAATATCTTATCTAATTATATTCTTGCTTAAGAAATTCCAGAGGCTAATCTTGAAACAAACCAGGCACAGAGCCCTGAGGAATCCTCTCACTTAGGGGGAATCTTGAACAATTAATCCACCACCATTGGGCTGAAGTCAAAATAATGCCTCCCAAACCTCTGGACACCCAAGATAGCCATTGGAACAAGACATGCAGACTCAGCACCCTGCACCACCCCTGCATGTCTCCCATGCCAAGTTTCCCTTTCAAAACCCTATGGCAAATTTTAAAATTTAAGATGGCACTTTAGAATGCTAGTTCACTAGCTAAAGGATGTCAGTGAGATATATCTTGGGGTGAAATGTTTTTATTTCCTTCACTTAGCATTCTTCTAGTTATTCATTACCAGTTAGTTCAAATGCCATTTTTCTCCAATATCTTTCTTGGCCTCACACAAAGCAAGGTTATCCTCTGGTTTACTGGCTCTCCAACTAGAACTAACTTTCCTTTCACCAGCCCTTGCCTCTTATGTGTTGGCTTTCCAGCAGCAAGCAGCTGAACCTGGGTCCAGTTACATTTACACAGAAATTGCATTCATAACAAGTTTTTATTTTATTTATTTATGTATTTATTTTTTGAGATGGAGTTTCACTCTTATTGCCCAGGCTGGAGTGCAGTGGCACCATCTCAGCTCACTGCAACCTCTGCTTTCCAGGTTCAAGTAATTCTTCCGCCTCAGCCTCCCAAGTAGCTGGGATTACAGCCATGTGTCACCACGCCCGTCTAATTTTGTATTTTTAGTAGAGATGGGGTTTCACCATGTTGTCCAGGCTGATTTCAAACTCCTGACCTCAGGTGATCCACCCACCTTGGCCTCCCAAAGTGCTGGGATTATAGGAGAGAGCCACTGTGCCCGGCCCATAAAGAGTTTTTAAATAAAATCCTCACATGATCATGGTTCTAAATAAAGGGTCTTCTTTAGTGCCGTGGACATTCAGGGAAAAGCAATTATTCAAGGAAAGAACAAATTACCTTCACAATATTTTCTCTTCCTGGGAATGAAGGGATGTCTCTTGTGAACTTATGTGGGGCCTGAGGAACCTGGAGATCTCTGCCCTAGTGGAGTTTGTATTCTAGAAGGAGCTGATAGACACATGAATTTCCAATGGAGAATGAGATGATAGAGCCCATGTGTAAATAAGGCACCACAGAAGTGCAATGGAGGAAGGATTTTCCTCACTGAAAAATCACTGACTTGAGGCGGATTGATTAGTAGGAGAAAAGGCATACACATTTATCTAACAAGTATACCCAAGAGCCTTCAGAATGAAAACTCAACCCCTCAATAAGGTACAGAAGCTTATACAACATCTTGAGGTCCCAGAAAGAATGAGGGCTCAGAGCATGGCCAAAAACAGGAAACAGGTTTTAGTGGCAAGGCAGGTGTATTGGTCCATTCTCATGCTACTATGAAGAAATACCCAAGACTGGGTAATTTACAAAGGAAAGAGGTTTAATTGACTCACAGTTCACCATGGCTGGGGAAGCCTCAGGAAACTTACAATCATGGCAGAAGGGGAGGCAAACACATCCTTCTTCACATCGTGGGAGCAAGGAGAAGTGCAGAGGAGAAGGAAGATAAGCCCCTTATAAAACCCTTAAATCTCATGAGAACTCACTATCACATGAAGGTAACCGACCCCATGATTAAATTGCCTCCCCCTGTGTCCTTCCCATGACACGTGGGGATTATGAGAACTACAATTCAAGATGAGATTTGGGTGGGGACACAAAGCCTAACCATATCAACAGGTTATGGGAGGGAGAAAGAAAGAGGCTTGGCCAGCAAAGGGGGTCTTGTTATGTGGATGAAATCTCACAGGTAGCAACTCTCAGAGAAAAGAGATGGTAAATGATTTTTTTCAGAACTCTAAGGGTGTCAGACAGTCAGTTATTCTCTTCTAGATCCAGGAAAGGCCTATAATGAGAAGGCCTGACTGCATTAATGGAGATTCTCTACAGATGCAAATTTCCTTCACAAAAGACAGCTTTGCAGGGCCACTTTAGTCTGCTGGTCATGTGGCAGCCATCTTAAAATATGTCAAAAAATATATTTTGGGGTAAAATATTTTTTATTTTCTTAATTTAGCATTCTTCTATTTGTTTTTTACTGTCCAAATGCCATTTTTCTCCAATATCTTTCTTGTTCTCACACAAAGCAAGGTCCTTCCTCCACTGCACATCTGTTGTGCCTTATATATGCACAGCCTCTACCATCTGATTCTCTCTCAGAAATTCATTTGTCTATTGGCACCTTCTAAAATACAAACTCCATTAGGGCATAGACTATGATCTATTCATCTTTATATAACAGAACCTGAAACATATGTTTAATGGATGAAGATTTTGTCAAGGCTTTCAAGGGTCACACTGACCTTTGAGAATACAAACCATTCAAATAGGTGGAGAGAAAGGGGATATAAAAGGAGCACATAATTGAGATTGGGCATGACCCTGGCTTGTGATGGTGAAAGTGATATGCTGAAAGGTCTGTTTTGAGAAGTAATGAGAGAAGTTGGGATTGATAGCATGAGGGAGAAATTGTGGGTACCCTCAAATCCTGGAAGAAATGGTAGGGAGCTATGAAAAGCCTTCAGGAAGGAATGTTAGGTGATATTGTAACCGCCCAGTGGGTTCATTTTTCTTGCTGCCCAGATGGAGCAAACTTACCAAGACAGGGGAATTGCAATAGAGAAAGAGTTTAATGTGCATAGAGCCAGCTAAAAAGGAGACCAGAGCTTTGTTATTATTCATATCAGCCTCCTAAGTGGCTGGTAATTGCTTATGTCTACACCTTAGCAGAACTCAGGCTCCTCTCATCCTCTTAACCTGGTGAACTTTCATTAGTTTTACAAAGGTGGTTTAGTTTTGTGGAATGGATATTATCATTTAAACTATAAACTAAATTCCTCCCCCAGGTTAGCTTGGCCCAAGCCCAGGGCAATTTGGAGGTTAAAGGCAAGATAGGAGTTGGTTCAATCAGATCTCTTCCACTGTGATAATTTTCTTGCTGTTATAATTTTGGCAAAAGTGCTTTCAAAATATATGCTATGCACAATGTATTTTAATTTTTGATCTGCCTTTAGAAATGACAAAACACTCCTGGATTTCTGGGAAGAGATGCCATTAAAAAATTGAAGTGAGGCTGGACGTGGTGGCTCACACCTGTAATCCCAGCACTTTGGGAGGCCGAGGCAGGTGGATCACAAGGTCAGGAGATCAAGACCATCCTGGGTAACATGGTGAAATCCTGTCTCTATTAAAAATACAAAAAAATTAGCTGGGCATGTTGGTGAGCGCCTGTAGTCCCAGCTACTTGGGAGGTTGAAGCAGAAAAATGGCATGAACCTGGGAGGCGGAGCTTGTGGTGAGCAGAGATCATGCCACTGCACCCCAGCCTGGGCAACAGAGTGAGACTCCATCTCAAAAACAAGAGAAAAGAAAAGAAAAGAAAAAAGTTGAAGTAAGACAGTAAAATTTGAACTCTCAGCATCAGGTGATGGCCGTGAGCATAACAAAGATAAATTATTCTCTTTATTATGAAATAATAAATTTATTTATGAAATAACTAAATTCTTTCTTTGAAATAATCAGTAGAGACTTGGAACAAATTGAAAATAGAGGTATAAGAAGGGTTCTTCCTAAAAGTTATAAAAGATATTTCAATTGAACTAATTGTTTACATATTCTATAATTTTCTATATATGTAATTTATACCCCCTACCTACTTAAAGCCAATAATTAAAGTTTTTAAAGGATAAATAAATAAGAAAGGATAAGATGTGCCTAAAAAAGAAGAACTTAAAAAGAATAAGCCATTTAGAGATAAGGAAGAAATATTTACATTAAAAGACTAGAATGGAATCGTTGGCACAATTATGCACTAACTACACTTGTTCTTTTCAGAAACTTAAGCAAAATAAAAACCCAATGTTTTATGGAATTCCTGTCCCTCCCTCCCTTCCTTCCTTCCTTCCTTCCTTCCTTCCTTCCTTCCTTCCTTCCTTTCTTTCTTTCCTTTCTTTCTTTCCTTCCTTCCTTCCTTCCTTCTTTTTTCTTTCTTTCTTTCTTTTTCTTTCTTCTCTAAATATTGTATACTGAGAATTTTGCTGGATGCTGGAATAACAAAATAACAAACGACATGTTTTGCAATTGTTCTACTGTTTTACATATATTCGCTCAATTACTAGTCCCAACAATCCAGTATGGTAAATTCTATTATAATCCTCCCTTCACAGATGAGAAACTTAAGGCACAGGTGGGATTCAAGCCAGTAAGCAGGGGAAATGTAATTTTATTTCAGCCAGCCCAGCACTGGGTCCATGTTTTTAATCACTATACACACAACCTCTCTGCAAAATCAGATATGAAAGGAATTTTCTCTATCCTCATGTTGCTTTTGATGCAGTAAAATTTATGAATTTTTTTCTTTGACAGCTCCTGGGTATGTGTCATATTTTAAAAGGCCTTTCCAGTTATAAATTTACATAAGCATTATCCCATAATTTCTGTTAACTTCAAGGTTTCATGTTTTATATTTTAAAATATTTTACCTACTAGGAATTTATACAGATAAAAATATGAGGTTTAAATGTTTTATAATCAGATGTGACCAAGGCTCAACATCATTTATTAAATAATACATCTTTCCATTACTGAGTTAAAGTGCCACCTTTTCATATAATAAATTCTTTTGTGTACGTTAGTCTATTTCTGGACTTGATTTTCAATTCACTAATGATTTTTCATGTGCTAGTATCACAGTCATCAATGTATGGTATTAACATGCTTCTAATGGTTATCAAGTTCAAGTCTGCCTTGATAGGTTATGGCAATATGCTAGTGAACTCATATATCTGTGTTGCAAAATTGTATATGTATACTGCGTTCCTTGCCATGAAAATGTGAATTGCACCTGTCTGGGCTCTGAAACTGGCATCGAAAAGAATACACTAGCTGAGTCTGCAGTGGCGTATGAGTCTTACTAGGTTTGTTGAGTTTCCTGTAAAATTCTGACTTAGGTGGTGCAGCTGAAACAATTGGTGGAACCAACTTGTTTAATCACCAAGCTTGTTGATTAACCTCTTCCTTACTCACTGGCCAGATGGGACTGTTATAAGGGAGTTCATGGGAATTAAAACTCTTATTTCAGTTACTTCTTTAATCAAAACAGGCATCTATTGTTGCCTTTCTGGAGTTCTATCTTGCTTAGTTTTACTAGCTAGAAAGGCTTGAGCAATTCCAAAGCTATATATTTAGCATGGGCAAATAGTACTGAGAGACTTTGAAGTGAATGAAACATCAACTAAGTCAATGTTTCATTCACTTAAAATCCATCTCTACTGTGCATTTAGATAAAGCTGATGTGACCACAGAATAATAACTGCAGTCACACTTTCCCATTCATAAATTTATGTCTACCTTGGGTTTCACCACAATGTCTTCCATATCATCTTTGGACCCTTCAGAGCACCATAACTCTCTCCAAAGCCAATGACTGTACTTGAGTGTCTGTGCATACTTATTCTAAGAAGTTTCGCATGCCACCCTTGGGACATTTCACCCAAATTATTGCATAGGCCTTCAGACCCGGGGTACCTGCTCCTTGTTATTGTGAGCCCTGGGTACTGAGCTTTCCCTTGTTGCTTTCCCTGAACTCTAGCTACACCTTTGCAAATAGTCTCTTTATTACGCAGATACACTGTGTCATCTCATTCCTGCTGTGGCCCAGTTCTTGTGGACACAGGAAATTACAAGCCTCATATACTTTAATACTGAAAAGACCATATAAAACCTATAGTCTTTGATTTCACTCTAGCTAATAAAGCATAATGTTAAAACCAAAGCCTGCATCCTGTAATGAGCAGTTGTCAAAGAAAAACATATGAGAGGATAAAAGGTTTGTTAATTCTGATGTATGAAATGACAAGTCTGTACTCTGTAGAATAATTTAGAGTGAATGGAAAAGGCTGAAGCTGAAAGTGTCTGCAAGGCATTTTTATGATATGCTAAGACCATAACGCCTAACTTAGGCTGGAGTGAAGCCCACGTAATGTTAACTTCTATTCATGCAGTCGCTTGACAACTTAAAACTTCTTTATTTTTACATTTCAGAAATAATAATTAGCTCTTAGTTACATTTCTTTGGAAATATAACACAGCTAATAAATAAAATTCTGATTTATAGAAATTTTGGATTTAAAGCAGTTTTAATATACTTTGGATTATTAGCTGAAATATAAACCCTTATATTTATATAAATAAGATATTTTGCACATATTGTGACACATTTTTTCATCTACATAGAATAACACTTGTTTGAGTTTTGATGATGAGAAAACTGAGTCTCAAGGAAAAGTCCCACCCATGTTCTCTTAAGACAAAGCAAGGTGATTAAAGCCCAAAACAAAGGAGTAAAACTATCAAGAAAATGAAAAAACCTCAGTAACATTAGGGGCTAAAATTATAAAGGAGTTTCAGTCTGGAAATACTAAGACTTTGAGCATCTATTAATTAAAAGATGTAAAACTTTTATGAGAAAACTGCCACAGATGTCATAAATTTCCCGAAATCTTGACTTAGAAGGTAGACTGTGTTCTGAAAGATCATTTTATGTTAAGAGAGGAAAAAAGGAAGGAAGGAAGGAAGGAGTGAGGGAGGAAGGAAGGAAGGAAGGAAGGAAGGAAGGAAGGAAGGAAGGAAGGAAAGAAGGAAGGAAGGAAGGAAGGCAGGTAGGCAGGCAAGGGGAGGGGAGGTGGAGGGAAGGTAAAGGGATTAGAAGGGGAGGGAGGGGGAAGTAAGGAAACAAGAAAAAAGTACTTGAGCTAGGGAAAACACTCAAAATTTCCACAACAAATAATGGAACATACTGGAAGTAGAAATACAGTCAGACAAAATGTAGATGACTTCATGATGTTCAACTTGCTGGAGTTTTTAAGGGACACTTGAGGCATATACCAAAACTTAATTTTGAGTTGTAGAAGACAGCGCAACAATGATACAAATTTTCTTGCTGTTCTGTCAAAAAGAAAATTATGCTAAGATATTATTCTAGCCCAGGGTATTGTTTCAATCATAGTAACAGCAGAAATTGTATTTATTTATTTATTTATTTATTTATTTATTTATTTATTTATTGAGACAGAGTTGCTCTGTCACCCAGGCTGGAGTGCAGTGACATGATCTCGGCTCACTGCAACCTCCTCCTCCTGGGTTCAAGTGATTCACCTGCTTCAGCCTCCCAAGTAGCTGGGACTACAGGTGTGCACCAACACGCCCAACTAATTTTTGTACTTTCAGTAGAGAAGGGATTTCACTATGTTGCCCACACTGGTCTCGAATTCCTGGCCTCAAGTGTTCCACCCACTCAGCCTCCCAAAGTGCTGGGATTGCAAATGTGAGCCACCACGCTCGGCCAGAAACTGTATCCATTAAGAGCCTATACTGCATTATGTACCAGGCCCTGTGGTGAGTATATTACATGGGTTATGTCTCTTAACATTTAAAGAATGTAATGCATTATCTCTATTCACAGAGAAAGAAAACTGAGGCCTGAGGAGGTTAAAAAACTTGCCCCATGCCACGCAACAAATACCTAGGGGAGTCGTGATTCCAATGCAGGGAACATGAATCAAGAGCCCAGGCTCTTAAACATGCTCTCCTGCATTTGAAGAGAGATGGCCCTTGATGTGAACTGACAGGTAAAGACACACACACACACACACACACACGCACAATGAGATCACTAACAAATCAGAAGATTTCAATATTAGGGAAGTGGCTGTTTATTAATACATGAAAACAATATTATATGAGATCATCACAGTTAGTGTCCCCTTCGAATGAAGACACTGCTCATCTAAAAATAACTGCATTGGGGCCTGGCATAACATATTTTAATGAATGTGATTGTCTGTCATTTCCTAGAAGAGCTGAATGTCCACTCTGAATGCCACATGAGACAAACTGGCAGGGAAGTGTTCATTTTTCCAGTGACTGGCTGGCTACAGTGCATTTTAAATGACTAATGAAGACATTCATAGTATGACAAATATCACAAGGAGACATTAGCAGCAAGAGGAGGCACAGCACAAGGGGCGGGGGCAGGTGGAGATGACACAGGTTGGGCGATAGCAAGTGGTGTGGCAGGAGACTCGGCCACAGACTGGACGCACGCAGCAGCAGGGGCGGCAGCAGCTGGATTCACAGCAAGAGGGGTGGCAGCAGCTGGAGATGCAGCAGCTGGGACGGCAGCAAGTGGGCTGGCAGCACACAGACTGGCAGCACTGGGGTCTGCAGCAGCTGGACACACAGCAGCTGGGGCAGCAGCAGGTGGTCCTGCAGCAGGTGGTCCTGCAGCAGGTGGTCTGGCAGCAGCAGGGGCGGCAGCAGCTGGATTCACAGCAATAGGGGCGGCAGCAGCTGGAGATGCAGCAGCTAGGGTGGCAGCAGGTGGGCTGGTAGCACACAGACTGGCAGCACTGGGGCTTGCAGCAGCTGGGGCGGCAGCAGGTGGTCCTGCAGCAGGTGGTCTGGCAGCAGCTGGGGCGGCAGCAGTTCTCCAGGCCACAGCTCTGCTCAGAGCTGACAGAGCCACAACAGGAGCTGACCATGGTGTCAGAGGGTGGAGGTTCTGGGTGGATTTCTAGAAGAATGAGGTTCTCAAGTTTGGAAGTGTCCTTGGGCCACAGCCTCTTATATACTGCCCAGCTGTCTTGTTGGTACTACATTTTCCTTGTTTTTGTTTACTTAATAACTAAGTGATTATCAGATTACACAATAATGTTTGCCCATTTAATGGTTTAAACTTGTTGAAAACAAAATTTTCTTGTCCGGATGTAATAAGATCTATCATGTCTGCCTTCTCTCATGATTCACACCTCGGTAGCATCTTCTAGACCACGTTCTCTTCCTCTTCCTCCACAGAGGGCTGTTCATGTGATTCCCTGCATTTGGAATTGCATTTCTTACTCTCGCTTCAGGTACCCTCTACCAAAATGGGATTTGGTCAGTCACACTTCCAGTTATGCATTCCCTCTAGTGACCAATAGCGAGGAAAACCCATCTGCTCAGTGTGGCATTCCTAGTCTGTGGGTCATTATTAAGCAATAAGCAAAGGGATAGCAATACCTGCATGTGGCCTTGGTGACCTCTACACTATTGAAATGGGTTTCCCTGAATGTTTCAAATTTTGGGTCATATTCCATATCCTTAAATTTTTATACTTGGTGTTACTAATGGGTCAGTTTCTTAAATTGATACTTTGCTCTCCTATATTTTGTGTCATGTCTCTCCAGTTAATCTATTAGATTCCGGAAGACATAGTCCCATTTTTATTCCATAACTCATTGTTTTTTTTAAATGCCTCTAACTGTCTGTTAACATAATGCAGGTGTGTGTTTTCACTTTTTAAAAAAGAAATTTGAGATAATTGTAGATTTACATACAGCTGTAACAAACAGTCCCAGGAGAGGCTGTCTGTACTTCACCCAGGCTCCCTAACACTGTGTAACACCTGTATAATACTTTTAAGAATCTATCTACCCCCACTACTGTGTCTTGCATGATGTGCTTAATATAGAAAGAACTCAAGCTCAGTGAAATTAAAAACAATTAGTTATTTTTCAGATTGACGTATAATATTGTATTTACCACATACAACATAATATTTTGAAGTATATATACATTGTGGAAGGATTAAATCTAGCTAATAAATGCATTACCTCTCATACCTATCATTTTTTTGTGGTGAGAACGCTTAATATCCATTCTTAGAATTTTTCAAGAATACAGTATGTACAATATATCATCATTAACTATAGTCACTATGCTATACAGTAGACCTCTTGAACTGATTCTTCCTGTCTAGCTACAATTATATGTCTTTTGACCAGTATCTCCTCAAGCCCCTGACTCCCTAGCCACCCCTAGCCTCTGATTATCTTCATTCTCTGCTCTACTTCTATGATATCAACTTTTTTGAGTGCGATCATGTGAGTGAGATCATGTGCTATCTGTCTTTCTATGACTGATTTACTTCACTTAGCATAATTTCCTTGAGATGTATCCATGTTGTCACAAATGACAGAACTTCCGTCTTTTTACGGCCAAATAGTATTGCACTGAGTATATACTGCATTTTCTTTATCCCCTTACTCATTGGTGGACACTTGCACTGTGTGCATATCTTGGCAATTGTGAATAGTGCTGCAATAAATCTGGACATGCAGTTATTTCTTCAACATACTAAGTTCATTTCCTGTAGATATATAAGGTACCCAGAAGTGGATTGCTGGATAATACGGTAATTCCAGTTTTAATTTTTTGAGGAACCCTTATATTGTTTTCCATAATGGCTGAACTAATTTATATTCCCACCAACAGTGTACGAGGGAGTTTTTTTCACATCCTTGCCAATACTTGTCATCTTTTGTCTTTTTGATGATAACCATTCTAACAGGAATAAGGTGATATCTCAATGTGGTTTCGATTTGTATTTCCCTAATGATTAGTAATGTTGAGTACTTTTTCACAAACCTGTTAGCCATTTGTATGTCTTCTTTTGAGAAATGTCTAGTCAGGTCTTTTGCCCATTTTTAATCAGGTTTTTGTTTTCTTGCTTGTGAGCTGTTTGAGCTCCTTTTGTATTTTGGATGTTAACCCCTTATGAGATATATACTTTATAAATATTTTCTCCCATTCTGTAGGTTATCTCTTGACTCTTTTTGTGGTTTCCTTTGCTGTGTGGAAGCTTTTTAGTTTGATGTAATCTCAGTCATCCAATTTTTCTTTCGTCGCCTGTGCTTTTGAGGTCATATTCAAAAAGTCATTGCCGAGACCAATGTCATGAATCTTTCCCCCATGCTTTCTTCCAAAAATTTCATAGCCTCTGATCTTACATTCAAGCCATTAACCCATTTGAACTGATTTTTGCATACTGTAAGAAATAAGGGACTAATTTCATTCTTCTGCATGTGGATACCCAGTTTTCCTAACATAATTTATTGAAGAAACTGTCCTTCCCCCATTCTTGGCATCTTTGTTGAAAATCAATTGGTTATAAATGAGTGACTTTATTTCTGGTCTCTCTATTCCATTCCATTGGTCTGTGTGTCTGTTTTTATGTCAGAATGATGGTATTTTGGTTACTGCAGTGTTGTGGTTTATTTTGAAGTCAGGGAGTGTGGTGCTTCTAGCTATATTCTTAGTGTCCAAGATCACTTTGGTTTTTTGTGGTTCTATACAAATTTTAGAACTTTTTAAAAATATTTCTGTGAAGAATGTCATTGGTATATTTATAGGGATTGTGTGAGATCTGTAGATTGCTTTAATAATATTTGGACAATATTGGAATAAACACAGGATATCATTCCATTTATTTGTGTTTTCATCAATTTCTTTCATCTGTGTTTTACAGTTTTCAGTGTAGATATCCTCACTTCCTTGGTTAAACTTGTTCCTAAGTATTTTATTTTATTGTAACTATTGTAAATGAAATAGTTTTCTTGATTTCTTTTTCAGATGGTTTGCTATTAGTGTATAGAAAACCTACTGGGTTTTGCATGTTGATTTTATACTCTGCAACCTTACTGAATTTGTTTATTAGTTCTCACAGTTTCTCAGTGAAGTCTTTAGGGTTTTCTACATATAAGATCATGTCATCTGCAAATAGAAACAATGTAACTTCTTCCTTTCCAATTCAGATATTTTTAAAATATTTTATTCGTGTAAATGTATAATTTTGTTACATGGATATATTGCATAATGGTCGAGTCAGGACATTTAGAGTATCCATCACTGAAATAACGTGCATTCTACCCATCAAGTAATTTCTCATCATCCTTCCCCCTCCTACACCCCTGCCCTTCAGACTCTCCATTGTCTGTCATTCCACACTCTACCTCCATGTGTACGCATCATTTGGCCCCACTGTAACTGAGAACATGCAGTATTTGTCTTTCTATGTCTGAGTTGTTTCACTTAAGATAATGGCCTCCGGTTCCATCCATGTTTCTGCAAAAGACATGGTTTCATTATGTTTTATGGCTGAAGAGTATTCCATTGTTTATATATAGCACATTTTCTTTATCCAGTCATCCACTGATGGACATTTAGGTTGATTCCATATGTTTGCTACTATAAATAGTGGTGCAATAAACATATGTGTGCAGGTATATTTTTGGTATAATGATTTCTTTTCCTTCAGGTAGACACTCAGTCATGGGATTGCTGGATCAAATGGTAGTTCTAGTTTTAGTTCTTTGAGAAATCTCCATACTGTTTTCCATAGCGGTTGTACTAATTTACATTCTCAACAACTGTTTATGTGTTCCCTTTCAGCTCCATCTTCATCAACATTTGTTATTTCTGTCTTTTTGATAGCAGCCATTCTTACTGGTATAAGATGATCTCTCATGGTGGTTTTAATTTGCATTTGTTTAATGATTAGTGATGATAAGCATTATTTCAAATGCTTATTGGCCATTTGTATGTCATCTTTTGAAAAATGTCTGTTCATGTCCTTTTCCCCTTTTTAATGGAATTATTTGCAATGTTTTTGTTGGTAGAGTTCCTCTTAAATTCTGGATATTAATCCCCTGTTGGATGGATAGTTTGCAGATATTTTCTCCCATTCTGCAGGTTGCCTGTTCACTCCATTGATTATGTCTTTTGCTGTGCATGACAGACCAGGAGCACCATCATCTTGGACAAACACTGCCACTTGAAGTTGCAGCTCCCTTTCTAGCCTCATGCATTTCAAGGAAATCACTTCTCTTCTAACTACAAGCAGCCAGAAACAGCAGACAGTAAAACACAGATAAGATAGCTCTGGCACAGAGGGAAGCAGGGGGAAAGTCTCTTGGGTAACTGCCAAACTTCACCCTCGTACAATGGGCCCCAGTAAAAGAGTGGGCCTTAATAAGCACTTTCCTTTCCCTTCATGTGCACTAAGATAGGGAAGTTAAAAGCAGACTCGGGCTATGCCTGCAAGGGAATAGACACACAACTCTCCCTCCCAGATAAGCACAACAAAGAGACACAGAAGCAGTCCAAGCCTCTAAAAAACTCTCCCACCCTGAATCCTTAAAAACTCTTAGTCTGTAAAAAGTGTGCCTCCAACCTAACTCAGCCAAATGCCACTCTTAGGTTTGTTTTCTCTAAAATAAACCTGTCTTAACTGGCAAGCCATCTTTCATGTTTCTTTCCTTTTTGTTTAATTCTTACAGTGCAGAAACTTTTTAGTTTAGATAAATCTTATTTGCCTATTTTCTGTTTTGTTGCCTGTGCTTTAGAGGGCATAGTCATGAGTTTTTGGCTAGACCAATGTCCAGAAGAGTTTTCCCTAGGCTTTCTTCTGGTTTCTTTCTTTCTTTCGTTCGTTCGTTCTTTCTTTTTTTTAGACGGAGTCTCGCTCTGTCACCCAGGCTGGAGTGCAATGGCTTGATCTCGGCTCACTGCAACCTCTGCCTCCCAGGTTCAAGCGATTCTCCTGCCTTAGCCTCTGGAGTAGCTGGGATTACAAGCACCCATGACCATGCCTGGCTAATTTTTGTATTTTTAGTAGAGTCAGGGTTTCACCATGTTGGTCAGGATGGTCTTGAACTCCTGACCTCAAGCAATCCACCCGCCTCAGCCTCCCAAAGTGCTGGGATTACAGGCATGAGCCACCGCTCCCGGCCTCTTCTATTATTTTTATAGCTTCATGTCTTACATTTAAGCCTTTAATGCATCTTGAGTTGATTTTTGTACATAGCGAGAGATAGGGATCTGGTTTCATTCTTTTGCAAAGGCAATCCAATGTACCCAGCATCATTTATTTATTGAATAGGATTTCCTTTCCCGTGTATGTTCTTATCAACTTTGTCAAAAATCAGTTTGCTGTAAGTATGTGGCTACACTTCTGGGTTCTCTATTCTGTTCCACTGATCTATGTGTCTATTTTTAACCCCAAACCATGTTGTTTTGGTTACTATAGCCTTTTAATATAATTTGAGAATGGATAACGTAATGCCTCCAGCTTCCCCACCCCCCTTTCGGATTGCTTTAGCTACTTGGGCTCTTTTTCACTTCCTTATCAATTTTAGGATTTTTTTCCCTAATTCCATTAAAAATGACATTAGTATTTCAGTAGGAATTGCACTGAGTCTGTAGACTGCTTTGGGCAGTATGGTCATTTTAACAGCATTAATTCTTCTGATCCGTGAGAATGAGATGTTTCCCATTTGTTTGTGTTATCTACAATTTCTTTTGTCAGTGTTTTGTAGTTTTCCTTGCAGGTATCTTTCACCTCATTCGATAAATATATTCTTAAGTATTTTTATAACTATTGTAAATGAGATTGCATTCTTGATTTGGTATTCAGCTGGATCATTATTGGTGTATGCAAATGCTACTGATTTTTGCTTGTTGATTTCATATTCTGAAACTTTACTGAATTTGCTTATCAAATCCAAGAGTTTTTTGGTGGAGCCTTTAGGGTTTTCTAGATATAAGATCATGTCATCTTTTGCTGTGTGAAGCTTTTTAGTTTAAATAAGTCCTGTCTGCCAATTTTTGCTTTTGTTGCCTGTGCTTTTGAGATCTTAGTCATGAATTCTTTGGCTAGATCAAGGTCTAGAAGAGTATTTCCTAGGTTTTCTTCTGGTATTTTTATAGTTTCATATTTTACATGTAAGTCTTTGATTTATCTTGAGTTGATTTTTGTACATGGTGAGAGAAATGGATCCAATTTCATTCAGCAAACAGAAATAATTTGCCTTTCTGTTTTCAAATTTGAGTACTGTTTATCTCTTTCTCTTGCTTGATTGCTCTGGCTAGGGCTTCCAGTACTATGTTGAATAGGAGTGGTACAAGTTGTCATCCTAGTCTTGTTCCAGTTCTTAGGGAGAATGCTTTCAGTTTTTCCCTATTCAGTGTGATGTCAGCTATGGGTTTGTCATATGTGACCTTGACTATGTTGAGGTACATTCCCTCTATACCTAATTTGCTGTGAGTTTTTTCATAAAAATATTCTGAATTTTTAAAAATGCTTTTTTTTGCATCTACTTAAGTGATCATATGCTTTTCATCCTTCATTCTATTAATGTGACGTATCATGTTTATTGATTTATGTGTGTTGGCCTAACCTTGCATCCCCTGAGTGAATCTCACTTGATCACGGTGAATGATCTTTTTAATATGTTGTTGAATAAGGTTTCCTGGTATCCTGTTGAGTATTTTGTATTTTTGCACCTATGTTTATAAAGTATATTGGCCTATAATTTTCTTTTCTTGTAGTGTCCTTATCTGGCTTTGGTAAAGAGTAATGCTGTCATTATAAACAGATGTTGGAAATGTTCCCTCCTCTTCACTTTTTGTGGAAGAGTTTGATAAGGATTGGCATTAATCCTTCTTCAGATGCTTGTTAGAATTCACATGTGAAGCTATCTGGTATTGGGCTATTCTTTGCTGGGAGGTTTGTTATTGCTACTTTAATCTTCTTATTCATTATTGGACTCCTCAGATTTTCTATTCTTCATGTTTCAGTCTCGGTAGGTATTATGTTTCTAGGAATTCATCCATTCCTTCTAAGTTATCCATACATTTACACACAAACATACACAGACATACACATACACATACACATACTCATAAGTGCATGTAAAACTGATAAAACTAGAACAAGTTTTGTGGATTTTACCAATGTCAGTTTGTGGGGTTTGACATGTACTCTAGTGATGGAATACGTGACGACTGGGGAAAACTGGGTGAAGGGTGCATAGGACTTTGCTGTACTTTTTTTTCTACTTTCTGTGAATTTATAGTTATTTCTAAATAAAAAGTTAAAAATATATATATGAGGATTATTGGGAAAAAAAGGGGAGCATGCTTTTACTTGCCAATCTCATTGAATATTTACGACATCCTTACTATATTTTGTGGCTATTGTGATCATTTCCTTAAAGAAAAGCAACCCTAGGCTGAGATAGTTAACATGTACAAGAACATACCTGGTATGTAGTACAGTCAGAATTCAGCCCCAACTCTCTCTAATTCCCAAGTGCACAGTCTATACTGTATATAGAGCTTCCTTATCAGTTTAAATCCCTCCCTTTAAATAAGTTTAAATCACTTCATGGGATGCAGTTTATTGACGACTTTCTATTTCGGTGGCTGTTGCAATTCATAGCTCTTATGTTAGATGTATTAGGTTCAAATATGCCTCCTTTGATACATTTTCCTATTTCTGCTGTGAGACAGAATCCTAGTTTTGATTAAAAATCTCATTAGAGAATATCAATTTAATTTTTCAATTGTATGATCCCCTGATAACATGTACTCTCGGGTTGTGCAGAAAAAGAGACAGAAATATGCATAGGCCAATTTATTAATAATAAACAGTGAAAGAGAACCATACACACAGATTGTCTCAAGTCTACCTAAATGATACCTCTTTTATTACACAGAACAGCTGTATTTTTTCTTTTATACACTTTTTTCTCTTTAAACTCATTGTTTTGTTGTCATTTTAGAAGTTCATTTTTTTTTATGTTTACCTAATTGATACCTCATCTGGAGGATTGGACCATCTATGAATCTTCTTCCTCTCCCACAGGTTGACCCATAGCTAGTGGTAACTGATGTCTGAGTGCAAAATTCCAACCACCTTGCCTCTCAGAAAGATGGGTCTGTGATACTAATCACACTCTAGAGCTTCCTATGGGGTCAGAAGAGAAAATAATTCAATAAAAATCATGTTCTGCCTTAGGTTTTTAAACTCCTCTATTCTGCTTCCCAGTTTCTTACTGATTTCTCCTGAGAGCATTTTCTTATAAATCACTTATCCAAGAATCCTTGTTTTCGGTTCTATTTTGAGTGAATCCAACTTAGCACACCTCTTAAACACAGTTTCTTTTAGAATAAAAGTTACTAGCATGGCAATTCTGCCTTATCCTTCAGATATAATAATGTGGAAGAAAAAGAGATTGAAGACTGGGTGTGATGGCTCATGCCTGTAATCCCAGCACTTTTGGAGGCTGAGGCAGATGGATCACTTGAGGTCAGGAGTTCGAGGCCAGCCTGGCCAACATGGTGAAACCCCGTGTCTACTAAAAATACAAAAATTAGCTGGACGTGATGGCACATACCTGTAATTCCAGCTACTTGAGGGGCTGAGGTGGGAAAATCACTTGAACCTGGGAGGTGGAGGTTGCAGTGAGCTGAGATGGCACCACTGGCCTCCAGCCTGGGTGACATAGCAAGACTCTATCTCAAAAAAAAAAAAAAAAAAAAAGAGAGAGAGAGAGATAAAGACAACTAGTCCAGAGATAACTGTGCCAAAACTGAGAAGAAGAAAAAGAAGAAGAGGAAGAAGAAGAAGAAGAAGAAGAAGAAGAAGAAGAAGAAGAAGAAGAAGAAGAAGAAGAAGAAGAAGAGGAGGAGGAGGAGGAGGAGGAGGAGGAAGAGGAGGAGGAGGAAGAAGGATAAGAAAAATATTTATTTAGAACATTTACCTATTTACTAGACAGTATACTCAAGAGTTGACCGTGACACCAGGGTAACCACTGATATTGTATAAAAATGATTTAATTATGTTACGTGAAATAGGCCAAGCACAGAAAGACAAATTGCTAATGGAATGGAACTCATGAAGATAAAGAATAGATTGCTGGTTATCAGAGTCAGAGGAGGGTGCCTGTGGGAAATGAAGAGGTGGATTGACGTGTACAAATATAAGTTAGAGATAAAAATATGACCTAGTATTCAATATAACTGTAGGATGACTATAGTTAACAATGATCTATTAAACATTCCAAAGTAGCTACAAAAGAATAATTCAGATGTTCCTAGCATAAAGAAAAGATAAACTGTGATGGATAATCCAATTACCCTGATTGGATCTTTACAAATTATATGGATGTATCAAAATTTTATATGCGCATCTGCTACATATCAATAAAAAAGGAAAAATGTTTTGAAGGGCACTAATACTGAGGTTAGGAACACTGGTGTCTTAGATTGGGTCCCCACTGGAGCCGACCCAGGAGTATATTTGGGAGGTGGTCCCAAGAAGTGCTGTATGGAACACGAAAAATGCTCCAGGAAAGGGAGGGAAGTGAATACAAGATGAGTTAATGATCAGAATAGCCCTGTAGGTAGCTGGAATTTGGTGTCTCTGAGGACCACTGACATGCTGGTACAACATGCTCCCAACTGGAGGAGAAATAACTAAAGCATGTGTTCACCAACTCTCACTCATTTGTTGAATACTATTCCAAGAGGCTTTAACTCTACAGTCCAGAGCTTGCTCCTTGGCTAGAGAAACTCTTCAAGAAGAGAGTTCCAGGTGCTTGCTCTAAGAAACCACCATTGTATATTAGAATAAAGTGTGCTGAGGAAATAGAGGTGGTGCCCCTGAAATTACATTCTGCAGAGAAGAACAACAGAAAAATTGACTGGTAATTGACCACACTCAAAAAAGAAAAATAATGAGACACAGTATCTGTATATTTCTATGCCTGAAAATTTATTTAAGATTTATTTAGATAAATATTTGTTTAAAATGGAATAGCTCCATATGAGAAATTATGGCAGAGAGCAAATATTTCAATTAAGATAGTTGACAGATTTCAGAGCAAATTACAACTTATGTTCATTTGGTAGAGAGGTAAAATGTGGGGGGAGCATATATTTGGAGGCCAGATTCAATCTAAGAATTGGTTGGAACTGAAGTTTTCCAACTAGCTTCCCATAACTCAGCTCATAGATGAGCTACATCAAGAATGCTGGTTGATGAGAATCTGGTGAGTCCAGATGACAGCCTCAGCAGCAAGAAGCACTAGAGCAGGTTGGGCGGCAGCACATGGTCTGGCAGCAGTTGGGGCGGCAGCAACTGGAGATGCAGCAGGAGAGCCTGCAGCAGCTGAAGCCACAGCAGGAGGAGCTACTGCTGCTAGAGATACTGCAGGAAGGCTGGCAGCAGCTGGAAATGCAATAGCTGGGGTGGCAGCAGGTGGTCCTGTAGCAGGTGGTTTGCCAGCAGATGGGCTAGCAGCATAGAGACTGGCCACAATGGGGCCTGTAGCACCTGGACACACAGCAGCTGGGGCGGCAGCAGGTGGTTCTGCAGCAGGTGGTCTGGCAGCACTGGGGTCTGCAGCAGCTGGACACACAGTAGCTGGGGCAGCAGCAGGTGGGCTGGCAGCACACAGACTGGCAGCACTGGGGCCTGCAGCAGCTGGGGCGGCAGCAGGTGGTCCTACAGCAGGTAGTCTGGCAGCATTGGGGTCTGCAGCAGGTGGGCTGGCAGCACACAGACTGGCAGCACTGGGGTCTGCAGCAGCTGGACACACAGCAGCTGGGGTGGCAGCAGGTGGTCCTGCAGCAGGTGGTCTGGCAGCACTGGGGTCTGCAGCAGCTGGACACACAGCAGCTGGGGCGGCAGCAGGTGGTCCTGCAGCAGGTGGTCTGGCAGTAGCTGGGACGGCAGCAGTTCTCTAGGCCACAGCCCTGGTCAGAGCACACAGAGCCACAACAGGAGTTGACCATGGTGTCAGAGGGTGGAGGTTCTGGGTGGGTTTCCAGGAAGGAGGGTTTGGAAGGCTTGGAAGTCTCCTTGCCCCAGATCCTCTTTTATACCCTGCTCAGGGCTGATGTCATCGGATGCAGCACTCTTTCCTTGTCATTGTTTGTTCTGATGAGCAGGCAATTATCAAATTAGGCAAGTTTGTTTTTCTGCTTAAATTTGTCAACATGGAGAAAAGCATTATTTCCTTCCCCTGGTGTGTTAGGATTCTTCAGGTCAGCTCTTCTTGAACAACCTCTTGTGTGCCTCTTGCTGCAGCTTCCTCCTTGAGCTGCCATGTGACATCTGCCTGCAGGTACCATGTGCTGCAGCCTCATTTTCCTTAATACATTATGTCTGACCTTGGGTGATTTTAATTCTTCTAGGCCCGTAATTTTCTTTTGGTGACTCAGGAGGAGAAAGCTGTGCTTTAATCTCATGGCATGTTTGTTATAGATCAAGTGAGCAATGAAGGTTTGAATGTGAAACAGGTGACCAGTGGCATGAAAACAAATACTATTAGGATATATTCCTTGCCACCTTCCATACAATGAATCATGACCCATTTTCTAGATGTTCTACTGGGGAAAGCAGAATTGTTTTAAGGTGGACATCTAAGTCATGAATTATCGATGCTTCTTTTTCTTGAGAAACAACACTCCAAAACTCAGTTTCAGGGCCTTTAGGGGAAATTGGCTACAGAGATCAGCTATACTAAAAGGTTCAGGTCCCTCCGCTCTCTGCTCTGAGGGGCTGATTTTCCTTCTGACTTTTCCTTCCTGTCTCTCTGGCTTTAACAATCACATTGAGTCATCTCCTCTATTTCTAAGGTTTACTTGCCAACCTAAGGTAAAGGACCCAGTGTCCTTGCTATATATATATAATATATATATATATAATATATATTATATATATACATATATATACTATATATAGTATACACACACACGTATATACACACTATATATAAATATACACACTATATATAAATATGCACACTATATATAAATATACACACATACACACACATATATGTGTGTGTATGTATGTGTGTGTATGTGTGCGTGTGTGTGTGTGTATATATATATATATATATATACACACACACACACGCACACATACACACACATTATGTCTGACCTTGGGTGATTTTAATTCTTCTAGGCCCATAATTTTCTTTTGATGTATATGTATATATATATATACACACACACACACACAGGTTTGGGGGAATATATATATTCCGCCAAAGGACCTTAGGAATATATATATATATTATACATATATAGATGGGTAGATAGAGAACCTTATATATAGGTAATATAGGAATATATATATTTACATATTTATGAATATATAATATATATTCTTCATATATGTTTGTATTTAATAGTATGTATAAATATATATATAATATATACAATAACATATTTAGAAATATATATATTTATATATATATGTATTTACCTTTATCTCCTAAGGCCCTTTACCTTAGGAATATTATGCACACACACACACACACACACTCAAACACACACACACACACACTCCCCCAAACCTGGATGTTAAAGAAACCCAAGGAAGAAGGCAGAAACTTCCTGTCTTTGTGCCACCCTCCACTTTGGGATGCTCTTGGGTTAGCAATTTCTGTTTGGACTGGTCTCTCTGAGGATACTATGGACACCCCAACTCTGCTGAGGGTCTTTCCATAAAACATGCTCATCTAAATATTTGGGGGCCATGAAGGTAAGAAAAAGTGAATATGCCAAATGGCAGAACCATGTTTCCAAAACTACAGAAATACTCTCACGAGGAATCAAACCTAACAAGATGAAATATCAGAACCAATTGTAGATCAAATGAGTGGTTATTAATGCAGCATGGCAAACGAGATTGGGGAGGAGTGAATATATCTAAATTTACTGGGAGTATTTATTTAACTATACACACACCCTAAGGTTGTGTCCCCTCTTAGCATCCCTTCACCAGATAGAATATTACAAGTTGAGGACATCTTATCTGAAAATCTGAAATCTGAAATTCTCCAAAACCCAAACCTTTTTGAGTACCTATATGATGCTCAAAGAAAATGCCCAATAGAACATTTAGGATTTCATGTTTTTGCATTAGGGATGCTCAACAAGTATAATGCGAATATTCCAACTCTGAAAAAACTTGACATTTGAAACACTTCTGGTGCCAAGCATTTCAGATATGGGGTACTCAACCTGGATCACCACAATGAGCTCTATTACTGCAGGCATGCAGTAGAAAGGCAGGTTGAGAACTTCTCGTCTAGAAACAACCACTGTATGTGTATAAGAAGACCTTGAAGCAGTTTATGATGAGGATTACTTAGGTGTGTCACACTTTAGTAACCTCAGTATTAGTTCACACTTACTGCCAACCACTTACTGCCACTAACACTGTGTTAACTCCTGCATGCAAACTTGAAACATTCATGAAAGTGGAACATTTACTAAGGTAGATGAGGCATTTCTAATCCTCCAAGAGTGTTCAGAACACATCTGGAAAATGCATTTCAATCCAGGCTAGAAGGATAAAGATAAATTGGGGTTTATGAAAAGCAAAGTTGCTGTGAGGGTGGCATTATGATCAATGAGGAACAAATGGAAACACTTTGGAAATGTAACCTAAAAAGGAGAAAAGTGGAACAAAGCAATGGCAGTGCAGCCTGAAGGGGCTCTGTATGAGAATGGACTTCCTCAGATGGCTGCCATGGGCTGATATAGGATAGGGAAGATAGGATGTTCCTAGGGAGAAACAAAATCTGACACAACATGAGGAAGGTGCTTTATGAAATGGCTGCCTCTAGAGATAATCAGGGGAGGGGGTTTCAGTGTGAGCTGGTGTTTCTGACTGAGGCACATGCAAGAGCCAGATGGAGGGAATTGGATGAAATTACTTTGAGCTTCCCTCTCTGCACTCAGGTCCATGTAAGTCTAATAAGTGGAATATAATGTTATACTGTTAACCAGTTTCTACTGCTGCCCTGGTCCTGATTTCCAGGCTTACACAACCAGGATGATAACAATCTGGCTCCTGAGTGGGCCCCTGCTTCAGCACTGGCTGGTGTTCTGAGTCTGCACTGGCTCTGATGCACCCAGACACAGCATCGTATTGAGGTCCTGAGCCTTTGTCCTCAGTCAGAATGAACAGAAGCAGGTTCCAAGCTGTTACGGGGTTAAAACCCTGGTGAGCCCGTTTATGGTGTATGAGAACAACTCTAAGATTTCCTCGAGAACTTGAATTATGGGAAAAGAATCACATCCTTGAAGAACCCTGATGACTGGTACCTACCGATGACTCAGTGGAGATCACTTTTATTTACATGAATTGACTATTTTTTTTCTTTGTAAGGTCAGCGTGTGTGTTTTGCTTAATGTAAATTTGCATTATGTTTAGAAATCTCTCACGATTTCTTCTAGTACTTCAGCACTTTCATTTTTCCCCAGCTTTATTGAGGTAGAGTTGGCAAATAAAATTTTATGTATATCAAGGGTACAACATGATGCCTTGATATGTATATATTGTGAGATGATTATCACAACCAAGTTAGTTAATACCTATCACCTCACGTAGTTATTGTTTCCTGTGTGTGTAATGAGAACAATTAAGATCTACTTTTTCAGAAAATTTCAAGTACTCAATACAGTATTATTAACTATAATCACCATGCTAGTTACTAGATCCCTAGAATTTAGTACCAATGTCAGATTTTGGGATTTGACATGTACTATGATCCTATGAGAAGCAACCACTGAGGGAAACTGAGTGAAGGGTACAGGGAACTTTGTCTTATTCAACTTCATGTTAATCTATAGTTATTTCAAAATCTATCGTTATTTACAAAAGTAAAAAAAAAAGAGGCTAATTGGTAGTAAAAGACAGCATGCTTTTTTTTTGGATATTTTCATATATTTATTCTTATTTTTCATGTGTCTATGTTTAACTACATGGGATTTTTTTTTCGATGTGTGGATATGTATATAGGAAAATTCAGAGATTATTCTTTTTAAGATTGGGTAATTGGCCAGTTTGTGAGCATTTACAGTGTTTTAAATAACTTTTATCTTTCAATTAGAAACACACATCAGGCATATCATACACTCTGTCATCATTTTTCCAATAGTTATACATGTACTTTATTTTCCTTATCTTATTGAGTAGTTCATAAGACTTTTGTTTAAAATACTTTCTGTAAAACTCGGAGACAATAAGGTGGGGCTCTGCATTTATGTTCTTGTTGAGTTCTTAGTAGTCCGAATCTTATGCAATTCACCAACTATATTTCTACAAGCAATGTAAATTGGGAAAAAAATCGGGTACTGAAATATTTATTTTTATAAATGAGCTAAACTTAAAAATGATCCAAAGGGTAAGTTCACAGCAAGCATTCATTTCTTTTCCCTCCATGTAATTTGCATGCAAGTCAGGCATTTTCACATATTTTTATAAATCTTTTTCTTGATTTGTTCTCCTTCTTACAATAATTTTAATACACAATTATTTTTACTCTAGTTAATGGGATTTTTTAAGTGCCCTGAATTCCATTTCAGAACTATGAAGGGAATTAAATATTTATGTTACATGGATAATAGTATTCAATATTCATCAAAGCATGCAAAATAAGCAATTAAGAATATGCAACTGTATCCCATTATGAACATATCCTTGATACGCCTTCCAAACTTAAATTCCAAATTCTTTCTGCTATTCAGCTAGAAGTTTTTGCTAATATTTTCTTCATGGAAAATTGTATTTTCTGCATTGATTAATAATTAATAACAAAAAAATTTCCATTTTTTGAAATAGCCTATTTCTTATTAATTTTTTAATCATTCAATTACCCCCCAGCTTATACAAAGAATTATATAGTAATTATTTTTTAACAGTTAACAAGTCACAGTAGGTTTGGGTTATAACGAACATACTGTGGCTTACAAGATAATATGGAATAGTGGCTAACCCATGAATATAGTGAGAAAACTTTTTAAAAGTTATATTGGAGTAATCCCTTAGCTAATAATTATTATTGTAGTTTAGCTATTTGGCTATGACAAACTAATACTAGTTGCACCTCACTTGAAAATATATGATAGCAACTTAGTACATGGTATTGTACATATCTTCACTTGGTTAAACAACTTTTAGAGGATATGCTTAGTGATTTATATTTCAACTCTAAATTGTTAGTTTTCTTTTTTTTTTATTATACTTTAAGTTTTAGGGTACATGTGCACATTGTGCAGGTTAGTTACATATGTATACATGTGCCATGCTGGTGCGCTGCACCCACTAACTCGTCATCTAGCGTTAGGTATATCTCCCAATGCTATCCCTCCCCCCTCCCCCCACCCCACAACAGTCCCCAGGTGTGATATTCCCCTACCTGTGTCCATGTGATCTCATTGTTCAATTCCCACCTATGAGTGAGAACATGCAGTGTTTGGTTTTTTGTTCTTGCGATAGTTTACTGAGAATGATGATTTCCAATTTCATCCATGTCCCTACAAAGGACATGAACTCATCATTTTTTATGGCCGCATAGTATTCCATGGTGTATATGTGCCACATTTTCTTAATCCAGTCTATCATTGTTGGACATTTGGGTTGGTTCCAAGTCTTTGCTATTGTGAATAGTGCCACAATAAACATGAGTGTGCATGTGTCTTTATAGCAACATGATTTATACTCCTTTGGGTATATACCCAGTAATGGGATGGCTGGGTCAAATGGTATTTCCAGTTCTAGATCCCTGAGGAATCGCCACACTGACTTCCACAATGGTTGAACTAGTTTACAGTCCCACCAACAGTGTAAAAGTGTTCCTATTTCTCCACATCCTCTCCAGCACCTGTTGTTTCCTGACTTTTTAATGATTGCCATTCTAACTGGTGTGAGATGGCATCTCATTGTGGTTTTGATTTGCATTTCTCTGATGGCCAGTGATGATGAGAGAGCATGCTTTTATTTGTCAACCAGGCACCTTTATCTCATTGACATTTTATGATTACCTTCATGTGTTTTTGAGTTATTATGATCCCTTCTTAAGAGAAAAGTAATCCTAGGTTGACAGAGTTTAAATGCCATGTCTAAGATCATAGGTGGCATGCAGTACAGTCAGAATTCAGCCTCAACTCTGTATAATTCTCAAGTCCACAGAATATACTCTACATTGAGCTGCTTCTGTTTAAATTAGTTTAAATCACATCATGGGATGCAGCTTATTGAAGACAGTTTTTTTGTGCTGGCAGTTATATTCCACAGCTTTCATGTTATATGTGTTAGGTTCAAAAATGTCTCTTAAATTCTTCTCCTGTTTCTACTATGAGACTGAATTCTGGCTTGGATAAAATCTAATTGGAGAATGCCAATTTAATGTTTTAATTATTAGGGTGTTTGACAACATGTACTCTTCTTGTGTGGTGCAGAAAATAGACAGAAATATACATATACCATTATATTATAACAAATGAAAAGAGATGAGCATTTTTGGTGCTTTTGAACACTATGAAGTTTTATTGAGGAACATCAAACAATTCCACATGAAAATTGATACCACAGAAAACATTAGGAAGAAACATCTAGAAGGATACCATTTGAAGATTTATGTATATTGAATTAGAATAAAGAATTCTAAAACATGTGATGTGGAATTTGACTGTAAATTCAGATTCAATAGGAATAAAAACTTCTATAAAAGAGAATACATACTAATAAAATATTTTCCAAATCAGTCCATGCCTCTGTTTTCACGACATCAGGAAGTCCACATGTTCTCTGAATAGATACTCTGTGCCTGAACTGAAGGTTGAGAGCAAGAAGGTGCACAAATCCAGAGCAGCTTCACTCAGCAGCAAGAACTGCCGCAGCAGATGGGGTGGAAGCAGGTTGTTCTACAGCAGGTGGTCGGGCAGCTGAAAGGGCAGCGGCAGCTGGACACACAGCAGCTGGGATGACAGCAACTAGAAATGCAGCAAGCCGGGCGGCAGCAGGAGGGCTGGCAGCACTGGGGCCTGTAGCAGCTGGAGATACAGCAGCTGGGGCGGCAGCAGGTGGTCTGGCAGCAGCTGGGTTTGCAACAGCTAGAGATACAGCAGGAAGGCCTGCAGCAACTAGAAATGCAGCAGCTGGGGCGGCAGCAGGTGGTCCTGCAGCAGCTGGGTTTGCAGCAGCTGGAGATACAGCAGGAAGGCCTGCAGCAACTGGAAATGCAGCAGCTGGGGCGGCAGCAGGTGGTCCTGCAGCAGCTGGGTTTGCAGCAGCTGGAGATACAGCAGGAAGGCCTGCAGCAACTGGAAATGCAGCAGCTGGGGCGGCAGCAGGTGGTCCTGCAGCAGGTGGTCAGGCAGCAGCTGGGTTTGCAGCAGCTGGAGATACAGCAGGAAGGCCTGCAGCAACTGGAAATGCAGCAGCTGGGGCGGCAGCAGGTGGTCCTGCAGCAGGTGGTCTGGCAGCAGCTGGGGCGGCAGCAGCTCTCCTGGCCGAGACCTTGACCACAGCTCTGGTCAGAGCAGACAGAGCCACAGCAGGAGCTGACCATGGCGTCAGAGGGTGGAGGTTCTGGGTGGGTTCCCAGGAGAATGAGGTTCTGGAGTTTAGAAGTCTCCTTGAGCCTCTTATATACTGCCCCAGTTTCCTGTTGTCACTATATTTTTCTTGTTTTTGTTTATTTAATTGCTAAATAATTATCAGATTACACAATAATGTTTGTCCATTTAATGGCTTAAAATCATTGGGAAGAAAATATTCTTGTCCAGATGTAATAAGATCTATACCATCTACTTTTCCTTGATTCTCACCTTGATGGCATCTTCTAGACCAAATTATCTTCCTCTTCCTCTACACAGGGCTATCAGGTGATACTCTGCATTTGAAATTACATTTCTCACTCTCTTTTCCTGTACCCAGTACCAGAATGAGATTTAGTCAGTTACATTACCAATTATTCATTTATTCCATTGACCAAGGGAGAGGAAAGCCCTTCTACTCAGTGTGGCCTCTGGCCTGGGACAAGAAGAAAATGTCCTATTTTGAGTGTCATTTTTGAGCAATGAGGAAAGGTTTAATGGCCACACACAGACACCTCCTGCTTTATTCTGTTCATTCAAGCTTTACAGAAGCACCTGGCTCAAGGTCCTGCCTTGCTTATAAAACAGAGGCATTAAATGGATAATCTGAGAGACCCAAGTTGCCAGCCATTGGGATTACAAATTTGATGTAGATTCTCCTTCAGGGGAGTTCACAGCTTGCTAGAAGGAACACACACACACATACACACACACACACACACAGTATTATACTGTGATAAAGTAACATCAAAGGAGCTCATTATAGTTTAATTAAAAGAATCATACTTAAAACAAATTAGCAAACATGACAATTTGGTGGATTAATTCATAAATAAATATTTTAATTTAGTTTGTGTCTATTTTTATGATATTGTAAAATTTACATACACTGAAATGAACAAATCCCAAATGTACTATTTGATGAGTTTTTATAAATGGGTACATCCATGTAACCTCCACACCTATTAAGATAGAGAATGATGTAATTTGGCTGTGTCCCCACCCAAATCTCATCTTGAATTGTAGCTCCCGTACTCCCCATGTGTCATGGTGTCGTGGTGTCGTGGTGTCATGGGAGGGACCCGGTGGGAGGTAATTGAATCAAGGGGGCTGATTTTTCCCATGCTGTTCTCATAATAGTGAATAAGCCTCATGAGATCTGATGGTTTTATAAAGACCAGTTCCCCTGCACATGCTCTTTTGCCTTCTGCCATGTAAGAGATGCCTTTGCTCCTCCTTCACCTTCTGCCATGATTGTGAGGCCTCCCCTGCCATGTGGAACTGCGAGTCTTTTTTAGAGACTCACAATTAAACCTCCTTTTCTTTATAAATTACCCAGTCTCTGGTATTTCTTCATGCAGTATGAAAATGGATGAATACAGAGAACATTTTCATTATACTAGAAAGTTCCCAAATGTCACTTCAGTAAACTCATCACTTCATAGAGGCAGCCATATGGGGAAATTATTAGCAATGTTCTAATAATTTTTCCACCATAGGTTAGTTTTGATTTGAACATTCAAACAAATTATATATAGCATAATTGTTTTTTCTGTCTGTCATCTTTGCCTTGATATGTGGCTGTGAGAGTCACAATGTTGATGCATGCATCACTAGTTCATTCAGAGCTATACTAATAACTGCCAGGGCTTCATTTTAACTATACCAACCAATGTCATGGTAGGGTGACCAGCTGTTTCTGATTGCCCAGTCTGAGGGCATTCCCTGAACTCAGGGCTCTCATTGCTAGAACTAGGAAGTCCCAAGAAGAAAGAGACAGGTTGTTCACTCTATGATAGCATCCTTAAATGTCTTAATTAAGATCATTAAAGACCAAACACCTTGCAATATTTCTGTCACATTAACTTGTTTAGCAAACACTTGATTTACAAGTCTTTACTTTATGGGCTGTGTTTGCAAAGCTGGAGAACATGAAAGATTGAAACAATTGTATTGTGAAGCCACATGGTGTCCTGAAGAGGCAGTTGTTCATTTGATTTGCTGTATATCAGGGGCTGAGGAAAAATTAAAAACATAAAAGAAAAAGGTTTTGATTATGAGGGGAGAGGTTTCTATATAAATTTATGGAGATTAAGAAAACCCTATTGCCACAGCTACAAAGGCAGGTACATTCTGAATGTAGGGAAATGTATGGAGAATCACAACCCCTCATCCAGGGGTTCTACAAGTTGGCTGAATATTAGAGTCACTCGGGGAGTGTTAAAAACTACTGATGCCTGACTCTTGCTCAGAAAAAATCTGACTTAAGTGCTGTGGGTTATGGCCTGGGCACCAGAATTTTTCAAGTTTCTCAGGTAAAGGGCAGCCAAGCTTGAGACCCATCTGCTTAAACTGTTGTATGACATACATTGTATAATATTCAACTGGAAACAGAAGCAACTAAAATAATTAAAATACAATTGGTAGTATCTACGTAGTAGAGAAAATGATACTGGATTTTAAACACTGAATTTGGAGTATTGTAAACTAAAACACTGATAATTATCTTTGCTATTTTAGATGACTCTAATACCAAAACTGACAGTCCACATGGATGATAATGGAACAACAGGGCATGAACCACCATGGGAAATTCGTATAGACAGCACACTGGATTTTTACAAAATGAGCCTCAAAAGCAGGCGAGATGTCTGTCACTGTATGTATTTGCTGCTAAATTCTACTCACTGTCTGGTGAAGCATACTTGATATTAACTTGAGGACCACACACACAAGTTACGCCAAGTCTATCTAAACTGTCCTTCTTTTATTATATAGACTAGCAGAAGGAGTGTAAGTTTTTCTTTCATATACCTTTTTAAATTTTAAACTAATTTTATGGTTGTCTTTTTAGAAGTTCATGATTAAAGACTTCACTTAGGTAAACATCAAGGAAATTAGAATGAAGTGAACCCAACTGATATTTGCAATCAACACTGAAGAACATGTGTTGTGTTTACCCCGCAACCTGGACGCATCGTATTAACATACCCTTTAAAGAATGACATGGGAAATGGGCTTCTCTTGTCAGGTATCACATCTATTATGTTAGTACTCTGACATTTTTGGAATGAAAACCTAGTATGTATTTTGGAAATAAAATGTAATTTCATTAGGTGAATTACTGTGACTTAGTTATAAGACTGTGAAATACACAGAGAGGCCTACAAAAGGCATGTCTAATTGATAGATAAATTATCATATTTCCAATTCAATTAAGTTCCTATTTATAATAAAAATCAAACTATTAAAATATTTAAGAATAAGCATTAAACAATGCTACCATTCTTGGTATGAAGTGGTATGTGTAATTAGAGCAATATTTAAAATAATATGAATACTCATATGCCATTCAGTAAATCTCTTTGTTCTAAACTGTCTTCAATCACTGCTTTATCTTGACTTTTAAAACTTAAATAGGATATTTCAGTTCACCTTGGATTTTAAAAAAACTTTTTAAGTGAAAAATATACTAAAAATATATAACATATATACATTAATTAATTAATAATTGATATAACTAATAATTATTAAGCAAGCATGTATGTACCCAAAGCCTTAGTCAAGAAATAGAATCTTGTCATCCATAAGAGGTGCTCCTATATGTCTTTTCTTGACTGTATCTCCCTCCCTCCATTCTAGAAGTAATCACTATTCTGATTTTAAATCCTTCTACTGTATTTTTTATAGTTTTTCAACCTAGACATGCATCCCTAATAATACAGTTTATTTTCCCACATTTTAAAATTTAATCTAAATGGAATCATAGTATGTGTATTTTGTGTTTTGATTATCTTGCTCAATATTGTGTAAGAGCTGGGGCAGCAACCTCTAAGTTAGCCCCATTATTTCTGCCACCTGGTGCTCATGGTCTTAAGTAATTCCAACCCTTTGAGTAACTTACTTCTAACCAACATCATATGGTACATTGAATGATTAAGTTATTATTCAAAAGATTGTCACTTTCTTCTTGTTGGCCAGCTCTGGTTTGCTCTCACGCTCACTCTCATTGGGTTTGATGAAGCCAGCTGCTATAAGAGACAGAGATCCATGTGGTAACAACTCGAAGACAGCCCCCATCCAACAGCCCACAAGGAACTGAGGCTCCCTCTAATTGTCCTTGGGAGCTGAATCCTGTCAACAACCATTTAGTGAGCCTGGATGCGGCTGCTTCCTAGTTGAGGCTTTAGATGAGACTCTAGTGACAGTGAACACCTTGATTACAGCCTTGGAAAACACTATGACGCAGAGAACATAGGTAAGGCATGCCTGAATTCTTGATCCACAGAAACTGTGAGATAATGTGTGTTGTTTTAAGCTGTTAAGTTGTGAAGTGATAATATAAGGCAACAGTAGATAACTAGTATAGATTTATCTGGTAACATACAGCCCATGGAAGAACAGGAAGGGATCAAAAGGTGCAGAGAAGGGAGGCTGAGGCGGGTGGATCACGTGGTCAGGAGATTGAGACCATCCTGGCTAACATGGTGAAACCCCAACTCTACTAAAAATACAAAAAGTTAGCCGGGCGTGGTGGCATGTGCCTGTAGTCCCAGCTACTCTGGAGGCTGAGGCAGGAGAATTGCTTGAACCTGGGAGGCAGAAGTTGCAGTGAGCTGAGATCTCACCACTGCGCCCCAGCCTGGGAGACAGAGCAAGACTCCATCTCAAAAAAAAAAAAAAGTACAGAGAAGTGGAAATATTAAAATAGCTCTGGTCTTAAGGCCAAGCAGCTGACTATATTTCTGGGGTGAGTCTTGGAGACATTCTGTTTACAAAAGCAGTAAGGAATGAGCAGGTAAGAGAGCCACCAACATCAATGAGAAATTTAGTAGTGCCTATTCCATAAAGTCAGCATTTGTGATTAAAAGTTTTGTTACAGAACTAAGCTTCCCAGGAGTAATGGTAATGATAATATCCCAGAATAGCAAAGCCAGGAGGTAGCATTTAACTTTAAGAATTAGTGTAGGTATCATTATATGATATGCAGCAAGCAAGGAATGGCAAACTAGGCAGAGTGATCTGTGACTTACAGGGATCTGTAGTTATGGACAATAGAACATAGTGGTCCTCAGAACAGGACATAGGTGGCCAAAAGGGCATAGGAATAACTGTAGACTCTATGCATCAATAGCTATGTCTATATCCATATCTATATCTATATCCATAGCTAGCTACATCTATAGCTATATAATCTACATCTACAGTTGACCCTTGAACAACGGGTTTGAACAACATGGGTTCACTTACACATGGATTTTCTTCTGCCTCTGCCACTTCTGAGACAGCAACACCAGCCCCTCCTCCTCTTCCTCTTCCTCTCAGCCTAATCAACATGAAGATGACCAAGATAAAGACCTTATGATGATCCACTTCCACTTAATAAACAGTAAATATATTTTCTCCTCCTTGTGATATTCCTAATAACATTTTCTCTTCTCTAACTTACATTAATGTAAGAATACAGAATACAATACACATAACACATAAAATGTGTGTTGATTGTTTATGTTTTCAGTAAGGCTCTGGTCAACAATAGGCTATTAATAACTGAGTTTTGGGAAAGTCAAAGTTATTCTTTAATTTCTGGCTGCACAGGGTATTGGCACCATAACACTTGTCTCATTTGAGGGCCAACTGTATATCTGTATCTCCACCTGTGTATATGTATATTTCAACAGCTTAAGATTAAACAAGCAAAAAGATAAGTTGCTCCAATGGAAATTCATAATCCTTTATCCAGTTTCCAGATGTGAGTTGATTATTGGACCTAGAATGTATCAACTGAAGGAGAGGCCAGTCCTCCCAAAAACGGGGTCACAGCAAATAGTAGCCTCACTAGTCCTTTCCCATAAATACCCACAGCCATCTTCTCAGGGGAAAGTGGAATCCCCATGCATTTGGATCCTGTTCGATACCAGATCTGAGTTGACATTGACAGTTGGAAACCCAAAATGTGAACACAAACCCCATTAGGATCTCATAATGATGGTCGGAAAATAAATGGAGTCTTGATCCGGATTAGTCTTACAGTAGTTTCACAGGGTGCACAGACCCTCATGTGGTCATTTACCCAGTTCTCCAATGTAGAGTTCACCAATAACATTCCTTGACCTATGGAGTAAGAATTATTACAATAGGAAAAGCCCAATGGGAGCTCGTGACATTGCTTGGGACCTCTCACACATTCTCCACTCAAGTGAGTGGATAGAAGCAAGAAATTAGAGACATATTCAAGGCTTACAAATGCAGGAGAGGTGAATACCACCTTCATATGATTCACTAGTTCAGACCCAACAAAAACCACATAGATCATGGCAGATGACAGTGGATGAACACAAACTCTGTCAAATAAAAATCTAATTATAGCCAATGTGATTGATGCATGTAGAATCATTTCTGGGACAAATGAACACAGTCTCCAATATGGGGTGTATGGCAACCAAACTGGCAAATGTATCCTTTTCAATAACCACCAGGAAGCAGCATCAGAAGTGAATCCATTTCACCTGGAACAGACAGTGGTGTTAACACTCTGTGCTGAACTAGGGATATGGTAATTCTCCTGATCTTTTCACAGTATAGTCGCAAAAGATCTAGGCATTGTGAGCATCCTACAATACAGCATGCTGATCCACAATATTGATAATGTCATGTGAATCGGATTTGATGAACACAAAATGTGAATACTGTGGAGACCTTGCTAAGGATCCATGTGCTCTAGAAGAGAAGAGAAAAGGATTCCAGAGGCTGCCATACTGGTAATATTTTTAAGCATCCTGTCTACAGCATACCAGGACACCACTGCTGAACATCCGACCTGCCAGCAAGAGAGTGGCCCTGAGTCCCTCGTAAGGTACCATCCTATGAGAGGATCAGCCAGTTACTTGCTGCTGATGGAATTGACATACAGTCAGGCGATGGGCTTGCATTTTCTGCTTGCAGTGCCTCAGCCAGCACCGTTATATGGGGGCCCAAGAGAACTTGTTGTGGCAGTGTGGAATCCTACCTAACTTCACCTTTGACTGATCAACCCCATATGGAGCACAAGGTGTGTGGCAATGGGCAGGTAACTGTAGATACCCTGTTACCCACAGTATACTTTATGCTGCACCATCCAGAAACAGCTGAACGGATAGTGTGATGCAACCACCTCTTGAAGCCATAATGGAGGTCTCAGCTTGGAGATGACACCCTGTGAGGTGGAGCACTGTTCTTCAGGATGCAGTAAGAATTATTACACCAATCACCATCACATGGTACTGTGTCCACAACAGGTAAAATACATTAATACAGAAAACCAAAGTGTGGACAGAGGAGTTGCTCACTCACCTTCATGCCCTGTGAGCCACTTGAGGGAATTTGTGCTCCCTCCCAAATAACTGTAAGTTTTATGGAGAGGTCCTGGCTCCAAGAAGGGAGGAGCCACCTCCAGGGGGCATAGTAAGGATTTGATTGGAATTAAAGCTATGGTTGTTACCTTATCACTTTGGCTGGAGAAAAGCACATAAAGAAAAGAGCTGTTGCCACAGGCAATTGGCCTCATCATCATGAGGAAGTAGGACCACTGCTATGCCAATGGGGACAGGGAGGAATATATTTAGCACTTAAGTGATCCTCTGGGACATGCTTGGTGCTTCTACTTCCAGCCTTGACTGCATATGAGCAAGTTCAAGGGCTCAAGCCTGATAAGGACACAGTAACCAAGGCTTAGAGCTCTCAGGATGAGGACTCGGGTTACCCTACCAAGCAAGTGACCTAGACCAGAAGCAGGGGTGCCCATGACCCCTCCTCTCATACGTTTCTCTAGAAACTGTGACCAACCAGTTGGAGTGAGCCTAATGAGAGAAACAGCTGCAGCTGAGCAGTGCCAGAGGTGGACTACAGGGCTCCCTATCCTGATCCCATTTACCAGAAAGATACCCCCATCCCCAAGCTAGTGTAAGTAGGACAGCCAGCAGCTCCCTTTGTTCACCTTCACACTTCTCCAGATAGTTGTCCTCAGCTTACAGGAGCCACCTCATCTGGAGGATTCCGCCCTCTTCGCATCCTCTTCCTCTCCCACAGGGTGGGCCATAGCTAGTGGTAACTGATGTAGGATTGTAAAGTTCCAACGACCTTACCTCTCAGAAAGATGGGTCTGTAATACCATTCACACTCTAGAGCTTCCTGTGGGGTCAAATGACAATAAAATCCTTTTGGGCTTAGCCTCTTCTACAATCCTATTCTGTTTCCGACATTTCCTTACTGATTTCTCCTGAGAGCATCTTCTTATAAAAGTCACTTGTGCAAACATCCTGTTTTAGATCTTTCTTTGGTGCCTCCAACTTAGCAGCATGGCTCAGGGTGAAACCTTTTTCAATATAGCCTTTTTTAGGATGAGAATCACCAACACGGTGGTTGTGTCCTATCCCTCAGATAAAACGATGTGAAGAAAAAAACAATCAAAGACAACTAGTTTAAAAGCAAACATGCATATTGAAATAAAAACTTTAAAAATTAAAATTCTTAAAAGAAGACCAAAAAAGTAAATGAACAAATAATAGAAAAAAATTGTAATGCGCAAAAATTGAAAAGAAAAAAAACAGCAAAATGTTCAGAGGTGTCCATTCAGGTGACAGTAAACTCAAGAGTTGATCAAAATCTATGGTAACCATTCATATTGTACAAAAACATTTTGAAGGACACTAATACTGAGATTAGGAATGCTGCTGTTTTAGATTGTGTGCTCTCTGGGGCAAACCCACAAAAGAGGATCTGAGAACATGTGGTATATTTGGACGATTAACCCAAGAAACACTGGAGGAAACTTGAAGAATGACCCTGGGAAGGAGGGAAAGTCATTATAGAGTGAGTTCATGATCAGAATGTTCCTGCAGGCATCTGGTATAAATCCCGCTGAAGACCTCTGGAAGACTGGTTTGACATACCCCCCACTGGAGGGAAACAAGCCAGGGCATATATTACCAACTCCCACTAATTCTCTGAGTGCTGTTCCTAGAGGCTTTAAGTCTCCAGCCCAGAGTTTGCTCCTTTATCCAGAGAAAGTCCTCAGGTAGAGAGTTCCAGGTGCCTGCTCTAAGGAACCATTTTCCTATGTTTGAATGGAGAGTGCTGATAGGATAGAGGTGGAGCCCCTGATATCATCTGCTGTGGTCTTCTCCCTCTGCAGGGAAGAACATCAGAAAATTTGACAGGTAAGGATGAGAATTCAAGAAGGAAAAATGAGACACAATGCCCGTATATTATTTGTATGCCTCAAAAATTAAAATTTATTTAAGATAGAGGAATAGCTCCATGTGATAAATTATGGTAGAGAGCAAATATTTCAATTCAGGGAACATGGGGTTGACATATTTCAGAGAAAATTCAAACTTGTATTCATTTGGTAGAGGGTAGCAACATAGTGTTTGGTGAGCATATTTGGAGGCCAAACTCAATCCAAGAATTGGTTGGAACTGAGGTTGTCCAATTGGCCTTGCATGATTCAGTTCACAGGTGGACCATATCAAGAATGCTGGTTAATAAAGGCAGGTGAGTATAGGTGAGGGCATCAGCAGCAAGAGCCACTAGAGCAGGTTGGGCGGCAGCAGGTGGACACACAGCAGCTGGGGCGGTAGCAGGTGGTCCTGCAGCAGGTGGTCTGGCCACAGCTGGGGCGGCAGCAGGTGGGCTGGCAGCACACAGACTGGCAGCACTGGGGTCTGAAGCAGCTGGACACACAGCAGCTGGGACGGCAGCAGGTGGTCCTGCAGCAAGTGGTCTGGCAGCAGCTGGGGCTGCAGCAGGTGGGCTGGCAGCACACAGACTGGCAGCACTGCGGTCTGCAGCAGCTGGACACACAGCAGCTGGGGCGGCAGCAGGTGGTCCTGCAGCAGGTGGTCTGGCAGCAGCTGGGACGGCAGCAGTTCTCTAGGCCACAGCCCTGGTCAGAGCACACAGAGCCACAACAGGAGTTGACCATGGTGTCAGAGGGTGGAGGTTCTGGGTGGATTTCCAGGAAAGTGGGTTTGGAAGGTTTGGAAGTTTCCTTGCCCCAGATCCTCTTTTATACCCTGCTAAGGCCTGATGTCATCAGATGCAACACTCTTTCCTTGTTATTATTTGTCCTGATATGTAGGCAATTATCAAATTAGGCAAGTTTGTTGTTCTGGTTAACTTATCCACATAGATGGAAACACTATCTCCTTTCCCTAATGTGTTAGGACTCCTTAGCTCAGCTCTTCCTGAACCACCTCCTGTGTCTCTCTTACTGTAGCTTCCTCCTAGAGCAGCCATGTGACATCTGCCTGTAAGCACATACTATGTGCTTCAGTCTCATTTGCTTAACACATCATGACTACTCTTGGGTGATTACTATTCTTACAGGCCCATGACTCTTTCTGGTGACTCAGGAGGATAAAGCTGCATTTCAGTCTGATGGCTCCTTCATTATGGGTCAGATGGCCTGTGAAGGTTTCAGTGTGAAACAGATTTCAGTGTGAAACAGATGACCACTGGTGTGAGAACGAGAACACCGTAGGACCTATCGCTTTTCTATCTTCCGCACTCTGAATTGTGACCCATTTTCTAGACCTTCTGATGAGAAATACAGAGCTGTTTTAAGGTGGAAAACTAAGCTGTGAAAGTTTGATGTTTCCTTTTCTACAGAAACAACCCTCCAAAATTCAGATTCAGGGCCTCTTGGGGAATGTTGGCTTCAGAGAACAGCTATACTTAAAGGTCCAAGTCCCTCATTTTTTTGCTCCCTGGGGCAGATTTTCCTTGTGACTTTGCCTTTCTGCCTTCCTAGCTCTAACAGGGCACATGAGCTCATCTCTCCAGGTTCCAAAATTTTCTGGCCAACCCAAATTAGATGACTCAGTATCCTTTGCTTGCTCTAATTCGCTCCCAGCCCTCTTGCTTTCTCTGCTGAATTGCTGGGCCTTGAAGATGCCCTATACTCTGCTGCTTCCTTATAGAAGTTGTTGATCCAATTTCACACTTTACATCTTTGTTTTCAAAAAATAAATCAATAAAGAGAGAAAGAAAGCAGAAAACAGGTATCAAGAACAAAGGATATCAGCCTATATTTTTTCATGTAGGGATGGCTGACTATTGTTACAAAAATGTGCTATGTTGTCAATTCATTAACTCATCAGTTAATAAATATATATGTATTTCCCCACCCCTGAGGAGTCAAGGAACCCAGGGAAGGGGGTGGAAAAATGTCTGACTTACCATGATAGAAATGTTTTATGAACTGGGCAGCCTCTGCAGATAATCAGGGGAGGAGTTTCAGTGTAAGCTGGTGTTTCTGAGGGAGATCCAAGAACCAGATGGAGGGGATTGGATGAATGAGGGAGATTCCCTTTCTTCTCTCAGGTGCTTATAAGTCTAATAAATCAAATTGTGATGTTCTTATGATGCTGCTATGTTCCAAGCCAGTTCCTACTCCTGCCCTGGCCCTAATTTCCAGGTGATTCAAGCAGAATGAAAACAACTTGGGCTCCCAAGTGAACCCCTGCTTGGTGCGCTGGCTGGTGTTCTGAGCCTGCACTGTTCTCTGGCTCTGATGTACCCAGACATCATATTTTATTGAGGGATGAAAGTGGGTTCCATGATGCTGTGGGATTAAGACCCTGTGAGCCCCATGGTGGTGTACGAGAACAACTCTAAGATTTCCAGGAGACCTTGTATTCTGGAAAAGAATCGTGCCCTTGAGAAGCCGTGACTATTGGTGCCTGCTGATGATTCAGTAGAGATCACTTTATATTAACTATTTTTCTTCATGATGTGAGTGTGTGTGAGTGTGTGTGTGTGTGTGTGTGTTTTCCTTAAGATAAATTTACATTATATTTAGGAATCTCTCACGATTTCTTCTAGTACTTTAACAATTTCATTTTTTCTGCCTCTACTCAGCTATAATTGAAATATAAAATTGTATGTATATAAGGTGTACACCCTGATGCTCTGATATGTATATATTGTGAAATTATTGTCATGATCAAATTAGTTAACACCTCCACCACTTCACATAGTTACCATTTTTTGAGTGTGTGTAGTGAGAACATTTTAGATCTAGTCTTTCAGCAAATTTTAAATATACAATACAGTGTAATTAACTACAGTGACCATGCTGTACATTAGATCCTCAGAACCTATTCTTCTTATAAATGAATATTTTCTCCCTTTGACCAACATTTCCTCATTTCCTCCATCCACAACCTTTGACAATCACCATTCTACCCTCTGTTTCTATGAGTTTTTAGATTCCACATGTAAATGAGATTATTTGTCTTTCATTGTCTGACCTACTTCACTTAGCATAATGTCCTCAAAGTCCATCCATGTTGTCCCAAATGACAGGATTTTCTTCATTTCATGGCTAATAACATTTCAGTGTGTGTGTGTGTGTAAAATCCTTGCAATCTTACATTGGTGTTTGTGCCTTTGAGGACACAGTCTCCTCTTCCACACTTTACAAGTTCCCTTCAGCAGGGAAAGACTCTCAGCAGTCAACTCGGCCTGGGATTCTGGACGGGGAAGCTGGTAGCATTTGTGAACAGGCAGGGCTTACTCTTGGGGGTCTCTGGGTGGGTAAAACTTCTGCCCAGGCCCTGAGGTTCAGTGGGGCTGCTGCCTGGGCTTTTGTGCAGCTGTGGCTACTGGCTGGGATCCACGGGTAGGTGTGGCCACTGAACGGTTTCATTTTTATGTTGAATATTTTATCTGGATGAAATTTGTTTTGATTTAACAAATGAAAATCTCTCCTTTTTTTCTTCATTCTGTACATCTTTCATTAATCCCTTTTATTCTTTCTTCCTTTTTTCCCTTTCCTTCGTTTATTCCTGAATTTGGCTACCTGTTTTATAGTTTATTTGAAATAATCCTTTCCATACTGCTTTTAAGACACCAGCTTTAGGATATAATTAATTTGTATAGACTTTTTTTTTTTGAGACGGAGTCTCGCTCTTTCGCCCAGGCCAGAGTGCAGCGGTGCTATCTCGACTCACTGCAAGCTCCACCTCCCCAGTTCACGCCATTCTCCTGCCTCAGCCTCCTGAGTAGCTGGGACTACAGGTGCCCGCCACCATGCCTGGCTAATTTTTTGTATTTTTAGTAGAGATAGTGTTTCACCGTGTTAGCCAGGATGGTCTCGATCTCCTGACCTCGTGATCCACCTGCCTCGGCCTCCCAAAATGCTGGGATTACAGGAGTGAGCCATGTATAGACTTTTAAGTCAATTTCTGGGCTCTACTCAATGGCAAACTTCACTGTTTGAAAATCTCTGGGTTAGATATCTCTAACGTGACTTCCAGTTTACAAACCTATACATTTATGACTTTTTTTGATTCCCTTTTACTTGATGACTCATTGTTATCCTTTATCCCTCCCATCCATGTTCACGCTTATCTTTTAAAATTTGTAATTGTCCTCAGGTTCAGTCATGTAAAATCCCATTTTTAAGAGTATGGATCCTATAAGATATAGTAATTTTCCCTACATGCTCCTCCTAGGAGAGAAGCAATTCAAAATAAAATACCCAGCCACAAATACCCGAAAGACATTTCTGTCTAACCTAAATTATGACTTAAAACAGTGATATAAACTCTTCAAAAATTATTTTTCCCAACAACCATATTACTAGGTTAGTGCTGAATGCACCAAAGTCCTCCAAATATTAGCCATAATTAGATAGGCCACAGGAATAAATACAACCTGCATTTTTATACTTCTGGCAACACATCTTGCCTGTTTTGTGCCTATGTTCATTTCAAAATTTAACTGAGACATAAGCTAATGTTTACCCAGAAAAGTGTATTTAGATTCTCATAAGAATAGAGCGATACCCTTACAAGAAAGACTAAAATATTAGAACTCTTTCATCCAGAAAGAAAATAGAAGGTTGGCTAAGAAACTCTTAAAAGCCTTGGCCGGGCGTGGTGGCTCATGCCTGTAATCCCAGCACTTTGGGAGCCCGAGGCAGGTGGATCATGAGGTCAGGAGATCGAGACCATCATGGCTAACACGGTGAAACCCTGTCTCTACTAAAAATACAAAAATTTAGCCGGGCACGGTGGTGGGTGCCTGTAGTCCCAGCTACTCAGGAGGCTGAGGCAGGAGAATGGCGTGAACCCGGGAGGCAGAGCTTGCAGTGAGCCAAGATCACGCCACTGCACTCCAGCCTGGGCGACAGAGTGAGACTCCATCTCAAAAAAAAAAAAAAAAGAATGTGACTTTCTTTATGACACTAATGTTATATTGCTCTACTGATATGATAATGTACTTTAATTTTTGCCATTTTCTTCTTCGTCCTTGTCTAAATTTTGCTTCTAACTAAAGTCCTTAACTCTTGGGCCTATTGATATTATTTGGTTATGGAATGGAAATTATCTCAAAGACATGAGAAACTGTGATAAGTTTGAACTTCCAAAAGGGAAAGTAGTTGCTAAAGAGCAGAGGAAACAACCAGATGGCTGCCTTGGAGCTAGGCTGCCTTGGGTAAAACATTCACTTGTCATGGGGAGATAAGAGGCTGCTGTAAACATGGTGACACACGCTATAAAGACAAAACAGATAACATTTCTTGACAATTTGCTTTGCCTATCCCAGACAAGTGTGGACAGTAATTGGTATTTAGGTATAAATCATACCAATGAAAATGAGAAATCTACCAGTATTTCTCGCTTTACCTTCCTGCTGTCTACCCATCAGCTGAGTGGCACCCCCATCATTTGCAATGACCTTCCACTGCATCTGTGCTTCACCTTGACAGCCTTGGCATTACTGCTTACTGCACTCCTGCCCATATTTTCTGATCCTTCATGATTATTATCATTATTGAAAAGAATATTATTTCCCCATTTTAGAACATCTATAATTTTTTTGGTCCTTTCCTGAGGATAATTTTTATTCTATTAAATCCTGTATTTTGCTCAAGTATATATTTTTTTCATGTGGAAGTGACATCAGGCAGAATAAGCAAAGCCATGTGGCTACAGGAGACATATGGTTTGCTTGTCTCAATATGACCAAGTTTACCTGAGATACAAGAAAGCTGTAGAGTCTAAGCATATCCCGAGAGTGCATTCTTAGCTCACAGCTTAAAATTACAGCCTGAGTCCTTCTCTTTTACAACTCTATCATTGCCTACCATTCAAACCCTTACCCAACTCCTCCCTGACTCTTCCCCAAAGAGGATATTCCCTTGTCCTTGTGTGGCTCCATCTTTGACTAAGAGCTTTCTCATTTGCCTATGACTTTTAGTATAGTACCATTAACATAGAGGTGATGGGATGAGGCCAGTGAGGTTTAACTTCCACCACATTTGGTCAACACCAACTGTTTCTTAGCTCATCTCAGTCTTGTCCTCATAAGAATGTAAACATTTTCCTATATTTTCCTCCTCTTCATTTCATGGGTCTGTGACCTGCACATCTTCCCTGTACCAACTTAACTCATTCTATTATTAAATGTGTGTATATGTATATTCCTAATGTCTTACTCTTCCCCAAGACAGAAAGTTCTCCTCTGATCAGTACTACCCAGCATAATCTATCTACTTTGCTCTTTCCTCTTATTTCCAAGATTAGACGGTGAGCTCCTTTTAGGAAGCTCCTGTGCCTCACATATCTTGATGTGATCTCCAGAGCCCAACAGTGCAATGAACATGACAGATGATCAATAATTTCATTGACTGAATAAGAAACTTTTGTTAGTTAAATACAGCGAGTTATCTTATTTTGAAAAATTTATGAAGTCCTTTCTATAATATAAGCATTACATTATATTTACAAAATCAGTTTTCTTTCCTGGTCGTGGGAACCCAAATTTGTCTTTATCTTGAGAGAAGTAATGCTAAAAAATAAACTGACAACTAATTCTCAAAAAAATTGAAAAAAGAGAAAAGAATTACTGATATTAAGATAATATTTATTGAAGAACAGTTAATATGTAATTTTGAAGGTCAAATCAAGCATAACAGTCAGAGACTTAGAGGCTTAGTCTAACTGCATCATGCATCTGAGGTCTGAATGCTGGGAAGAGATCCATGGGAAAAATGAGTGGTATTAAATGTAGATGGATGCCCTTTCACCAGTTACTTAGTGGAATAACAGGATAATAAAGCTGATGGCCATTTAACACATGGACAAATTGATATAAATGACACTTTCATATCATGGGATGGTGACTGGCTCATGGTTGATAGTCCAATATGAGGTTCAACAAGAGGATCCACAGCAGCTGGGGCGGCAGCAAGTTGTACGGCAGCAGGTGGTCTGACAGCAGAGTGGACGGCAGCAGCTGGACACACCACAGCTGGGGCGGCAGGTGGTCTGACAACAGAGTGGACGGCAGCAGCTGGACACACCACAGCTGGGGCGGCAGGTGGTCTGACAACAGACTGGGCGGCAGCAGCTGGGGCGACAGCAAGTGGTCTGGCAGCAGGTAGTCTGAGAGCAGGATGGGCGGCAGCAGCTGGATACAACACAGCTGGGGCAGCAACAGGTGGTCTGGCAGCAGCTGGGGCGGCAGCAGGTCTCTTGGCAGAGGCCTTGATCACAGCCCTGGTCAGAGCAGACAGAGCCACAACAAGAGTTAACCATGGTGTCAGAGGGTGGAGGTTCTAGGTAGGTTTCCAAGACAGTGAGTTTTTCAAATGTGGGAATCTCCTTATCCCATGTCCACTTTTATACTCAGCTGAGGAGCTGTTGTCACCACATAAAAGCTATTTCCTTGTTATTGTTTATCTTAATAGATAGGCAGTTATCAAGTTAGCTAATTGTGGGAAAAAATCTGTATAAAAGGTGGAATGCACTTTTATTCTTTCTCTGTGTTAGAGTTTAGCCAATCCAGTCTTTCCTCCTCCTCTTGTCTTCAGTTAATTTAGTGTGTCATTTAATTTCAAAGACTTGTAATCTTACTCATCCAGTCGATTGTCAGGTGACAGATCACTTGGAACTCAGCATTCTCTGTGTCATCCTGAAAACTGTGTGTCTCACAGCAGTCCTCAAATGGGATGATGTTTCTTGTTTTCTGAAGATTCTTCTGAGAAAAATAAACTGTGAAACAACTAGAAGAAAACAGCAGAAATTGTCTTAAAATATTAGAAGTGGAGTGGATTTTCTAATACAGAAAAACTTAATAGCAATGAAGAAAAAGATTGAAAAAAATTTACAACAGAAAAAAACTCAAATGCCTGATTGAAAAACAAGAAGGCTAAAGAGTAAGCTGAAAATAAATAATAATACCTTAACCAATCTACAAATAAATGAGCTAATTTTCTTAATCCATGAATACCTCTTACAACCCAATGAGAAAAACAACAACAACAACAACCAAACAGAAAATTGAGTAAAGGATATTAACAGTGATTTCACTAAAAAAAGAAATTTAAGTGCCTTTTGAGCTTCTGAAAGATGTTTAGTCTCACTCATAATTTAAGGTATTTTAATTGAACAACTTATTCACTCATCAAACCATCTACCGAATACCTACTGTGTGCCAGGTTCTACTGCATGCTCTCGGGATATGGCAGTGAATACTTGCTATTTGTAATGACAAATGTAAAATATTTAAGTTTAAAAACTTTAATAAATTGGTGAAATTATAAAGACATTGACATTTTAATACACAGTTGGCAGGGATCTAAATTGAGGCAACTTCTTTAGATGGTAATTAACAGAATCTGAAATTTAACAGTATCTTAAATTAATTTAGCATATTTTGAAATGTGCGTGTGTTTTGATTGAGCCGTTTCACTTCTAGAAATGTATTCAACAGATGCACCTATACATACCTTCCAAGATGTAAGTTCAAGGGTATTCTTTGCAACATTGTTTGCAAGAATAAAGCCTGATTTTAAATTCTATTGTGTTTACGGAGGGGAAAGCCCTTGATGTAGGCAACACACACTAGTGCTCAGAGGCAGTGAAGCATCACTTTCTTTTTATCACCAAAGAAACCTCTTTGACCTATTCTTGCAATTTTTCTATAAGTGCAAGACGACATTAATTTTTAAAAAAAGAAATTAAGAATGTTATCTCTTTAGGCCATCCCTATCCCATGCAGACACCTACTTTCTATTTAGACTGAGTTATTCAGGAAGGAGGGAAGAGGGGATGGAAGGAAGGATACAAGAACATATTTAGAATATATTTTTATGGACATATTTTATGACTATTTGGGGTATATATAAAAATTATGAAAATTCAGTTCGTTAGGCATAAAATGGCATAAAAATATCCATTGTGTCTAAGTTGATAATGATTTTACTCAAATTCTCCATATCTTTGTTTACTTTTCTTCTTCAAATGACCGTTTTTGAAATAGTATGTTTAAAGCCTCTGCTATGATTGCAGTTTTATCACCTTCCTGTCTATTTATAACAGGTTTTTTTCTTTGCACTTAGTTTGAATGTAGCCCAACTTCTTATGACAACAAGAATATTAATATTTTTGCAGACATAATTAATGTATCATAAGGAAGTCACTATCAAGGTCAAAGCAAGTGCAGGTATCATAGGCTTGGGATTCTGGTCTAACTGAGCCACAGTTCTATGGTCACTTGTTTGTTTAGAAATAGCCCTCTCTGTCTGAAGGCAGGGGAGACAGCTTAGAGATAACCCTTCTCCTTAAAACAAGTATGTTTTCAACATGGTAGTTGACTCAGGCTGGTGGTCAGGAATGAAATTCAACAACAGGATCCACAGATTGGTGGTCTGGCAGCAGACTGGATGGTAGCAACTGAACTCACAGAAGCTGCGGCAGCAGCAAGCGGTCTTGCAGCAGGTGGTCTGGCAGCAGCTGGGATGGCAGCAGATCTCTTGGCAGAGGTCTTAACCACACCTCTGGTGACAGCAGAAGGAGCTGCAGCAGGAGCTGACCATGGTGTCAGAAGGTGGAGGTTCTGGGTGTGGGTTTTCAGTGGCATAAGGTACTAGAGTTCATAAGCCTTCTTCCTTCCAAGTTTCCTTCTCTACCCTGCTGAGGACTTGCCATCACCATGACCTGGGTTATTTCCTTGCTATTGTTTATCTTACCTGAAGAGAAATGATCAGATATTCTGATTGAAGCATGACATTGTAGCAGTTAGCCTTGGTTTTTAAAATGGATGCTAAGGTAATTTCCATTTAATCAGTTATTTATCCCTAAAAGCACCATTTTTCTTCCTTTTTTGTTTTAGCATCATCTCATCCATTCCTTCATATACTTTTCAGAGTGTGTCATTTGATATTCTGAGCACAGGACGAGTCATTCTTTTGTTCCAACCATTTAATTTACTGTTCCTGAATGAGCTGCATAGCCACAGTCCCTTCAATTTGAACAGTATTTAAAATAGATGTAAACATGGATATGTTAATACCCAAAAAATAAGACCCCAGTACATTATAGCAAATAGCTGCTAATGAAATCAGCATAGCACACTTATAAATTATGAAGTAGCTAAAAAACATCTAAGGCACGTGGCTTCAAATTTAACTTGTTCAGAATAGAATTGCTCATTCTGTTTCTTTTCCGAACCAATGCCCTAATTAATTCCCCAGTCCTATTACAAATGGTTGTTAGTCCAAATTTTCAAGCTAGGGCTGGGCGCAGTGGCTCACGCCTGTAATCCCAACACTTTGGGTGGCCAAGGTGGGTGAATCACCTGAGGTCGGGAGTTCAAGACCAGCCTGGTCAACGTGGTGAAAGTCCATCTCTACTAAAAATACAAAAAATTAGCCGGGAGTGGTGGCACGTGCCTGTAGTCCCAGCTACTCAGGAGGCTGAGGCAGGAGGATCATTTGAACCCATGAAGCGGGGGTTGCATTGAGCCAAGATCACGCCCCTGCACTCCAGCCTGGGCAACAGAGTAAGACTCTATCTCCAAAAAAAAAAAATCAAGCTAGTAAATGTAAAGTTCTTCATTCAATAATCATGTTTTGGTTCCCGCTATGTGCCAAACCCATTCTCAGGGTGGAGACACAAGTGAAGAATACTCCACCCCATCCTCTCCTTCACTATAACTTCATTCTGACTAAATGAACTGCACCAGATCATTTTATGGGATGAACTGGCAATGCCATTACCCATATGCTGGACCAGCAAACAGAGGCTGTGTCCACCTTCACAGCTAAGGTCAGGATGCCTCAGCAGCAGAGATGGCAGAAATTTTTAGCCACAGTTTAAGTCAGAGCAAGTCAAGCTGTATCAAAAGACCATTTTGTTGCCAGTGAAAATAAGAAACTCTTTATTTGAATAGATTAGCCAGATATGGAAATTGCTAAGCATCCAAAATATTATGCAACTTATTCTGTGTTTTCCCCATTAATACACATGATGGAGTCATTCTCGTCCCGTTTGTTCCTTCATTTAAAACACACGGCCGGGCGCGGTGGCTCACGCCTGTAATCCCAGCACTTTGGGAGGCCGAGACGGGCGGATCACGAGGTCAGGAGATCGAGACCATCCTGGCTAACACGGTGAAACCCCGTCTCTACTAAAAATACAAAAATTAGCCGGGCATGGTGGCGCGCGCCTGTAGTCCCAGCTACACGGGAGGCTGAGGCAGGAGAATGGCGTGAACCCGGGAGGCGGAGCTTGCAGTGAGTCGAGATCGCGCCACTGCACTCCAGCCTGGGCGACAGAGCGAAACTCCGTCTCAAAAAAAAAAAAAAAAACACACAACGGTGTTTGTATTTTCAAACTGCAATTCAAAGCAAAATATTTTAGTTGTCTGACTAACTGCTTTTAAACTTTTCTTTGCACCACTAAGCGTAAACATCATGTACCCAGGGATGTTTGTACTTAGGGCCATCAACAGATGTGGAGCTCAGCATGGAAAAGATTACGACAATTACAATTGAGCCCAGTCCCCTGTTTCAGGAATTGAGATACCCAAGTGGAGTTGCTATTACTATTAGAATTACTGTCATTGAATCTGTGTTTGTGTGACACAGATGAAAAGTTTGATAAAAAATACATTTTAACGGAAAATATTTTAAAATATGGTTTACATTTGTCACCTTGAGTTAATCACCATGTTCTAGTGCTGGAGGGGAAAATGTAGGTGGTGACAATAGTTCTGGCCTCTTCAAGTTAGTTTCAGTTGTCAGGGGATCAGTCAATGTACTCTGTCTTAAAGAATGATAATTCAGGCGAGGCACAGTGGCTCATGCCCGTAATCCCATCACTCTGGGAGGCTGAGGTAGGAGGATCGCTTAAGTCCAGAAGTTCAAGGCCACAATGAGCTATGATCGCGCCACTGCACACTAGCCTGAGTGACAGGTGAAACCTTGTCTCTAAGATAATAATAGCAGTAAAATAATAAATAAAAATATATACTTTATAGTTAAATGATGCTATTGATGTTGATCACCTCTCTCACTTCTGGATATAAGTTTTTATGGGTTATCTATTGTTAAGTAGAACAATCATTTATTTTCAGAAGATTCATAACACTTAAGGAACACTTCGTCCCTGGGCAATTCCCTATAGGTTATGAAAAATAATGTCATAAATAATAACCAGGAAAATTCTGCTCATTGGTTCCAGATTTGGGAACCAGTGTATAAAAGGTCCAGATACTAGAAGGGGGTCATCAGATTCTTGGAAACTCACCTCTGAACAGGAGCCCACCCTTCACCCCTGACACCATGACCCACTGCTGTTCCCCTTGCTGTCAGCCTACATGCTGCAGGACCACCTGCTGCAGGACAACCTGCTGGAAGCCCACCACTGTGACCACCTGCAGCAGCACACCCTGTTGCCAGCCCTCCTGCTGTGTGCCCAGCTGCTGCCAGCCTTGCTGCCACCCAACTTGCTGTCAAAACACCTGCTGCAGGACCACCTGCTGCCAGCCCACTTGTGTGGCCAGCTGCTGCCAGCCTTCCTGCTGCAGCACACCCTGCTGCCAGCCCACCTGCTGTGGGTCCAGCTGCTGTGGCCAAACCAGCTGTGGGTCCAGCTGCTGTCAGCCTATTTGTGGGTCCAGTTGCTGTCAGCCTTGCTGTCACCCGACTTGCTATCAAACTACCTGCTTCAGGACCACCTGCTGCCAGCCTACCTGCTGCCAGCCCACCTGCTGCAGGAACACCTCTTGCCAGCCCACCTGCTGTGGGTCCAGCTGCTGCCAGCCTAGCTGTGGGTCCAGCTGCTGCCAGCCTTGCTGCCACCCAACATGCTGTCAAACCATTTGTAGATCCACCTGCTGCCAACCATCCTGTGTGACCAGATGCTGCAGCACACCCTGTTGCCAGCCAACCTGTGGTGGGTCCAGCTGCTGTAGCCAAACCTGCAATGAGTCCAGCTATTGTCTGCCTTGCTGCCGTCCCACCTGCTGCCAGACCACCTGCTACAGGACCACCTGTTGCCGCCCCAGCTGTTGCTGCAGTCCTTGCTGTGTCTCCAGCTGCTGCCAGCCTTCCTGCTGCTAATCCACTTGCTGCAGACCCACCACCCACCAGAGACATATTTCCTGAAACATTTTGTCAAAGTTCCTATTCCACCAAGAAACATTCGCTAAGCTTTTCTGAGAAACAACATTCTGACACTGAACTTTGTGATCATCTTCTTCCTACCATGCTTGGGATTCTGCTGAAGGTTTGCAGTCTACCTCACTTTCATTCTTCTTCATTCCCTCTGTGTTAATGTACCAGATGGTGGTCAGTCAACTCCACCTAATTGACATGGATACATGGACTCAGCCACAGAAAGTGGTCATCAGCTTTTGCCCCTATGGAACTTAAAAAAAAATTCTTAAGACTGCATATCTAACTCTCTATAATGATCAATACTGATCATCTTTTTAGATATATACATTTTATTTAGTAGCCTCTGCCAGATTACTAAACTCTTTCATGATCACTTTTAATTGTCTCCCTACCTGGTCTTTCCTAATAAAATTTATATTATCCTGCATCCTATGGTATGATTTTTGTTCCATTTGTTTGTTTGTTTGCAGCAGTTGCTTTGTGAAGCCTTACTTTTGAGTTGTGGTTTATATTTATTATCTTGTTCAAGTCTCACAATGACCTACAAGTTGGACAGAGCAAACATTTTAGTGATGAGAAAATGATTTGCCATACAACTAGCAATTGACAAGGGAAGGTTCAATGACCAGGTACTTTGAATCCAGGTTAAGGACACTTTTTTAAAAACATTTTTCTCCGGGTAGATGCAACAGTGGTGATTGAGTGCAGGGAAGATGTACATTTTAAGTCACATCTCAAGCAAACACTTTTCTATCTACAAAGCACTTCCCAAATACTCTCCCCACCTCTATGACCACTAGAGACCATCTTTAAGAGTTCTAGGAATGCTTTTACACTCTTGGTGGGAGTGTGAATTAGTTCAACCATTGTGGACAACAGTGTGGCTATTCCTCAAGGATCTAGAACCAGAAATGCCATTTGACCAAGCAATCCCATTACTGGGTATATACCCAAAGGATTATAAATCATTCTACTATAAAGACACCTGCACATGTATGTTTATTGCAGCATTATTTACAATAGCAAAGACTTGGAACCAACCTAAATGTCTGTCAGTGATAGACTGGATAAAGAAAATGTGTCACATATACACCATGGAATACTATGCAGCCATAAAAAGATTGAGATTATGTCCTTTGCAGAGACATGGATGAAGCTGGAAGCCATCATTTCAGCAAACTAACATAGAAACAGAAAAACAAAACACTGCATGTTCTCGCTTATAAGTGGGAGTTGAACTGTGAGAATACATGGACACAGGAAGGGGACCATCACACACCAGGGCCTGTCGGGGGATGGGGGGCAAGGGGAGGGAGAGCATTGAGACAAATACCTAATGCATGCGGGGCTTAAAACCTAGATGACAGGTTGTTAGGTGCAGCAAACCACCATGGTACATGTATACCTATGTAACAAACCTGCACATTCTGCACGTGTAACCCAGAACTTAGAGTAAAATAAAAAATAAAAATAAATAAAACTTTTTAAAAAGTGTTCTAGTCCATGAAAAGAGCTTTGTGTCTCTGGATTCTGATCCACCACTGAAGAATCTGTCACCAACAACTAGTGTGACATGGGTTTTCCCGGCCCTACTCTCACCACGAAGAACCTCCTCTTTGCTGTCATGATTAAGCATCTGGGTATCATTTCATTTATTTTAACAGGAATTAGGATTAAGAATCACTTTTGCAAAGCGCACAAGATTGGACCATGCTTCCTGGGTTCCCAAATTTTGAGGCAATTTTGTTTCCTAACATGAACTTTGTTAAGGGAAGATAAATTTGTACAGAATCCTAAGAATTAAGGTAACCATGCAATGGACTTATGCCCTTTGATCTAATCATAATCTCTGGGCCATAAAAGAAAACAAAATAACTCCCTGTGTTTTATGAGATAAAGAAGATAAAGTCAATTATGCTAAAGGAAGTCAAAATCAGAATTTTCAGAAAAAAAGGGAGAAATGTTAGAAACATGAAAATGGGAACAAATGATGCACTATTTAAAGCCAAGATGGGCATTAAGTTGGTTCCTAAATGGAGGAAACTGGATCTTCTGATGAGAAACTGAATAAGGAAAGGAATAGCCAGAGGACGCAGCAGTACGAAGGCTAATTCAGCTTTGGGAGGACACTAAGAGGTTTTGACTGTGGCCACCTTCTTTTTAATTATTATTATTATTTTTTAATTTTAATTTATATATTTTTATATTTTTTTATTATACTGTAAGTTCTAGGGTACATGTGCACATCGTGCAGGTTTGTTACATATGTATACATGTGCCATGTTGGTTTGCTGCACCGATTAACTCATCATTTACATTAGGTATATCTCCTAATGCTATCTCTACCCGCTCCCCCCACCCCACAACTGTGGCCACCTTCTTAAGAGACCTGAAGGTGCTTTGGGTGAGCGAACTACTAGATGTGACAGAGACATGTCATCTTCCTAGGGGATGTATCTGGAATTCTCTGCCGGGTTATTAACTTTCCAACAGGGGGAATGAATGGGTAATTTGCTGACATTTACTGAGAGCCTGCTATACACTAGGTATTGAGGTAGTTGCTCCATGCGCCCTCTGTCTCATTCCCAGGCAATCCCAAAGGTAAGTATTAGTGGCCCCATGTTCAAGCTGAGGAAGTCAGTGTTGAAGAAGTTAAAGCAACTCATATGTGTTGCATAAATGATACAACATTTTTCTGCTTTCCAAAACAAAGCTGTTTGGGGGAAGTACTGGTGAAATGAGAGATATAGATCAATGGAAAATATTGAGAGACAAGAAAGAGATTCACATATATATTATCAATTGATTTTTTGACAAGATGCCAAGTGGATATACAGATAATCTGTGGTCTTTTGAATAAACAGTGCTGGAACAATTAAACATCCATGAGCAAAAAGAAAAAAAAATAGAACTTTGATTTATACATTACATATATACAAAAATAAGCTCAAAATGGATCACAGGCCAAAGTGTAAAACCTAAAACTACAAAACTTTTAGAAGGAAACATAGAAAAAAGTTTTAGGACTGTAGATTAGGTGAAGATTTCTTAGATGAATACATAACTCCCTCAAAAAGTGGGCAAAGGATATGAACAGACACTTCTCAAAAAAAGACATTTATGCAGCCAATAAACATATGAAAAACAGCTCAACATCACTGATCATTAGATAATGCAAATCAAAACCACAATGAGATACCATCTCATGTCACTCTGAATGGCGATCATTAGAAAGTTAAGAAACAATAGATGCTGGTGAGGTATGGAGAAATGGGAACGCTATTACACTGTTGGTGGGAATGTAAAATAGTTCAACCATTATGGAAGGCAGTGTGGCGATTCCTCAAGGATCTAGAACCAGAAATACCATTTCACTCGGCAATCCCATTTCTGGGTATATACCCAAAGGAATATAAATCATTCTGCTATAAAGACACATGCACACGTATGTTTATTGCAACACTATTTACAATAGTGAAGACTTGGAACAAACCCAAATGCTCATCAATGATAGACTGGGTAAAGAAAATGTGGCACATATACACCATGGAATACTATGCAGCCATAAAAAAGATTGAGATCATGTCATTTGCAGGGACATGGATGAAGCTGGAAGCCATCATCCTCAGCAAATTGGCACAGGAACAGAAAACCAAACACCACATGTTCTCACTCATAAGTGGGAGTTGAACAATGAGAACACATGGACACAGGGAGGGGAACAACATACACCAGAGCCTGTCTAGGGAGGAGGGCAAGAAGAGGGAGAGTATTAGGACAAATAGCTAATGCATGCCAGGCTTAAAACCTAGATTACGGGTTGATAGGTGCAGCAAACCACCATGACACATGTATACCTATGTAATAAACCTGCATGTTCTGCACATGTATCCCAGAAATTAAAGTACAATTTTAAAAAAAGTAAACTGATATCCAAAACACATTGCATCATATCATGGCTATGTAGATTTTTGCCCAAAAACTTTCAGTTAAAAGTTAAAATGAAAAAAATAAAGTTGAGATGAAATGGGGAAAAAAATAGAATAGGTAAGATTGTGAATATCCAGCAAAAGTTCTGTGAACTCAATTCTAACAAAGCAGAAGTTGTGGTTAATAAGGTCAGTGATGGTCTTCACAATAGCAAAGACATGGAATCAACCTAAATGCTTATCAATGGTAGACTAGATAAAGAAAATGTGGTATATGTATGCCATGGAATACTACACAGGCATAAAAAAAGAATGAGATCATGCCCTTTGCAGCAACATAGATGGAGCTGGAGGCCATTATCCTAAGCAAACTAACACCGGAACAGAAAATTAAATACTGCTTATTATCTCCACTTATAAGTAGGAGCTAAAAATTGAGTAAATATGGACACAAAGATAGGGACAACAGAGATACCTGTGTCTACTTAAGGGTGGAGGGTGGGAGGGGGGTGAGGATTGAAAAACTGCCTGTCAGGTACTATGCTGATTACCTGGGTGACAAAATAATCTGTACACCAAACCCTGCAACATGCAGTTTACCTATATAACAAACCTGCAGCCGGGCGTGGTGGCTCACGCCTGTAATCCCAAAACTTTGGGAGGCCGAGGTGAGTGGATCACCTGAGGTCAGGAGTTCGAGACCAGCCTGACCAACATAGAGAAACCCTGTCTCTACTGAAAATACAAAATTAGCCGGGTGTGGTGGCGCATGCCTGTAATCCCAGCTGCTTGGGAGGCTGAGGCAGGAGAATGGCTTGAACCCAGGAGGCGGAGGTTGCAGTGAGCTGAGATCGCACCATTGTGCTCCAGCCTGGGCAACAAGATCTAAACTCCATCTGAAAAAAAAAAAAAAGTCCTGCACATGTACCCTTGAACTTAAAATAAAAGTGAAAAAAAATAAAGAAATAAAGTCAGTGATGAAGACCTTGGGAAACAGTGAGCATCTTAAAGTCTGCAAAGGCTGGGGAGAAGAAATACGCCTGGTAAGAATGTCATCTGTTCAGTAAGAAGGCAGATGCCAGAGCTTAGAAGAAATTTAAGGTGATTTTTTTGGGACGAAGCACTGGGAGAAAAGATGGCTAGTAAGAGTAGGAACCTCACAGGAATTCCTTTCGGTTCATTCCATTTGCAAATGATCCCAATGAGGAAAAATTGCCAGAGGCCTAGAGTGGAAGGAGCTAATGCAAAAATTATTCTGGCAATGTGAATTCTAAACACTATTGGGATGCAAGCGTTGGCTGGACAATCATTAGAACATTGTGCCAAGGATTCGCAGTGTCTGGTAATTGGTTATTATTATTGGACTTCAGAGGTCACTTCAGTTCTTGAGATACTTCAAAAGTTCCCAAATGTTTTTGTTGGATTCAAAATTGACCATTCGCTGATTTTTGAAGTCCATAAGCAACAAAATATGTAAAATATGTAAAATTTAAAAAGAAACACAAAGTGCCATACATACTTATTAGGCATCCTTTGGAGGAAACAGGAAGGCTGTCTTCCAGGGTAGTAAATACTACCTTGAAAAACGTACCAGTATCTGGCCTTCAGCCTTGCACACTCCAGAAACCGAAATTATTTACATTCTAAGAGTGAAACCACCTCTGGGAGCAGGCTCACTTTCACCAAGCCCATAACATTAGTACCAGTTGAAGAATCTACATGAGAAATAACTTAAAGAGAAGATGACATTTTCATGGGTCTTTTTGACCAGGATATTTTCTTCCTATAGATATACCTGCATGAAAAGTGAAATTATAACCAAAGGTTATTTTCTTTTTTATAATTAAACTTTTTGAGATAATTGTAGATTCACATGCAGTTGCAAGAAATAATACAAAGAAACCTCTGTACTCTTTACCAAGTTTCCCCCCAATGATAACTTCTTGCAAAACTACAGTACGGTATCACAAGTCCAATGGTGACATTGATACCTTCAAGACACAGAGTAGCTCCATCAGCACAAGGATCCCTTGTATTGCCCTAAAAGCTTATTTTCTCAGCAAATATTTAGAACATTCTAATATTCTAGAAGTTCTAATAATACGGAATGGCATCTAATGCATTTGTTCTAAAACAGATTTTGCCAGGCACTCTGGAAAATTCAAGTGCCTTGGGTGGCTCTCCCTCCCCCATGCAATGTGTCGTAACCAGCACTTCTGAATTTGTCTCAGACTCTCTCTTTTCTCTAAGCTGCCATGGCTCACCAAACCTCCACCCCCATTTATAAGTCCCAGGTTCTTTTTAAAACCATCTTCAATCAACTTACAGTAATTTCTGCAGGTCTTGAAGCAGCCCCTCCCATGTTCCCCAACTTCTGATACAACCTCATTTATGCCTTTGCCTCATAAAGACCTACAAAACATTTTTAATTTTGTTTACTTTTGCCATCATATTTATGGATCATTTATGAAGTTTCAGGCCATAGCATACAAATTATATTTTAGGCAACTCCGGATTTTGTCCACTTTCTCTTTCTTCCAAATAAAAATATAAGCTGCAGCCATGCAGGTCTGTCTTCAGAAACTGGCATGGGCTCTTTGTTATCATTAGACAGTAACATGACATCATACACCTGTTTGTGTGATTCCCCCATCACACTCCTTCCCCTGGGATCCCTCAGTGAGTTCTGATGGTTTATGCACATCCTACTGCAATTTTTCCTATGACTGCCATTAAACATAAAAGACAATTCCACACTTCAGTCCTCTATTAAAATATAATATTATTATGGACAAGACCAAGTAATGCTTTCACGAAATGGTTTTTCATTTTCTTTAGCTCTGTCCAGTGTACAATGTATGTAACAAAACTTCCCTATTTTTCCACTGGAGAACCTCCATTCAGAATTCCCCCTAGATGGCAGATGTTGGCATGATTTTACTCCAGTATGTGTTTTAAAAAGAAAAGGAATGACACTCCCTAATTCCAATCCCAGCTATAACATTGATAGTTTAAGAAGTGTGAGAGAGCCCCCAGAACTGCCAATATTGGAAGTCCTATCAACATCAGATTGACTCACTGGAGAATTGTGAGGTTTGTTATGTTCAGAGTTTGCTCATGTGTAAAATGTGGAAAAATGGAAAAAGAATCAGAGGAACATGTATAATGATTCCCACTGAGGTTAACAAGTGTAGATTTGTTTCTAAGATATTAAGAACTTCATGAAATTATAGAAATTTTGAAGACTGATAATACTGATATTATATGAAATTATAGAAATTTTGAAGACTGATAACACTGTATTATGTAAGTTGTTCTGAGAGATTCCCACGGTATTTGTATGATGTTTCAATACCTTCTTTCAGCTTAGATAAGAATATTGGAATCTTCTGAAAATCGATATCAGAATCTACCCAACCTAAAAGCTTTCTACTGTACCTGTCTAATTAATATAAAAGCTTGAGAGTACTTGATATAAGTATAAATAAATGATATAAAGGCTTGAGAGGATGTTGATAGAACTTCTAGGGATTGGATTTAGGGAGTGTCCTTCCTTTTCTTTTTAAAACACATACTGGAGTAAAATCATGCCAACATCTGAAGTCCCCTCAGAATGGAGTACAGATATTATGAATCCAGATTCACCAAGAAGTTAGTTTTTTTTTTTTTAATTTAAAAAGCTGCTCATGCTGGGAATGTAAACTGGTACAACCACTGTGGAAAATAGTGTGGAGATTCCTTAAAGAACTAAAAGTAGAACTACCATTTGATCCAGCAATCCCAAAACTGGATATCTACCCAGAGGAAAAGAAGTCATTATACGAAAAAGATACTTGCACGTGCATGTTTATAACAGCACAATTCGCAATTGCAAAAAATATGAAACCAGCCCAAATGCCCATCAATCAATGAGTGGAAAAAGAAATGGTTGTATATATGATGGAATACTACTCAGCCATAGAAAGGAATGAATTAATGACACAGCAATCTGGATGGAATTGGAGACTATTATTCTAAGAGAAGTAATTCAGGAATGGAAAACCGAACCTGAAATCTTGTAAGTGGGAGCTAGCTATGAGGATGCAAAGGCATAAGAATGATACAATGGACTTTGGGGACTCAGGGGAAAAGATGGAAGGGGTGATGGATAAAAGACTACAAATTGGGTTCAGCATACACTACTCGGGTGATGGGTGCACCAGAATCTCACAAATCACCACTAAAGAACATACTCATGTAACCAAATACCACCTGTTCCCCAAAAACTTATGGAAGTAAATTTTTTTTTTAAAAAAAAAGCTGCTCAGCTCTGTCTGATGAATGATCTCGTGGTAACAGTGGAAGTGGTCAGATGTTTGACCGATCTCCAAAACCCATGTTCTTCTACCTTTTAAAGATAAAATGCTTCTTAAAACTGTTTCATCGGGGCATGGTGGCTCACGCCTGTAATCCCAGCACTTTGGGAGGCTGAGGCAGGTGGACTGCCTGAGGTCAGGAGTTCGAGACCAGCCTGGCCAACATGATGAAATCCCATCTCTACTAAAAATAGAAAAAAATTAGCTGCGCGTAGTGGCGTGTGCCTGTAATCCCAACTACCTGGGAGGCTGAGACATGGGAATTCCTTGAACCAGGAAGATGGAGGTTGTAGTGAGCTGAGATCGCACCACTGCACTCCAGCCTGGGCAACAGTGAGACTCCGTCAAAAAAAAAAAAAAAACACCACTAACACACACACAAAAACCTGTTTCTTCCTTTGTTAAATTAAATTTCTAATTAAAATTTTTATTTTTAAAGAATAGAGATTGGCATGCCATTGTAAGATGTGATACAAGAGATCCATGTACTCTTTGCCCAGTTTCCCCAAAAAATAACATCCTCCAAAACTATAGAAAAACATCACCAACAGCATATGATATTGATATTGACATAGCCAATGTACAACACATTTCTGTCACTGCAATGATCTCTTTTGATTGTTCTTTTATAGCCACACTCACCTGCCTCCCACACCCACTCCTTTCTTTATACCTGGCAACCACCAATCTGTTCTTCATTTGTATAATTCTGTCATTTCAAGGATGTTGTATAAAAAGAATCATACAGTGCTTAACATTTTGAGACTGGTTTTTTCAACACAGCATAATTCCGTGAAAATTTAAACAGATTGTTGAACAGTTTTTCCTTTTTGTCACTAAGAATTACCCTCTGGTATGTATGTACCACAGTTTGTTTGATCATGTGTTGAAGGACATCTGGGTCGCTTCCAGTTCAAAGCAGCCATAAACATTCATGTACAAACATTTGTGTGAACAAGTACAATTACTGAGTTGTATGGTAGTTACATGTTTAATTTTTTTTTTTTTTTTTTTTTACAGAGTCTTGCTCTGTCACCTAGGCTGGAGTGCAGTGGCACTGTCTCGGCTCACTGCAACCTCCGCCTCCTGGGTTCTAACGATTCTCCTGCCTCAGCCTCCCGAGTTGCTGGGATTACAGACATGCGCCACCACGCCCACTAACTTTTTGTATTTTTAGTAGAGACAGGGATTTACCATGTTGGCCAAGCTGGTCTCAAACTCCTGACCTCAGGCAATCCATCCGCCTCAGCCTCCCAAAGTGCTGGGATTACAGGCATGAGCCACTGTGCCCGGCCAGCATGTTTAATTTTTAAGCAACAGCATCAACTGTTTGCAGAGTGTCTGTACCATTTTACATGTATGACTGATTCTGTTTCTTTGAACACTCACCAGCATTTATTTTAGCCATTTTGATAGGTGTGCTAACTTTTCGTGGTTTTAGTTTGCATTTCCCTAATGGCTAATGATGTTGAACATCTTTTCACATGCTTATTTGTCATCTGTATATCTTTTTCCATGAAATATTTCTTCATGTCTTTTGCCCATGCTGTACTTTTAGTGTTTGCTTTCTAATTGTTCAGTTTTTAAAGTTCTTTATACATTCTAGGTACTACTCCTTTGTCAAATATGTGATTTGCAAATATATATCATGTATAGTTCACAGCTTGTCTTTTTCTCCTCTGTTCTTTTGCAGAACATAATTTTTTTAATCAATTTATTAATTTCTCTTTAATGGATCATGTTTTTGGTGCTACCTAAGAACTCTTTGGTCTTACATGCTAAAGATTTTCTTCCATTTTTTTCTAAAAGTTTTATAGTTTTATATTTTATATTTAAGTTTGTAATTTATTTTTTTGATTCTTTTTTGTTTGTTTTGTTTTGTTTTCTTTCTTTTTTTATTATACTTTAAGTTTTAGGGTACATGTGCACATTGTGCAGGTTAGTTACATATCTATACATGTGCCATGCTGGTGCACTGCACCCACTAACTCGTCATCTAGCATTAGGTATATCTCCTAATGCTATCCCTCCCCACTCCCCCGACCCCACCACAGTCCCCAGAGTGTGATATTCCCCTTCCTGTGTCCATGTGATCTCATTGTTCAATTCCCACCTATGAGTGAGAACATGCGGTGTTTGGTTTTTTGTTCTTGCAATAGTTTACCGAGAATGATGATTTCCAATTTCATCCATGTCCCTACAAAGGACATGAATTCATCATTTTTTATGGCTGCATAGTATTCCATGGTGTATATGTGCCACATTTTCTTAATCCAGTCTATCGTTGATGGACATTTGGGTTGGTTCCAAGTCTTTGCTATTGTGAATAATGCCGCAATAAACATACGTGTGCATGTGTCTTTATAGCAGTATGATTTATAGTCCTTTGGGTATATACCCAGTAATGGGATGGCTGGGTCAAATGGTATTTCTAGTTCTAGATCCCTGAGGAATCGCCACACTGACTTCCACAATGGTTGAACTAGTTTACAGTCCCACCAACAGTGTAAAAGTGTTCCTATTTCTCCACATCCTCTCCAGTACCTGTTGTTTCCTGACTTTTTAATGATTGCCATTCTAACTGGTGTGAGATGGTATCTCATTGTGGTTTTGATTTGCATTTCTCTGATGGCCAGTGATGATGAGCATTTTTTCATGTGTCTTTTGGCTGCATACATGTCTTCTTTTGAGAAGTGTCTGTTCATGTCCTTCGCCCACTTTTTGATGGGGTTGTTTGTTTTTTTCTTGTAAATTTGTTTGAGTTCATTGTAGATTCTGGATATTAGCCCTTTGTCAGATGAGTAGGTTGCGAAAATTTTCTCCCATTTTGTAGGTTGCCTGTTCACTCTGATGGTAGTTTCTTTTGCTGTGCAGAAGCTCTTTAGTTTAATTAGATCCCATTTGTCAATTTTGGCTTTTGTTGCCATTGCTTTTGGTGTTTTGGACATGAAGCCCTTGCCCATGACTATGTCCTGAATGGTGATGCCTAGGTTTTCTTCTAGGGTTTTTAGGTTTTAGGTCTAACGTTTAAGTCTTTAATCCATCTTGAATTGATTTTTGTATAAGGTGTAAGGAAGGGATCCAGTTTCAGCTTTCTACATATGGCTAGCCAGTTTTCCCAGCACCATTTATTAAATAGGGAATCCTTCCCCCATTGCTTGTTTTTCTCAGGTTTGTCAAAGATCAGATAGTTGTAGATATGCGGCGTTATTTCTGAGGGCTCTGTTCTGTTCCATTGATCTATATCTCTGTTTTGGTACCAGTACCATGCTGTTTTGGTTACTGTAGACTTGTAGTATAGTTTGAAGTCAGGTAGTGTGATGCCTCCAGCTTTGTTCTTTTGGCTTAGGATTGCCTTGGCAATGCGGGCTCTTTTTTGGTTCCATATGAACTTTAAAGTAGTTTTTTCCAATTCTGTGAAGAAAGTCATTGGTAGCTTGATGGGGATGGCATTGAATCTGTAAACTACCTTGGGCAGTATGGCCATTTTCACGATATTGATTCTTCCTACCCATGAGCATGGAATATTCTTCCATTTGTTTGTATCCTCTTTTATTTCCTTGAGCAGTGGTTTGTAGTTCTCCTTGAAGAGGTCCTTCACATCCCTTGTAAGTTGGATTCCTAGGTATTTTATTCTCTTTGAAGCAATTGTGAATGGGAGTTCACTCATGATTTGGCTCTCTGTTTGTCTGTTATTGGTGTATAAGAATGCTTGTGATTTTTGTACATTGATTTTTTATCCTGAGACTTTGCTGAAGTTGCTTATCAGCTTAAGGAGATTTTGGGCTGAGACAATGGGGTTTTCTAGATGTACAATCATGTCGTCTGCAAAGAGGGACAATTTGACTTCCTCTTTTCCTAATTGAATACCCTTTCTTTCCTTCTCCTGCCTAATTGCCCTGGCCAGAACTTCCAACACTATGTTGAATAGGAGTGGTGAGAGAGGGCATCCCTGTCTTGTGCCAGTTTTCAAAGGGAATACTTCCAGTTTTTGCCCATTCAGTATGATATTGGCTGTGGGTTTGTCATAGATAGCTCTTATTATTTTGAAATACGGCCTATCAATACCTAATTTATTGAGAGTTTTTAGCATGAAGGGTTGTTGAATTTTGTCAAAGGCTTTTTCTGCATCTATTGAGATAATCATGTGGTTTTTGTCTTTGGCTCTGTTTATATGCTGGATTACATTTATTGATTTGTGTATATTGAACCAGCCTTGCATCCCAGGGATGAAGCCCACTTGATCATGGTGGATAAGCTTTTTGATGTGCTGCTGGATTCGTTTTGCCAGTATTTTATTGAGGATTTTTGCATCAATGTTCATCAAGGATATTGGTCTAAAATTCTCTTTTTTGGTTGTGTCTCTGCCTGGCTTTGGTATCAGAATGATGCTGGCCTCATAAAATGAGTTAGCGAGGATTCCCTCTTTTTCTATTGATTGGAATAGTTTCAGAAGGAATGGTACCAGTTCCTCCTTGTACCTCTGATAGAATTCGGCTGTGAATCCATCTGGTCCTGGACTCTTTTTGGTTGGTAAACTATTGATTATTGCCACAATTTCAGCTCCTGTTATTGGTCTATTCAGAGATTCAACTTCTTCCTGGTTTAGTCTTGGGAGAGTGTATGTGTCAAGGAATTTATCCATTTCTTCTAGATTTTCTAGTTTATTTGCGTAGAGGTGTTTGTAGTATTCTCTGATGGTAGTTTGTATTTCTGTGGGATCAGTGGTGATATCCCCTTTATCATTTTTTATGGTGTCTATTTGATTCTTCTCTCTTTTTTTCTTTATTAGTCTTGCTAGTGGTCTACCAATTTTGTTGATCCTTTCAAAAAACCAGCTCCTGGATTCATTAATTTTTTGAAGGGTTTTGTGTGTCTCTATTTCCTTCAGTTCTGCTCTGATTTTAGTTATTTCTTGCCTTCTGCTAGCTTTTGAATGTGTTTGCTCTTGCTTTTCTAGTTCTTTTAATTGTGATGTTAGGGTGTCAATTTTGGATCTTTCCTGCTTTCTCTTGTGGGCATTTAGTGCTATAAATTTCCCTCTACACACTGCTTTGAATGCGTCCCAGAGATTCTGGTATGTTGTGTCTTTGTTCTCGTTGGTTTCAAAAAACATCTTTATTTCTGCCTTCATTTCGTTATGTATCCAGTAGTCATTCAGGAGCAGGTTGTTCAGTTTCCATGTAGTTGAGCGGTTTTGAGTGAGATTCTTAATCCTGAGTTCTAGTTTGATTGCACTGTGGTCTGAGAGATAGTTTGTTATAATTTCTGTTCTTTTACATTTGCTGAGGAGAGCTTTACTTCCAACTATGTGGTCAATTTTGGAATAGGTGTGGTGTGGTGCTGAAAAAAATGTATATTCTGTTGATTTGGGGTGGAGAGTTCTGTAGATGTCTATTAGGTCCGCTTGGTGCAGAGCTGAGTTCAATTCCTGGGTATCCTTGTTGACTTTCTGTCTCGTTGATCTGTCTAATGTTGACAGTGGGGTGTTAAAGTCTCCCATTATTAATGTGTGGGAGTCTAAGTCTCTTTGTAGGTCACTCAGGACTTGCTTTATGAATCTGGGTGCTCCTGTATTGGGTGCATATATATTTAGGATAGTTAGCTCTTCTTGTTGAATTGATCCCTTTGCCATTATGTAATGGCCTTCTTTGTCTCTTTTGATCTTTGTTGGTTTAAAGTCTGTTTTATCAGAGACTAGGATTGCAACCCCTGCCTTTTTTTGTTTTCCATTTGCTTGGTAGATATTCCTCCATCCTTTTATTTTGAGCCTATGTGTGTCTCTGCACGTGAGATGGGTTTCCTGAATACAGCACACTGATGGGTCTTGACTCTTTATCCAATTTGCCAGTCTGTGTCTTTTAATTGGAGCATTTAGTCCATTTACATTTAAAGTTAATATTGTTATGTGTGAATTTGATCCTGTCATTATGATGTTAGCTGGTGATTTTGCTCGTTAGTTGATGCAGTTTCTTCCTAGTCTCGATGGTCTTTACATTTTGGCATGATTTTGCAGCAGCTGGTACCAGTTGTTCCTTTCCATGTTTAGTGCTTCCTTCAGGAGCTCTTTTAGGGCAGGCCTGGTGGTGACAAAATCTCTCAGCATTTGCTTGTCTGTAAAGTATTTTATTTCTCCTTCACTTATGAAGCTTAGTTTGGCTGGATATGAAATTCTGGGTTGAAAATTCTTTTCTTTAAGAATGTTGAATATTGGCCCCTACTCTCTTCTGGCTTGTAGGGTTTCTGCCGAGAGATCTGCTGTTAGTCTGATGGGCTTCCCTTTGAGGGTAACACGACCTTTCTCTCTGGCTGCCCTTAACATTTTTTCCTTCATTTCAACTTTGGTGAATCTGACAATTATGTGTCTTGGAGTTGCTCTTCTCGAGGAGTATCTTTGTGGCGTTCTCTGTATTTCCTGAATCTGAACGTTGGCCTGCCTTGTTAGATTGGGGAAGTTCTCCTGGATAATATCCTGCAAAGTGTTTTCCAACTTGGTTCCATTCTCCCCATCACTTTCAGGTACACCAATCAGACGTAGATTTGGTCTTTTCACATAGTCCCATATTTCTTGGAGGCTTTGCTCATTTCTTCTTATTCTTTTTTCCCTAAACTTCCCTTCTCGCTTCATTTCATTCATTTCATCTTCCATCGCTGATACCCTTTCTTCCAGTTGATCGCATCGGCTCCTGAGGCTTCTGCATTCTTCACGTAGTTCTCGAGCCTTGGTTTTCAGCTCCATCAGCTCCTTTAAGCACTTCTCTGTATTGGTTATTCTAGTTATACATTCTTCTAAATTTTTTTCAAAGTTTTCAACTTCTTTGCCTTTGGTTTGAATGTCCTCCCATAGCTCAGAGTAATTTGATCGTCTGAAGCCTTCTTCTCTCAGCTCGTCAAAGTCATTCTCCATCCAGCTTTGTTCCGTTGCTGGTGAGGAACTGCATTCCTTTGGAGGAGGAGAGGCGCTCTGCATTTTAGAGTTTCCAGTTTTTCTGTTCTGTTTTTTTCCCATCTTTGTGGTTTTATCTACTTTTGGTCTTTGATGATGATGATGTACAGATGGGTTTTTGGTGTGGATGTCTTTTCTGTTTGTTAGTTTTCCTTCTAACAGACAGGACCCTCAGCTGCAGGTCTGTTGGAATACCCTGCCGTGTGAGGTGTCAGTGTGCCCCTGCTGGGGGGTGCCTCCCAGTTAGGCTGCTCGGGGGTCAGGGGTCAGGGACCCACTTGAGGAGGCAGTCTGCCCGTTCTCTGATCTCCAGCTGTGTGCTGGGAGAACCACTGCTCTCTTCAAAGCTGTCAGACAGGGACATTTAAGTCTGCAGAGGTTACTGCTGTCTTTTTGTTTGTCTGTGCCCTGCCCCCAGAGGTGGAGCCTACAGAGGCAGGCAGGCCTCCTTAAGCTGTGGTGGGCTCCACCCAGTTCGAGCTTCCCGGCTGCTTTGTTTACCTAAGCAAGCCTGGGCAATGGCGGGCGCCCCTCCCCCAGCCTCGCTGCCGCCTTGCAGTTTGATCTCAGACTGCTGTGCTAGCAATCAGCGAGACTCTGTGGGCGTAGGACCCTCCAAGCCAGGTGCGGGATATAATCTAGTGGTGCGCCGTTTTTTAAGCCGGTCTGAAAAGTGCAATATTCGGGTGGGAGTGACCCGATTTTCCAGGTGCATCCGTCACCCCTTTCTTTGACTCGGAAAGGGAACTCCCTGACCCCTTGCACTTCCCAAGTGAGGCAATGCCTCGCCCTACTTCGGCTTGTGCACTGTGCGCGCACCCACTGACCTGCGCCCACTGTCTGGCACTCCCTAGTGAGATGAACCCAGTACCTCAGATGGAAATGCAGAAATCACCTGTCTTCTGCGTCGCTCACGCTGGGAGCTGTAGACCAGAGCTGTTCCTATTCGGCCATCTTGGCTCCTCCTCTTGTAATTTATTCGAGTTAATTTTTAGGGGTTTTTTTCCTCTAGATGTCTAATTGCTCTAGAACAATTTGTTTAAAGGGATAGCATTCCTCTATTGAATTGTTGGTGTACCTCTATCAAAAATTGGCTAGGGATACAGCCAATCCTTAAACAATGCAAGGGTTAGGAGCAGCAAACCTCCACACAGCTAAAAATATGCATATAACATTTGACTCCCCCAAAACTTAACTACATATATTCTACTGTTGACTGGAAGACTTATCAATAAAATAAGCAGTCAATTAACACATATTTTGTATGTTATATGTATTATATATTGCATTTTTATAATAAAGCAAGCTGAAGAAAAGAAAATGCTATTAAGAAAATCATAAGAAATAGAAAATATATTTACTGTTCATTAAGTGGAAGTGGATCACCATAAAGATGTTCATCCTGGTTGTCTTCATGTCGAGTAAGCTGAAGAGGAGGAGGAAGAGGAGGGGTTAGTCTTGCCATCTCATTAGTGGCAGAGGCAGAAGAAAATCCACATATAAGTGGACCTGTGCACTTCAAACCTATCAACTGTATTTGTGTAGGTCTATTTCTAGGTTCTTTGTTTTAATCCGTTCATTCAGCTGTCCATTCCTCCTCCAATACCACACAGCCTTGATTACTGTAGCTACATCATAAATCTTGAAATTAAATAGACTGATTCCATCCACTTCATTCTTTGAAATTGTTTTAGCTATTCTAGTTCTTTTGTCTTTCTGTATACATTTTGGAAGATCTTATTGATATCTACTTTTTTAAAAACCTGCTGTGGTAAGCCCTGTACATGTTTTTTAAATTTACACCTAAGTATGTTTTAGAGAGATTGTAAATGACATTTATTTCAATTTCTGTGTCCATGCATTCATTGCCAATATATAGAATACAGCTGATTGTGTATGTTTATCTTGTAGCTTCCAATCTTTCAAAACTCATTCATTAGTTCTCAGAGTTTGCTTGCTTATTTGTTTGTTTGTATTCATAGATTCCTTGAGATTTTCTATGTAGATAATCATGCTACCTACAAACAGAGACAGTTTTATTTCTTCCTTTCCTTTATTTTTTTTTCTTGCCTTATTGTGCTGGTTAAAACTTTGAGCACTGTGTAGAGTAAGCAGTGAGATTTAGTATTTCCAGTTCAGGGGAAAGCATTCGATCTTTCACTGTCATTTATATTTTCAAAGAACCAGCTCTTTGTTTCACTATTTCACATTGTTTTCTTCATTATTATTCTGTTTTCAATTTCATTGATTTCTGCTTTTATATTTATTATTTCCTTCCTTGCGCTTGCTTTTAGTTTATTTTTCTCCTCTTTTTCTAGGTTCTTGAGGTGGGAGCTTAGATAATTAATTGAGACTTTTCCTCTTTTCAAATGTATGCATTTAATGCTATGACTTTCCCTCTCATCACAGCTTTAATTGTGTCTCGCAAGTTTTGACATGTTGTATTTTCATTTTCATTCATTTCAATGCATTTTTAAAAAATTTCCCTTAAGTATTCTTTGATGACCTAGAGATTATTCAAAAGTATGCTGTTTAGTTTCCAAGTGTTTGAAGATTCCCCAGTTATCTTTCTGTCATTAATTTCTAGTTTGAGTCCATTGCAGTTGGAGAACATACTCTATGATTTCAACTCTTATAAATTTGTTGAGATTGTTTTATGGCTCAAGATGTGGTCCATCTTGAAATATATTCCATGGACACTTGAAATGAATGTGTATTTTACTATTGTTGGATGGACTGTTCTATAAACGTTAATTAGATCCTGTTGGTTGATGGTGTTTTTGAGTTCTTCCATATCTTTGTTGATTTTCTACTCATTTTAGTTCTTTTCTGTCAGCACTTGAAAAATAATGAGAAATCCACTGTAGTTTTAATTGTTTTCCCCTAAAGATAAAGTTTTTCTTTCTCTTGTTGCATTTACAACTTTTTCTTTATCTTTACTTTTCAGAAGTTTAACTACTATGTGTGTTGGCACAAATTTCTTTGAGCTTATCCTGTTTGGGATTTGTTCACCTTCTTGAATTTGTAGGTTTATGTCTCTCGGTTAATTGGGGAGATTTTCAACTATATTGTTTTTGAGTACTTTTTCACCCCTGCCCTCTTTCATCTTTCCTTCTAGGACTCTGGTGAGATGAATATTAGATAATTTGTTTTAGTCCCACAGGTCCCTTAAGCTCTGTTAAATTTTTAGGCTTTTCCAGTGTATTTTCTCTGTTGTTTGGATTGGACATTTCCTAATGTTCTATCTTCTAGTTCACTGATACTTTTCTTTTTACCTCCGTTCTGCTGTTGAGCCATCAACTGAGCCTTTTATTTTGGTTATTGGGTTTTTGAGTTCCAAAATTCACATATATCATTGTATCTTTTATTTATTTGTGGCACTTTCTACTCTTTCATTTGTTTAAAGTATATTTTAAACATACACTTTATGTTTTGCTCATTGACTTTTCTTTTTTTTAGACGGAGTCTTGCTTTGTCACCAGGCTGGAGTGCAGTGGCCCGATCTTGGCTCACTGCAACCTCCAACTCCCTGGTTCAAGCGATTCTCCTGCCTCAGCCTCCTGAGTAGTTGGGACTACAGGGGGCCGCCACCACACCCAAATAATTTTTGTGTTTTTGGTAGAGAGAGGGTTTCACCATGTTGTCCAGGATGGTCTCAATCTCTTGACCTCAAGATCCTCCCACCTCGGCCTCCCAAAGTGCTGGGATTACAGGCATGAGCCACCACGCCTGGCTTCATTGATGTATTTTTATCATGACTTGCTTTAAACTCTTTGTCAGATAATTCTAACATATCTGATATCTCAACGTTGGCATTTATTGATTGTCTTTTTTCATCCAGTTACATATCCTCCTGGTTTTTGTATGTTAAGTGATTTTTATTAGTATCTGGCCCTGTTTGTATTATGTTATGAAACTCTGGATCTTATGTAATCTTTTGTTTTGGCTGGCTTTCTCTGACATTGTTCTAGCAAGGGACTAGGGGCTACCTCATTACTGTCACATGAAGGTAGATTAGTTCCCCTATTCAACCTGTGCTGACAATCAAGGTAGGGGAGCACATCATTACTGCTGAGCAGAGATGAGAACTCCAGCCCTTCACATGGTCTACACTGGCACTCTATGTCTATGTCTGTTGGGGACGGGGGTCATTACTGGCTGGCAGAGATTAGGGTTTCACAGCCCTACTTGGCCTTCTCAGACATTAACTCAGTGGGAGGTGTTAGGGAAACTCATTACAGCTTCTCAGGGATGGAAGTCTATCTCCTCACCCGGCTTTTACTGGAGTGATTGGCAGTGAAGCTGTAGTTGTTTCTGGAGCACAGCAGATACCATCTAAATGTTTTTCTTCTTGCTAAGCCACCTCTTTTCTGACCCTTTAGGTAGAGAGAAGCATTTATTGGAACTGTGTGTGTGTGTGTGTGTGTGTGTGTGCATCCACTAGAGTTTCAGAGTTACAGGCTTCTCAAGCTCCAAGTCTGGGGGGTACTTGCAGCACAAAGAAAACCCAGAGAACCCCACCTTATTGTTCCTTAAGTCCTGAGGCTTCTAGCCTGGCTGCTTTCTTCACTCCACCTTTCAGAGTCCTCTCGTGTTTGCTTTATATATAATATCCAGAATTTTTAGTTGTACTTAGCAGAAAGAATATGGAAAAGTATGTCCACTCCATCTTCCCAGTCAGCAAATCTTCAACTGGGTTTTAACTAAACATAATAAATGCATTTAAAGACATAAAGGAAGCTATTACCAATATAGACAAATACAAAAACACACACACACACAACATGAATAAGAACCAACCAGAGACTATCCTGCAACGGCATTAACATTTTGGTTTTGATCATTGGGCTGTGACAAGAAACACACACTGAAGTACATAGGGATAAAGTGGTATTTAGTGATAAAGGGAAATTCTATCTGCAACTTACTTTTAAAAACCAACAGTAGTAACACATATATGTATAGAAATAATGTTAAAGAAGCATGGTAAAATGTTAACATTTGAGGAATCCAAGTGAAGGCATATGGGAATCCTTTGTACTGTGTTTACAATTTTCTATGAGTATGAAATTATTTCAAAATGAAAAATTAATAAAAACAAACATGTATAATGGGGTAGGAGACACAAGCAGGCATAATATCTGATACTAAATTAATAATAGAGCATATAGTCATTAAAGTACACAATAAGTGAGATAAGCTGCAGAAGATATACTGACTTGGAAGACCAAAATGGAAGAATCTCTAATGTTAAGGAAAAAATGTGTAACTCAATTATAATGAAAATATTACATATCAAGACTTGTGGGGTGTTATAAAATGATCTTTGATAAAATGTACACACTTTAAATAGCCTTTAATATTTAAATATTAAACAAGAATAAAACCTAAAAATAAATGAACTAAGTGTTCACCTAAGTGAATAAGAAAAAGGAAAACAACCAAAATAGCATAAAATGTAAATCAATGAACTAGTTAAAAATGATATCACAGAGAAGATGAACAAAGCCAAAATTTCTTTTTCAAAAAAAATACCAATAAATGATAAGCCATTGACAAGATTGATCAAGAAATGTAAAGAAGACACAAATAAATAATATTCTGGATGAAAATGAGAACATATCCAGCAATAAAGCTGAAAATGTTCCATAATCAAAGGAATCATAATCAAAGCTGTTTCCAGTATTTACATGGAAAAGTATTTACATGGAAAAGATGAACTTGGATTCTGATCACTCATCATGTAGGAAAAAAATCAATTCCAGGTGTATCAATATCTTGAAGGTCAAAAAAAATCTTAAATCCTCACTAGATGATTTATGTGATTTTTTTTATTTTTAGGTAGATAAATACCTCCTGACCAAGACAAAAATATTATTATTCGAAAAGAAATGACTGATAATTTTAACTGGATAAAGCTTTAGAAAACTTAACCATCAAAAATCACATTTCAGACTGAGAGAAGGAATTGTGATAAACCCCTTTAACGCCTATCTCTCCTCTGCTCTCTATGTGGACTCTATTTCTTCTGGCATTTGGCCATAACAGCTGCAGCTGCTGCAGCAGGTGGACTGGCAGCAGGATGTGCTGCAGCAGCAATTTTGAAAACATACAAACCCACGTGTTTCTTTTTTTACCCCATGTGTCTTCCTTCAAGGATCATAACCCAAAGCTGATTGTCATCCAATATCTGCAAACAGTTGTTTTATATATTTACAAAGCTTTTATTATTGTTTATAGCAGGAGGATAAATCTTATACTAGCTTCTACATTACAGGTGGCATCACAAGCCCTCCCTAAACTTGGTTTTTAACTCATCACCATGACTCAACATCATCCTATCTTCAGAGGTACTTTCCAAAGTAAATAGCAATAAGGAAAAACAGATGGTGACTAACAATTGTCCTGACATCTCACTAAGCTACATAGGACCTGTTAGATGACCAAATACTGTACTCAGCTTTAAAAATGAGGATCAGTGCTTAATTGGTAGGGAGAATGATTCATTTCTCAGTTCAGGAAAATAGTCCTGACTGGTTATTTGTCAATTAAGAAAGCAAATAAATCAATTACTCAAAGAAAATTCACAGCACTGAATAGACAACTTCCTCCTTGGGACATTTCCCAAAAGACTAGAGAAGTATCAAAGACAAGTTCTGCTCATTAATCCAAACTTTGGGGTACCATGTATAAAAGGTTCAGATTGAATAACGTTATCAAACTCTAGGAAACTCACCTCTGAACAGGAGTGCACCCTCCACCCCTGACGCCATGACCCACTGCTGCTCCCTTTGCTGCCAGCCTACGACGTGCTGCAGGACCACCTGCTGTGTGTCCAGCTGCTGCCAGTCTTGTTGCCACCCCCCCAGTTGCTGCAACACATCCTGCTGCCAACCTAGCTGCTGTGCACCCGTCTACCAGAGAACGTGCTACCATTCCATGTGTGTCTGCCTGCCTAGTTGCCTAGACCAGATATGTGGATCCAGCTGCTGCCAGCCCTGCTGCCTGCTGCCCAGCCTACTGTGAGGCCACCTGCTGCAGGACCACTTGCTGCCAGTACACCTGTGTGACAAGCTGCTGCCAGTCTTCCTGCTGCAGCACACCCTGCTGCCAGCCCACCTGCTGTGGGTCCAGCTGTTACGGCCAAACTGGCAGTGGGTCCAGCTGCTGCCAGCCCAGCTTCTGTGCACCCATCTACTACAGGAGAACTTGCTACCACCCCATGTGTGTCTGCCTGACAGGTTGCCTAAACCAGAGCTATGGATCCAGCTGCTGCTAGCCCTGCTGCCAATCAGCCTGTTGTGTGTCTAGGGGCTGCCAGCCTTGCAGTTATTGATCAACTTACCACAGATTACTACCTGCATAGAATAAACTTCCATCATCAGACCAGCCAGGTATCCATTTATTCTTTTTTTTTTTTTTTTTTTTTGAGACCCAGTTTCGCTCTTGTTGCCCAGGCTGGAGTGCAATGGCATGATCTTAGCTCACCGCAACCTCCACCTCCTGGGTTCCAGCCATTCCCCTGCCTCAGCCTCCCGAGTAGCTGAGATTACAGGCATACGCCATCATGCCCAGCTAATTTTGTATTTTTCGTAGAGATGGGGTTTCTCCATGTTGGTCAGGCTGGTCTCAAACACCTGACCTCAGATGATCCACCCGCCTTGACCTCCCAAAGTGCTGGGATTACAGGCATGAGCCACCACGCCCAGGCCAGATATCCATTTCTATGGCAAACTCACTCCACTTCCTCTGCTGATAACATACATACTGTCACTAAACTGTCAGTCATCTTCTTGTTAACAAATTATGAACTTGCTTAATGAGTGTAGCCTTTTTCACTCCGATAGTCTCTTCATTGAGCCAGCTGCTGGTCAGCTTCATCTGTTCTTGACCTGGATTTATGATCTGAGCGTTGACAAAATTATCTTTGTTTTTTTACTCTAGGAAAATTTCTAAAAAGAAAAAAAATTCTCATAGCTGTCTTATTAAATTTTTTTTTCTTTTTTTTTAAACAGAGTTTCACTCTTGTTGCCCAGGCTAAAGTGCAATGGCGCGATCTCAGCTCACTGACACCTCTGTGCTCCCAGGTTCAAGTGATTCTCCTGCCTCAGCCTCCCAAGTAGCTGGGATTACAGGTTCCTGCCACCACATCTGACTAATTTTTTGTATTTTTAGTAGAGACGGGGTTTCACCATGTTGGCCAGGCTGGTCTCAAACTCCTGACCTCAGGAGATCTGCCCACCTCGGCCTCCCAAAGTGTTGGGATTACAGCCATGAGCCACCACACCCGGCCCTTATTAGATCTTTACAATGATAAATATCATTTTGTTTCAAATTAATACTCACTTTTGTGACTTTCCATGACAACTCTGTATTATCTTCTTAGCAGAAAGGAGCATTGCTTTATTTATTTCCTAATAAAGCGTTTACTATAGTGCCTCCTGTGTTGTGTTTTGTTTTGTTTCAGTGATTGTTTTGCATCTCACATATATTATCTCATCTAAGTCACATAGAAGCCTCAAACTTGGACAGAACCAAGATGAGTAAAGTGGCCTGCATCGTGTCATGTAGCTAAGGATGGACAGAATTGGCTCTAGGCTCAGGGTTTCTGATTTCACCTCTACTGATGTCACATTTACAGAATTATACTAAGGACTTAGAACCGGGAAGGGGTGCACTCGAAGTTGTTCTCTGACAATGGAAACACCAATTCCACGCATTTGCAGACCATTTTCTACTAACAAAGTTCTTTCCAAATTCATTCCCCTAACCAATAGCCACATCTTAAGAGCAACAACTCGTTTTAAGAGCCCTCGTGAATCATGTGAACATTTTATATTCTCAGTCTCTTGTCAGGCACTGGTGAAGTTCTTTAAATATTTTTGAGCACCCATTGTGTTCCTGCCTCTGTCCTGGGACTTTGGTGTGAGAGGCTCATCTAGAAATACTTGTTTGTTGAAATAATGGAATTGGCATTCTGTTTGTCCTCATTCTTCTGGTCACCTAAATAAATGGTAATAGAAGTTTAAGTCATGGCCCAAAAAACTTAGGCCACATTTCATTTGCACCCAAACTTTGAGAGATAATTTGTTTTCACATCAAAACTTTTTATTCCTGGCTTACTGTTTTTTTATTGTGGTAAAATACACATAAAATTTACAATTATAATCTTTATTTATTTATTTATTTTTGAGATGGAATTTTGCTCTGTCACCCAGGCTGGAGTGCAGTGGCACGTTCTCAGCTCACTGCAACCTCCGCCTTCCAGGTTCGAGCGATCCTCCTGCCTCAGCCTCCCGAGTAGCTGGGACTACAGGCATGTGCCACCATGCCTGGTTAATTTTTTGTAGTTTTAGTAGAGATGGGGTTTCACTATGTTGGCCAGATTGGTCTCAAATACCTTACCTCGTGATCCACCTGCCTCAGCCTCTCAAAGTGTTGGGATTACAGGTGTGAGCCACCGTGCCCAACCACAATTATAATCATTTTTACATATACAGTTCAGTGGAAGTAAGTACACTCATGTTGTTAGACAACCATCATCTGTCTCCAGAAATTTTAAAAAATTTTTTAAATTATTTATTTTTTATTTTATCAACTTTTATTTTAAGTTCTGGGATACGTGTGCAGGATGTGCAGGTTTGTTACATAGGTAAATGTGCCATGGTGGTTTGCTACACAGATCAACCCATCACCCAAGTATTAAGCCCAGAACCCATTAACTGTTCTTCCTGATGCCCTCCCTCTCATTGCCTGCAACAGGCCCCAGTATGTGTTGTTCTCCCACCCCAACGTTTGTCCATGTGTTCCCATCATTCAGCTCCCACTTATAAATGAAAACATGTCATTTTGGTTTTCTGTTCCTGTGTTAGTTTGCTGAGAATAACAGCTTCTAGCTCCATCCATGTCCCTACAAAGGACATGATCCAGTTCCTTTTTATGGCTGCATAGTATTCCATTGTGTACATGTATCATATTTTCTTTATCCAGTCTACTCTTGATGGGCATTTGGGTTGGTTCCATGTCTTTGCTATTGTGAGTAGTGCTGCAGTGAACATATGCATGCATGTATCTTTATGATAGAATGATTTCTATTCCTTTGGGTATATATCCAGTAAAGGGATTGCTGAATCAAATGGTATTTCTGGGGATGGTGCTATCTGGTCCAGCTACTATGCTTTTCTATGGTCTTCACAACTCACAGACCAGGAGATTCCCTCGGGTGCCTACCACCACGGCCCTGGGCTTCAAGCACAAAACTGGGTGGCTGTTTGGGCAAACACCAAGCTAGCTGTAGGAGTTTTGTGTTTTTGTTTTGCTTTGTTGTTGTTGTTGTTGTTTTCATATCCTAGTGGTGCCTGGAATGCCAGCGGCACAAAACTGTTCACTACCCTGGAAAGGGGCTGAAGCCAGGGAGCCGAGTGGTCTTGTTCAGCAGATCCCACCCCCAAGGCACCCAACAAGCTAAAATTCACTGGCTTGAAATTCTCGCTGGCAGCACAGCAGTCTGAAGTCGACCTGGGACACTCGAGCTTGGTGCGGGGAGGGGCGCCCACCACTGCCAAAGCTTGAGTAGGCAGTTTTCCCCTCACAGTGTAAACAAAGTTGCCGGGAATTTCGAACTGGGTGCGGAACCACCTCAGCACAGCAAAGCCACTGTGGCCAGACTGCCGCTCTATATTCCTCCTGTCTCGGGAGGTCATCTCTGAAAGAAAGGCAGCAGCCCCATTCAGGGGCTTACAGATAAAACTCCCATCTCCCTGGGACAGAGCACCTGTGGGGTGGGGCAGCTGTGGGCACAGCTTCAGCAGCAGACTCAAACGTTCCTGCCTGCGGGCTCTGAAGAGATCAACTGTTCTCCCAGCACAGCGCTCAAGCTCTGCTAAGGGACAGACTGCCTCCTCAGGTGGGTCTCTGACCCACATGCCTCCTGACTCCTCCCAGCAGGAGTCAACAGACACCTCATAGTGGAGAGCTCCGGCTGGCATCTGGCAGGTGCCCCCTGGGACAAAGCTTCCAGAGGAAGGAGCAGGCAGCAATACCCAGGCAAACAGGGTCTGGAGTGGACCTTCAGCAAACTCCAGCAGACCTGCAGAAGAGGGGCCTGACTGTTAGAAGGAAAACTAACAAACAGAAAGCAACAGCATCAATATCAACAAAAAGGATGCCCACGCAAAAACCCAATCCAAAGGTTACCAATATCAAAGACCAAAGGTGGATAAATCCAAGAAGATGAGGAAAAACCAGCACAAGAAAAGGCTGAAAATTCCAAAAACCAGAATGCCTCTTCTCTTCCAAAGGATTACAACTCCTCACCAGCAAGGGAACAAATCTGGACAGAGAATAAGTTTGATGAATTGACAGAAGTAGGTTTCAGAAGGTGGGTAATAACAAACTCCTCTGAGCTAAAGGTGCATGTTCTAACCCAATTCAAGGAAGCCAAGAACCTTTATAAAATGTTACAGGAACTGCTAACTAGAATAATCAGTTTAGAAAAGAACATAAATGACCTGATGTAGCTGAAAAACACAGCACGAGAATTTTGTGAAGCATATACAAGTATCAATGACCAAATGGATCAAGCAGAAGAAAGGATATCAGAGATTCAAGATCAACTTAATGAAATAAAGCGTGAAGACAAGATTAGAGAAAAAAGAATAAAAAGGAATGAACAAAGCCTCCAAGAAATATGGGACTATGTGAAAAGACCAAACCTATGTTTGATTGGTGTACCTGAAAGTGATGGGGAGAATGGAACCGAGTTAGAAAACACACTTCAGGATATTATCCAGGAGAACTTCCCCAACCTAGCAAGACAGGCCAACATTCAAATTTAGGAAATACAGAGAACACCACAAAGATACTCCTCCAGAAGAGCAACCCCAAGACACATAATTGTCAGATTCACCAAGGTTGAAATGAAGGAAAAAATGTTAAGGGCAGCCAAAGAGAAAGGTCGGGTTACCCACAAAGGGAAGCCAGGAAGCCCATCAGACTAATAGTGGATCTCTCTGCAGATACCCTAGAAGCCAGAAGAGAGTGGGGGCCAATATTCAACATTCTTAAATAAAAGAACTTTCAACCCAGAATCTCATATCCAGCCAAACTAAGCTTCATAAGTAAAGGAGAAATAAAATCCTTTACAGACAAGCAAATGGTGAAGGATATTGTCACCACCAGTCCTGCCTTACAAGAGCTCCTGAAGGAAGCACTAAATATGGAAAGAAAAAACTGGTACCAGCCACTGCAAAAACATACCAAATTTTAAAGTCCATCGACACTATGAAGAAACTGCATCAACTAATGGGCAAAATAACCAGCTGGCATCATAAAGACAGGATCAAATTCACATATAACAATGTTAACCTTAAAAGTAAATGGGCTAAATGCCCCAATTAAAAGACGCACACTGGCAAATTGGATAAAGAATTAAGACCTATCGGTGTACTGTATTCATCAGACCTGTCTCACATGCGAAAATTGAGACCTATCGGTATACTGTATTCATCAGACCCGTCTCACATGCGAAGACACACATAGGCCCAAAATAAAGTGATGGAGGAATATTTACCAAGCAAATGGAAAGCAACAAAAAAAAAGCAGGTGTTGCAATCCTGGCCTCTGATAAAACAGACTTTAAACCAACAAATATCAAAAAAGACAAAGGGCATTACATAATGGTAAAGGAATCAATGCAACAAGAAGAGAAACCTAACCTAAGCATATATGCACCCAATACAGGAGCACCCGGATTTATAAAGCAAGTTCTTAGAGCCCTACAAAAAGACTTAGACTCCCACACAATAATAATGGGAGACTGGCCGGGCATGGTGACTCACACCTGTAATCCCAGCGTTTTGGGAGGCCAAGGTGGGTGGATCATGAGGTCAAGAGTTCAAGACCAGCCTGGCGAGCATGGTGAAACCCCGTCTCTACTAAAAAATACAAAAATGAGCTGAGCATGGTGGCACGCACCTGTAATCCCAGCTACTGGAGAGTCTGAGGCAGGAGAATCGCTTGAACCCAGGAGGCAGAGGTTGCAGTGAGCCAAGATTATGCCACTGCACTCCAGCCTGGGTGACAGAGCAAGACTCCATCTTAAAAAAAAAAATAGTGAGAGACTTTAACACCCCACTGTCAGTATTCGACAGATCAACAAGACAGAAAATTAACAAAGATATTCAGGACTTGAACTCAGCTCTGGGCCAAGCAGACCTAGTAGATATCTACAGAACTCTCCACCCCAAATCAACAGAATATACATTTTTCTCAGCACCACATAGCACTTACTCTAAAATTGACCACATAATTAAAAATAAAACATTCCTCAGCAAATGCAAAAGAATGGAAATCATAACAAACAGTCTCTGAGATCACAGTGCGATGAAATTAGAACTCAGGATTAAGAAACTCACTCAAGGCTGAATATGGTGGCTCACATCAGTAATCCCAGCACTTTGGGAGGCCGAGGCGGGCAGATCATGAGGTCAGGAGATGGAGACCATCCTGGATAACATGGTGAAACCCCGTCTCTACTAAAAATACAAAAAAAAATTAACCAGGCATTGTGGCACGTGCCTATAATCCCAGCTACTCAGGAGGCTGAGGCAGGAGTGAGCCCAGGAAGTGGAGGTTGCAGTGAACCGAGATCACACCACCGCACTACAGCCTGGGCGACAGAGCAAGACTCCATCTCAAAAAAAAAAAAGTGGGAGACTTTAACACCCCACTGTCAATATCAGACAGAACAATGAGACAGAAAATTAACAAGGATATTCAGGACTTGAAATCAACTCTGGACCAAGTGGACCTAATAGACATCTACAGAACTCTCCACCTGAAATCAACAGAATAAACATTCTTCTCACTACAACATAGCACTCTAAATTTCACCACATAATTGGAAGTAAAACAGTCTCTCAGATCACAGTGCAATCAAATTAGAACTAAGGATTAAGAAACTCACTCAAGGCCAGGCACGGTGGCTCATGCCTGTAATCCCAGCACTTTGGGAGGCCGAGTGGGCAGATCACAAGGTTAGGAGATCGAGACCATTCTGGCTAACACGGTGAAGCCGTGTCTCTACGAAAAATACAAAAAATTTAGGCAGGCATGGTGGCAAGCGCCTGTAATTCCAGCTGCTCAGGAGGCTGAGGCAGGAGAATCGCTTGAACCCAGGAGACAGAGGTTGCAGTGAGCCAAGATCACGCTACTGCACTACAGCCTGGGTGACAGAGCGAGACTCTGTCTCAAAAAAAGAAAGAAAGAAGAAAGAAGAAAGAAAGAAAGAAAGAAAGAAAGAAAGAAAGAAAGAAAGAAAGAAAGAAAGAAAGAAGAAAGAAAGAAAGAAACTCAAAACCACACAACTACATGGAAACTGAACAACCTGCTCCTGAATGACTATGGGTAAATAACAAAATTAAGGTAGAAATAAATAAGTTATTTGAAACCAATGAGAACAAAGACACAATGTACCAGAATCTCTGGGACACAGCTAAAGCAGTGTTTAGAGGGAAATTTATAGCACTAAATGCCCACATGAGAAAGTGGGAAAGATCTAAAATCGACACCCTAACATCACAATTTAAAGAACTAGAGAAGCAACAGCAAACAAATTCAATAGCTCACAAAAGACAAGAAATAACTATGATCAGAGCAGAACTGAAGGAGATAGAGACACAAAAAATCCTTCAAAAAATCAATGAATCCAGGAGCTGATTTCTTGAAAAGATTTACAAAATAGAGCACTAGCCAGACTAATAAAGAAGAAAAGAGAGGAGACTCAAAGAGACACAATAAAAAATGATAAACGGGAGATTACCACTGATCCCACAGAAATACAAACTACCATCAGAGAATACTATAAACACCTCTACTCAAATAAACTAGAAAATCTAGAAGAAATGGGTTAATTCCTGGACACACACACCCTCCGAAGACTAAACCAGGAAGAATTCGAATCCCTAAATACACCAATAGCAAGTTCTGAAATTGAGGCAGTAATTAATAGCCTACCAACCAAAAAAAAAGCCCAGGACCAGACGGATTCACAGCCAAATTCTATCAGAGGCACAAAGAGGAGCTGGTACCATTCCTTCTAAAACTATTCCAAACAATAGAAAAAGGTAGACTCCTCCCTAACTCATTTTATGAGGCCAGCATCATTCTAATGCTAAAACTGGGCAAAAACATAACAAAAAAAGAAAATCTCAAGCCAATATCCCTGATGAACATTGGTGCGAAAATCCTCTATAAAATACTGGCAAACCGAATCCAGCACCACATTACAAAGCTTATCCACCACAATCAAGTCGACTTCATCCCTCGGATGCAAGACTGGTTCAACATAAGCAAATCAATAAATGTAATCTATCACATTAATAGAACCAATGACAAAAACCACATGATTATCTTGATAGATGAAGAAAAGGCCTTCAATAAACTTCGACACCTCTTCATGCTAAAAACACTCAATAAACTAGGTATTGATGGAACGTATCTCAAAATAATAAGAGCTATTTATGATAAACCCACAGATAATATAATACTGAATGGGCAAAAGCTGGAGGCATTCCCTTTGAAAACCGACACAAGACAGGGATACCCTCTCTCACCACTGCTATTCAACATAGTATTGGAAGTTCTGGCCAGAGTAATCAGGCAAAAGAAAGAAATAAAGCATACTCAAATAGGAAGAGAGGAAGTCAAATTGTCTTTGTTTGCAGATGACATGATTCTATATTTAGAAAACCCCATCGTCTCAGCCCAAAAACTCCTTAAGCTGATAAGCAACTTCAGCAAAATCTCAGGATACAAAATCAATGTGCAAAAATCACAAGCATTCCTATACACCAATAATAGACAAGCAGAGAGCCAAATCATAAGTGAACTCCCATTCACAATTGCTACAAAGAGAATAAAATACTTAGGAATACAACTTACACGAGATGTGAGGGACCTCTTTAAGGAGAACTACAAACCACTGCTCAAGGAAATAAAAGAGGACACAAACAAATGGAAAAACATTCCATGGTAATGGATAGGAAGAATCAATATCATGAAAATGACAATACTGCCCAAAGTAATTTATATATTCAATGCTATCCCCATCAAGCTACCATTGACTTTCTTCACAGAATTAGAAAAAACTACTTTAAATTTCATATGGAACCAAAAAAGAGCCTGCATAGCTGAGACAATCCTCAGCAAAAAGAACAAAGCTGAAGGCATCATGCTACCTGACTTCAAACAATACTACAAGGCTACAGTAGCCAAAATCCATGGTATTAGTACCAAAACAGATGTATAGACGAATGGAACAGAATAGAAACCTCAGAAATAACACCACATATCTACAACCATCTGATCTTTTACAAACCTCACATAAACAAGCAATGGGGAAAGGATTCCCTATTTAATAAATGGTGTTGGGAAAACTGGCTAGCCATATGCAGAAAACTGAAAGTGGACCCCTTCCTTACACTTTATACAAAAATTAACTCAAGATGGATTAAAGACTTAAACATAAGACCTAAAACCATAAAAACCCTAGAAGAAAACCTAGGCAGTACCATTCAGGACACAGGCATGGGCAAAACCCCTATCAAAAAGTGGGTGAAGGATATGAACAGACACTTCTCAAAAGAAGACATTTAGCTAACAAACATATGAAAGAAAGCTCATCATCACTGGTCATTAGAGAAATGTAAATCAAAACCACAATGAGATACCATCTCACACCAGTTAGAATGGCAATCATTAAAAAGGCAAGAAACAACAGAGGCTGGAGAGGATGTGGAGAAATAGGCACATTTTTACACTGTTGGTGGGACTGTAAATTAGTTCAACCACTGTGGAAGACAGTGTGGCAATTCCTGAAGGATCTAGAACCAGAAATACCATTTGCCCCAGCAATCCCATTACTGAGTATATACCCAAATGATTATAAATCATTCTACTATAAAGGCACATGCACACATATGTTTATTGCAGCACTGTTTGCAATAGCAAAGACTTGGAACCAACACAAATGCCCATCAGTGATAGACTGGATAAAGAAAATGTGGCACATATACACCATGGAATACTATGTAGCCATAAAAAAAATGAGTTCATGTCCTTTGCAGGGACATGGATGAAGCTGGAAACCATTATTCTCAGCAAACTAACACAAGAACAGAAAACCAAACACTGCATGTTCTCACTCATAAGTGAGAGCTGAACAATGAGCACACATGGACACAGGGAGGGGAACATCACACACCAGGGCCTGTCAGGGAGTAGGGGGATACAGGAGGGATAGCATTAAGTGAAATACCTAATGTAGATGACGGGTTGATGGGTGCAGCAAACCACCATGGCACGTGTATACTTATGTAACAAATTTGCACGTTCTGCACATGTACCCCAGAACTTAAAGTATAATTTTTAAAAATAGGCCATATCAAATAGCCTAGATGTATAGTAAGCTATATGATCCAGGTTTAAGTACACTCTACAATGTTCACACAATGACAAAATTACCTAGTGGTTCATTCCTCAGAACCTATCCCCATTGTTAAATGACAATAACAGGATTCATGTTTTGGTAAAAATTAAAAACAAAATTTAACAAAAAAAAGAGAGCAAAAAGGAAAGATAAAACACAGCATGTGACAAAATATTTATACCATATCCACTCAATAAATGATAAACTCCTGATACATATATATCTTATATAAGTTTATAGAAAATAATCTCCACATTATCTATCTATCTATCTATCTATCTATCTATCTATCTATCTATACACTAGTCAGAACATACGTCCAAAATCTATAAAACACTAAGAAATTAACAACCATGAAGAAGTATGGGTAGAAGACTTGAACAGGCATCTTATGAAAAAGGAAAAAGGAACAACCAATGCCTATTAGACATTAGTCATCAAATAAATGCAAATCTAAAACATAAATACATACCAGTACAATTCAGAAGGTTCACAATATTAGGGTCAAGCAGGAGTCACTACTGGTTGTAAAATGTTGAAACACTGCTTTTTTCTTTCTACTAATGCTGATTATAAGTGTTTCCTATGACGTGGCAATTTCACTCCTACATATATTCCCAGAGGGAAGAATTTGAATGCCACATTCCCATATAAGAAATATTCATTTTCAAATCCTTACCAGACTAGAATAAATTTGGCTAGCTTCGAAGCCATTCATTCTTTTTAAGATGCCTGTGCATAACTTTGCTCTGTTTCTTTTTGTGTAACTTTGAAGTTCCAAGGGCAATCTAATCTTATTTTTCTATCCAAAGCCATCCCTCTGTAGGGTCTAAATAGTGATATTTCTTACATGTTAGTGTAAACTTTCACTTCATTCATTTCTGCCATAATATTTAAGAACCGATAATGATATTCTGTCATACACGTCTACTTATATTCTCAGGAAACTCAGTGTTTACTTTCCACTCTCTTCAAAAATCTACATGTAAAACTCAGTGCAATAGGCCTGTTGTTAGAGAGCTGCATGGGCTCTCATGTTTTATGTGTTTGTTAATCAAGTGATAATCTGATACCACTGTCTCGTTATTTGGGATCCACCAATCACACTTTCCCCCAGGTTCTCCTCAATGAATTTAACTGATACCTACATATGCTGATGTAATTTCCTCCTCCTATAATTTGAGTTGCAGATTAAAGACAATTCCTCACTCACGTTTTCTAGATTAACACAATATTGTTGTAGAAATGACTAAGTACAGATTTCAGATAATTGGGCTAGACTTCATTGTTTCTGTCAAAGTAGATAAGAAAGACTACAACTGGGCTACAAGTATCTCCTGGGAGTTCCCCCCATGGGGTGTGTGTGTTTGAAAGGGACCCATGGGATAGTCTAGTGCCCCTGTTGAAAAAAGAACTGTTGATCCCCAAGCCCACACTCTGCAATAGAACTGCTAGAGTATTTCATGGGGCATGAAATTGCCTTTAGAAAAACCAATACAGGGGGTCACATCAAGGTCAAATTGGGCACAGAAGGGTAGGAATTTTGCTATATTCGGAATTTCTTTACTTAGAGAAGGTAGAGGAAATAGAGTAAGAATAGGAGAATATATTTTTGGAATGCAATGATAGTAAATATCCTAAACAAAATATAAGTAAATAAAATCCAATGGCATATACATATGATCGTAACCACATGAATTGTTTTCAGAAATGCAAGACTGGGCTAATATTTGAACATTAATCAACTTTTAAAATAACACATTTTGGGAAGCCGAGGCAGGTGGATCTCTTGAGGTCAGGAGTTCGCGATCAGCTGGCCAACATGGTGAAACTCTGTCTCTATTAAAAATACAAAAGTTAGCTGGGCATGGTGGTGTGCTCCCATAGTCCCAGCTACTCGGGAGGCTGAGGAAAGAGAATCTCTTGAACCCGGGAGGTGGAGATTGCAGTGAGCCAAGATTGTACCACTGCACTCCAGCCTGGGTGACGAAGCAAGACTCTGTCTCAAAAAACATAGAATAAAACAACACTTACTGAAAAGGTAGAATAATCATAACATTATTTCAGCTTATAAAGAAAAAGCATTTTGTAAATTTCAGTACATTTTCAGTTTTCTGTCTCTCAGAAAATAAGGAATAGAACAAGCCCTGTTGCTATGATGAAATGAATCTACAAAAAAGACAGAAAGCATCGTAATTAATTGTGAAATACTGAGAGTTCTCCTTTCTATCCAACGAATATAAAAAGATATACACTACACCATTCTATTAGACATTGCCCTGGAGGGTCTACCCCTGGACAAGGGCCAAAAAAAAAGCAAGATTAAAAATACTCTTATAAAGCGAAGAAAACTATTACTATTTTTTATGAGTCATGACTGCACATGTGCAATTTTCTGTCACACCAAAAAAAAATACAAAAAGTATTAGAATTAACAAGCTAGGACCAGAACTCAGCTTGATTTGCCCGAATCTAGAGCACTTACGTCACAGAGAGTCCCATGCTGGTAAACCCTTCAGTCCCAGGCAAATCAGGGTAAATGGCAACACCATCACAGAGACACTCGATGCTTTCTGAATCCCAGTGGACTCCTTTTTCTACCCACCTGCTTTGGTCTAGCTCTGCATTTTGGAATACATTGTGCCAAACACCCTTTCCCTAGTGAGTGTAATAGAACTGGAAGACACAGGTGGAATAGTTTGTAGCGAGAAAGATGCTTGTTACTCTTGAATCAGACTTTTGTGGGTAAATAGGCTTGGTGCCGGGCACGGATTCAATGCATCACTGTGAACATAACAGCATCACGCGACTGCCCACAGACATTTCCCAGTCTACATACAGTCAACCATGAGGCTGGACAGAGAGAACTATCTGCTTCCCGGATCACCAGGAACTATCACATGACCAGATGATGGTCAGAGCAGGAATGATGCTGGTGATGAGACTGCCTTCCTTTTATCTGAAACAAAGTTTTTATGAGTAATTCTCAATTAAGAAACAGATTAAACCCTTACTTTCAAAAGATTCATAAGATTTCAGAAACAACTTCCCCTTTGACAATCGCAAAGGGAGTATGGAAAACAGTGTAAACAACAACAAGGAAAAGTCCTGCTGATTGGTGGAAACTTTGGAGGCCAGATGTATAAAAGGTCCAGATTGCAAGGGGTCATCAGATTCTGGGAAACTCACCTCTGAACAGAAGCCCACCCTCCACCCCTGACACCATGACCCACTGTTGCTCCCCTTGCTGTCAGCCTACATGCTGCAGGACCACCTGCTGCAGGACCACCTGCTGGAAGCCCACCACTGTGACCACCTGCAGCAGCACATCCTGCTGCCAGCCCGCCTGCTGTGTGTCCAGCTGCTGCCAGCCTTGCTGCCGCCCAACTTCCTGTCAAAACACCTGCTGTAGGACCACCTGCTGCCAGCCCACCTGTGTGACCAGCTGCTGCCAGCCTTCCTGCTGCAGCACACCCTGCTGCCAGCCCACCTGCTGTGGGTCCAGCTGCTGTGGCCAAACCAGCTGTGGGTCCAGCTGTGGCCAGAGCAGCTCCTGTGCACCTGTGTACTGCAGAAGAACCTGCTACTACCCCACGACTGTCTGCCTGCCTGGTTGCCTAAACCAGAGCTGTGGCTCCAACTGCTGCCGCCCAGCCTGCTGTGAGACCACCTGCTGCAGGACCACTTGCTTCCAGCCCACCTGTGTGTCCAGCTGCTGCCAGCCTTCTTGCTGCTGATCACGTTCCAAGAGAACCACCATCCTCACACAACAAATTTCTGCTCAACTGACTCATCTTTTGGGGGACTAATTTAATTTGCTGCTGACAGCCACCATGCTCTCACCCAAATTTTTATGAATTCTCTACATGTTTAAAATCTTGGAAATCTGCTTGAGGGAGGGCAGAATACTTCATCCTGATTCTCTTTTTCCTTACACCTTGTGGATCATGTGCCAGCTTCATCTGTTCTCAAGTTTGAGTCATGGTCTCAGCTTTGACTCTAAAGTCAAGAGCTTCATTCCCTGCTTCTAAGGAATTTAGGTTTCTGCAACTGATCGATGATCTTTGCAATCTTTTTTTTGTTTTCAATATCCTCCTCATCGTTCTTGTATCCTTCTTTCTTCTTTTCATGATAAATTTGTGTTGTGTCCCTGGTAGCAGAAATCCTTACCTATATGTTTCTGAATAAATTCTGAACCATCCTCATCTCATATAGTGTTTTGTTTTATTTGAAAGCACTCCTGATATGGGATTTACACACATATCACATACCATAGTTATTATCCAATTTGATTCTCAAAACAGGTGGTCATGCATTATTACCTTCATTTTTCACCTGAAAAAAAAATTAATATGTGATGTTATGTAGCTAATAAAGGACAGATTCTGATCCAAGCTGAGGTCCTCTCTTTCTGCCCAAGGACACTTACATTTAACTCTCAACATAGTAGAAATGACATTGGAAGTCAGCACTAGCAAGACATGCACTTGAGTTTATTTAACAATGAGAGAAATAATCTCTCATATTTGCAAATAATATTTTTATTCACAAAAAAATCCCAAATTATTTTTTCCCACACCTCAGTGAGCAACAGCTGCATGACATGGCAGCAGGGATTGCATTTAATGGCTGCCCTGAATGCAGGGATCTTTTTGTCTCAGCCTCTGACCAGCCAATCATTCAATTCATCCGCATCAAAAAGATGCTTGAGAATTCATTATATCATCATAAGAGAGAGTCTCATCTGAAGTGACTTATTCTCAGTATGATGTAAATAAAATTCTTACACAGCCTCCCCCTCCTGAATACCTGTTGACAAAGTCAATGAAACTAAGTTATTCCTTGTAAAATACAGACCACACCTTATGCCACATTAAGACAATTTGTCCCCTAATCGAAATGTTATGAGGAAAATTAAGTAAGGAATTAAGCTGGGAATTGAGAAAGTACGCAATGGGTATGTAAGACGTGGCACAATCCATAATCTCTAAACCAAGGAAGGGAATGAAAGAACCTTCTGAATTTTGTAAGACCAATATGAGGCATCTAAAGAAACTGAAAACGGTGTTTGCAGGGAAATCAGAAGAATGTAAGAAAGGAGCAAAGTAGAACGTGTGCATTCATAGAAGTCATGATAGACAGAGGTTGGTGCTTTTGGTTCTGAACTGGTGCAAGCTAAGCATTCACTCAGGGAAAGATAGATTGATACTGGCTCTGAGAGAAATACAAAGTTTGGGGACCTGGGTCACCTTCTTGCGACCTCCTACCAGCATGGGAGTGGTAGAAATACCTCTGATGAGCTAACAATGTAGATTTCCATGACAGATGCCAACTTCTGAGACTGTGAATCTAGAATGCTCTGAAGACTTGGCTGAGGGATGAAGGCCACTTACTGTGATCATCGTTCAGGGATGAAGTAAAGGACATGAAAACTAGGACATTCCTTTTGACTAGCATCAGTTATGAAAGGTGAATAAGTTCAGCATGTCTACTGTACAGTAGTGTCACTATAGTTGTAAACACTGTATCATACACCTGAAATTTGCCAAGAAGTTAGATCTTATATGTTCACACCACAAAAATAAAAAGGAAATGGTAACTACGTGGGCTAATAAACATGTTATTCACAATGGATATATATATTAGAGCATCATCTTCCATACCTGAAATAGACACAATTTTTATTTGTCAATTACACCTCAATACAGCTCGAAAAAGTATTTGGTTGATCTGGTTAATTATTACAAAAATATTCTTATCTTCAACATTAAAATTAGAAATTTTCTGAACAAAAACACTAATTCTGGGCTGCCTGCTATAGGAGACATATTGGCTAAATGCTTTGTGTACACTATTATTAATTCTTTTTTTTTTTTTTTGAGATGGAGTCTTGCTCTGTCACCCAGGCTGGGGTGCAGTGGTACAATCTTGACTCACTGCAAGCTCTGCCTCCCTGGTTCATGCCATTCTCCTGCCTCAGCCTCTCGAGTAGCTGGGACTATAAGCACCCGCCACCACGCCCGGCTAATTTTATGTATTTTTAGTAGAGACGGGGTTTCAACATTTTAGCCAGGATGGTCTCGATCTCCTGACCTTGTGATCCGCCCGCCTCGGCCTCCCAAAATGCTTGGATTACAGGCGTGAGCCACTGCACCCGGCTATTATTAATTCTTTAACAAACTTTCAAAACAGGTATTAATGTTCCCTTTGTAGAGATGAAAAAATTGAGGCTGAGAGAGTTAGTGTATTGTCATAGATTAGTTTCTCCCAGAAGAGACTCTGAGGAAAGCATTCCAGTGAAACTAGTTTATTCGGAAGTGCAGATCACACTGGTAGGGATTGGGGAAGTGATACAGAAAAGGGTACACTATCAAGTCAGTATCACAGTCACCAACTAAAGCTTAAACTAAAGGGAAAACTATCAGAAATGACAAAAAAACACACAGCTAGAGTTATCCTACTTCAGGAATGAGGAAGCTAGAGTCTTTATAAATCAGCTCTCCAGAATCATTGGTTGAGAGTTTTTCTCTGTGTTGCATTCACAGGTGACATGACTTCTTACAGCAGCAATACAAGAGCTCTTAGGCACAGAGATGCAGATTCTAACAGATGGAAATTAGTCCAAGCACACTAAGATCTAATATATATGGGTGCAGTCATGAAAACTTACCTATGATCTACAATTAGCTCCACTCAAGTAAAACCTTTGCTACTTAAATGTGATGGACAGGCACAAGCTCTAGAAGAAGGAAGAAGAGGAGGTGAGAAAGAGGAGTAAGAGAAGGGACAGAAGATGAGTGGAGGACAAAAGAAAGAAAGAGAGAGAGAGAAAGAGAAAAAGAAGGAAGGAAGGGAGAGAGAGAGAGAGAGAGAGAAAGAAAGAAAGAGAGAAAGAAAGAAAGAAGAAAGAAAGAAAGAGAAAGAAAGAAAGAAGAAGAAAGGAAGGAAGAAAGGAAGGAAGAGGAAGGAGAGAGAAGAAGGAAATGAAAAGAAAGGAGAGGAAGTGAGATGTAAAATGAAGGCCAATGAAATAAGCTACACTTACTGCTGCTATAGTACAGTGCACCTGAGATTCACAGTCTCCGTTTATTACCACCAGTTCTATTCTCCCTTCACCGCTGGCCAGCACTCTTCTTGGTCTGGATAACTGCCTGATAACTGCCTTGATAACTTCCTTCCTAAATTGTCTGAGCCTCTAGTTACTATACCACTGTCCACTGTGATTGCTGTTCTTACCGATTTGTAGTTATCACTGGACATGGACACACTATGAGATTCTCCAGTGTTATGGGTTAATTTGTGTCCCCCAAAACTCATATTCAAATAGAATCATTTAAAGTGTTATGTGATAAGGCAAGGTCATATTGGAAACAATTAGGCCTCTGATTAAATATGACTGATGTCTATATAAAAGGGGGAAATTCAGAGACAGCATGCATATAACAGAAAAATTATATCAAACACACATGGAAATGATAGACATCAACAAGTCAAGGAGAGAGACCTGGAACATGTACTTCCCTCACAGGCTTCAGATGAAAACAACATTGCCAAAACCTTAATTTCTGAACTGTGAAAAGATAAATTTAAGCCACTTGGTTTACAGTAATTTATTATGGCAGTGCTGGTAAGTTAATACACTTACTAAGTATCCTGAGCTATAGATATATTCTGCTACACTATATGGCTTAAAGATAATTACCCCTCACCAAATAGTAACTCCTTTCTCTGTCTGCTGCTCTGCTGACGGGAAGAGTCCAAAATGACTAGGCGATAACGATTCCTTTTGATTATAACAAAGAAACAGAGAAGCAAATACTATAATTTTTATTCACATGGAAATTTTAAAAAGCCAAAGTCATCTACTGGATTATAACTTGATAGAGTGATTAGCTGTTTGGAAATGAGTAAGCGGATATAATTGGGAGAGAATGGCATTAATTTCTATTTCCTAACCTGGTAATGGGGACATAGATGTATTTACAATGTAATACTATATCAGGTTGGAAATTAATAATTTGCATTCTTCTCAAGTGAATGATATACCTAGACAATGTTTTCAACATGTTAGAACTCCACGATGAATCAGGTGTCATCTCAACTCATCTAATCCCTTCATTGAAAAGAAATAGAAGAAATTACTTCTACTTACTTCTTCTTCTAGTTACTGCTAGTAACTAGGTTTAGGGCTAGAGCCACAGCACATGCTGGTTGGCCTGAATTTCAACGCTTACTTCTAGTTACTGCTAGTAACTAGGTTTAGGGCTAGAGCCAGAGCACATGCTGGTTGGCCTGAATCTCAAGAAGTTACGTGATAGAAAGTCCTCCATTCTCATCCCGGAAATCCCCACACTCCCAGACAAGTCAGAATGAATGGTCGTCCTAGGGCATACATTGCTTGATGCTGTCTAAATCTCAGCAGATTTCTCTGCATCCACCTGTTCTCGATCTGCTCTGTCGCATGGAACACACTGTGCAGTCACCGTCTTCCCAAGTGACATTCAAAGAACTGAAAGACACAGATGATGTGGGTGGCACAAAGAGATGCCTGTTAGTCTTGAGTCAGAATTTGGTGGGTGAATAGTCTTGGGCCCAGGCATGGATTCATTTTGTCACTGTAAATATATCAGCATCATGCTTCTCCCCACAGACACTTCCAAGTCTATATACAGCCAAACATGAGGCTGGCCAGAGAGAACTTCCTGAGCCCCCCGGATCAACAGGAACTGTCACATGACCAGATGATGGTCAGAGCAGGAATGATGCTGATGATGAGACGGGCTTCCTTTTATCTGAAACAAACTTTCTATGAGTAACTCACAATTAAGAAACAGATTAAACCCTTAGTTTAAAAGGTTCATAAGATTTCAGTAACAACTTCCCCTTTGACAATCCCAAATGGACTGTGGAAAACAATGTAAACAGCAACAAGGAAAAGTCCTGCTGATTGGTGGAAACTTTGGAGGCCAGGTGTATAAAAGGTCCAGATTGCAAGGGGTCATCAGATTTTGGGAAACTCACCTCTTAACAGAAGCCCACCCTCCATCCCTGACACCATGACCCACTGTTGCTCCCCTTGCTGTCAGCCTACCTGCTGCAGGACCACCTGCTGGCAGCCCACCACTGTGACCACCTGCAGCAGCACACCCTGCTGCCAGCCCTCCTGCTGTGTTTCCAGCTGCTGCCAGCCTTGCTGCCACCCAACTTGCTGTCAAAACACCTGCTGTAGGACCACCTGCTGCCAGCCCATCTGTGTGACCAGCTGCTGCCAGCCTTCCTGCTGTAGCACACCCTGCTGCCAGCCCACATGCTGTGGGTCCAGCTGTGGTCAGAGCAGCTCCTGTGCACCTGTGTACTGCAGAAGAACCTGCTACCACCCCACAAGTGTTTGTCTGCCTGGTTGCCTAAACCAGAGCTGTGGCTCCAACTGCTGCCAGCCCTGCTGCCGCCCAGCCTGCTGTGAGACCACCTGCTGCAGGACCACTTGTTTCCAGCCCACCTGTGTGTACAGCTGCTGCCAGCCTTCTTGCTGCTAATCAACTCCCAAGAGAACTACCATCCTCACACAACAACCTTCAGCTCAACTGACTTGTCTTTTGAGGGACTAATTTACTTTGCTGCTGACAGCCACCATGCTCTCACCCAAATTTTTATGAATTCTCTACATGTTTAAAATCTTGGGAATCTGCTTGAGGGAGGGCAGAATACTTCATCCTCATTCCCTCTTTCCTTACACCTTGTGGATCATGTGCCAGCTTCGTCTGTTCTTAATTTGGAGTCATGATCTCAGCTTTGTCTCAAAAATCAAGAGCTTCATTCTTTGCTTCTAAGGAATTTAGGTTTCTGCAACTGATCAATCATCTTTGCAATTATATTTTCATTTTAAATATCCTTCTCATGGTTCTTGTATCCTTCTTTCTTCTTTTCACGATAACTTTGGGTTATGTCTCTGGTAGCAGAGATTCTTACCTATATGTTTCTGAATAAACTCTGAACCATCTTCATCTCATATAGTGTTTTGTTTTATTTGAAAGCATTCCTGATATGGGATTTACACACATATCACATACCATAGGTATTATCCAATTTGATTCTCAAAACAGATGGTCGTGTATTATTAACTCCATTTTTTCAGCTGAGAACAATTTAATGTGTGATGTTATGTAGCTAGTAAAGGGCAGACTCTGGTCAAAGGTGAGGTCCTCTCTTTCTGCCCAAGGACACTTACGTTTAACTCCCAATATAGTAGAAAAGACACTGGAAGTCAGCACTAGCAAGACATGTACTTGAGTTTATTTAACAATGAGAGGAATAATCTGACATATTTGCAGATAACACTTTTGTTCACACACAAAAAAATCCCAAAGTAGTTCCCCACACCTCAGTGAGCAAAGGCTGCATGATATGCATTTAATGGCTGCCCTGAATGCAGAGATCTTTTTGTCTGAGCCTCTGACCAGCCATTCATTCAATTCATCTGCATCAAAAAATGCTTGAGAATTTATTGTGGACTCAGGAGACGGAGCCTCATCTGAAGAAACTTATTCTCAGTGTGATGTAAATAAAATTCTTATACAGCATCGGTCTCCTGAATACCAATTGACAAAGTAAATGAAACTAAGTTATTCATTGTAAAATACAGACCATACGTTATGCCACGTTAAGACAATTTGTCCCCTACTTGAAGTGTTATGAGTAAAATTATGTAAGAACAAAGCTGGGAATTGAGAAACTATGCAATGGGCATGTAAGACTTGGCACAACCCATAATCTCTGAGCTAAGGAAGGGAATAAAAACAACCTTCCACATTTTGTGAGGCCAATATGAAGAATCTAAAGAAATGAAAAACTTCTTTTTCCACGGAAATCAGAAGAATGTAAGAAAGGAGCAAGGTAGAACTTGTGCATTCATAGAAGACATAATAGACAGAGGTTGGTGCTTCGGGTCCTGAACTGATGTAAGATAACCATTCACTCATGAAAGGATTGATTGATGCTGGCTCTGAGAGAAATTGAAAAGTCGGGGACCTGGGGCACCTTCTTGGGGCCTCCTACCAGCAGGGGAGTGGTAGAAATACCTCTGATGAGCTAAAAATGTAGATTTCCATGACAGATGCCAACTTCCGAGACTGTGAATCTAGAATGCTCTGAAGACTTGGCTAAGAGACAACAGCCACTTACTGTCATCATCGTTCAGGGATGAAGTAAAGGAGATGAAAACTAGGACATTCTCTTTGACTAGCATCAGTTATGAAAGATGAATAAGTTCAGTAGGTCTAATGTACAGTAATATGACTATAGTTAAAAACACTTTATCATATACCTGAAATTTACTGAGAAGGTAGATCTTAAATGTTCACACCAGAAAAATAAAAAGGAAATGGTAACTAAGTGACCTAATAAATATGTTATTCACAATCAATATATATATCAGAGCATCACCTTCTATACCTGAAATGTACACAATTTTTGTTTGTCAATTATACCTCAATACAGCTAGAAAAAAACGTATTTAGTTGATCTATTTAATTATTACAAAAATATTCTTATCTTCAACATAAAACTTGGGAATTTTCTGAACAAAAAACACTAATTCTGTGTTGCCTGCTCTATGATGGGTACTGGATAAATGCTTTGTGTACATTATTATTAACTATTTAACAAACTTTCAAAATAGGTATTAATGTTCCTCTTGTAGAGATGAGAAATTTGAGGCTGAGTTAACGTATAGGCATAGATGAGTTTCTCCCAGAAGAGACTCTGAAAAAAAATTCCAGTGAAACTAGTTTACTGGGAAGTGCAGATCATACTGGTAGGGACTGGGGAAGTGATACAGAAAAGGGTACACTATTAAGTCAGTTTCACAGTCACCAACTAAAGCTTAAACTAAAGTGAAAATTATCAGAAATGATGAAAAACACATAGCTGGTATTATCCTACTTCAGGAATGAGGAAGCTAGAGTCTTTATAAATCAGCTCTCCAGAATCATTGGTTGAGTGTTTTTCTCTGTGTTGCATTCACAGGTGGCATGACTTTCTACAGCTGCAATACAAGAGCCCTTAGGCACAGAGATGCAGATTTTGACAGATAGAAATTGATCCAAGCACACTAACATGCAAGATATACGGGTGCAGTCATGAAAACTTGTCTACGATCTACAACTAGCTCCACTCAAGTCAAATATTTGCTACTTAAATAGAATGGACAGCCACAAGCTCTAGGAGAAAGAAGAAGAGGAAGAGAGGAAGCAGAGGAAGAGAAGGGACAGAAGATGAGAGGAGAAGGAAAGAGAAAAGAAGGAAAGAAAAACAGAAAGACAGAGAGAAGGAAGGAAGGAAGGACGGACAGGAGGGAGGGAAAAGAGGGAGCAGGGAGGAACCGAGGGAGGGAAAGGAAGGAAGGAAGGAAGGAAGGAAAGAGATCGAAAGAAAGAAAGAAAGAAAGAAAAAAGAAAGAAAGAAGAAAGAAAGAAAGAATAGAGAGAGAGAGAGAAGGGAAGGGAAGGGAGGGAGGCAGGAAGGGAGAAAAAGGAAGGAAGGAAGGAAAAGAAAGAAAGAAAGAAGAAGGAAAGGAAAAGAAAGGAGAGGAAGTGAGATATAAAATGAAGGCCAATTAAATAATCTACACTTACTTCTGCTATAATACAGTGCACCTAAGTTTCATAAACTCCGTTAATTACCAAGAGTTCTATTCTCCCTTCACCCCTGGCCAGCACTCTTTTTGGTCTAGATAACTGCTGATAGAGTAGCTCAGAGCATCCTTCCTGAAGGGTCTGAACCCCTGGTTACTATACCATTGTCCACCGTGATTGCTGTTTTTATTCATTTGTGGTTATCACTGGGCATGGACACACTATGAGATTCTGCAGTGTTATGGGTTCATTTGCGTCCCTCAAAATCCATATACAAATAGAACCATCTAAAATGTTATCTGATAAGACAAGGTCATATTGGAAACAATTAGGCCTCTGATTAAATATGACTGTGTCTATTCACAAGGGAGAAATTCAGAGACAGTATGGATATAATAGAAAAATTATGTCAAACACACTTGGAGATGATAGACTTCGACACGTCAGGGAGAGAGACCTGGAACAGATACTTCCCTCGCAGTCTTCAGATGAAAACAACATTGCCAACACCTTAATTTCAGAAAAGAGGCCTTCAGAACTTTGATAAATAAATTTAAGCCACTTTTTTTCAGTAATTCATCAGGGCAGTGCTAGTAAATTAATATACTCAGTAAATCTCCTGAGCTATAGATATATTCTGCTACACTATATGGCTTGAGGGTAATTATCCCTCACCAAATAGTAACTACTTTCTCTGTCTGCTGCTTTGCTTATATGAAGAGTCCAAAATGACTAGGCGATAAAGATTACTTTTGTTTATGCCAAAGAAATAGAGAAGCAAATACTATACTTTTTATTCACATGAAAATTTTAAAAAGCCAAAAGTTACCTACAGGATTACAACTGATAGAGTGATTAGCTGTCTTTGGGAAAGAGTAAGAGCATATAATTGGGAGAGAATGGAATTAATTTCTATTTCCTAACATAGATGTAATGGGACATAGATGTATTTACAATATAATACTATATCAAGTTGAAAATTAATAGTTTGCATTTTCTCAAATGAATGGTATACCTAGAAAATGTTTTAAACATGTTAGAACTCCATGATGAATCAGGCATCATCTCAACTCATCTAATTCCTTCATTAAAAAGAAATAGAGAGAGAACACATGATGCTTACTGTGCTGGTAACTGGGTTGCAGCTAGAGCCAGAGCACATGCTGGTTGGCCTGAATCTCAAGCAGTTATGTCATAGAGAGTCCTACATTCTCGTCCTGGAATCGCCACACTCACAGACAAGTCAGAATGAATGGTCACTCAGGGCATAGATTGCTTGATGTTGTCTAAATCCCAGTGAATTTCTCTGCATCCCCCTGCTCTCGATCTGCTCTGCCACATGGAACACACTGTGACAGACACCCTCTTCCCAAGTGACGTTCAAATAACTGAAAGGCACAGGTGGTGAGGGTGGTACAGAGAGATGCCTGTTAGTCTTGAGTCAGAATTTGGTGGGTGACTAGCCTTGGGCCCAGGCATGGATTCATTTTGTCACTGTAAATATATCAGCATCATGCTTCTCCCCACAGACACTTCCCAGTCTATATACAGCCAAACATGAGGCTGGCCAGAGAGCTTCCTGAGCCTCCCAGATCAACAGGAACTATCACATGACTAGATGATGGTCAGAATAGGAATGATGCTGATGATGAGACGGGCTTCCTTTTATCTGAAACAAAGTGTCTATGAGTAATTCACAATTAAGAAACAGATTAAACCTTAATCTGTTTAACCTTAAGGAAACAACTACCCTTTGAGAATCACAAACGGACTGTGGAAAACAAGATAAACAGCAACAAGGAAAAGTCCTGCTGATTGGTGGAAACTTTGGAGGCCAGGTGTATAAAAGGTCCAGAATGCAAGGGGTCATCAGATTCTGGGAAACTCACCTCTGAACAGAACTCCACCCTCTACCCCTGACACCATGACCCACTGTTGTTCCCCTTGCTGTCAGCCTACGTGCTGCAGGACCACCTGCTGGAAGCCCACCACTGTGACCACCTGCAGCAGCACACCCTGCTGCCAGCCCTCCTGCTGTGTGTCCAGCTGCTGCCAGCCTTGCTGCCGCCCAACTTGCTGTCAAAACACCTGCTGCCAGCCCATCTGTGTGACCAGCTGCTGCCAGCCTTCCTGCTGCAGCACACCCTGCTGTCAGCCCACCTGCTGTGGCCAAACCAGCTGTGGGTCCAGCTGTGGTCAGAGCAGCTCCTGTGCACCTGTGTACTGCAGAAGAACCTGCTACCACCCCACGACTGTCTGCCTGCCTGGTTGCCTAAACCAGAGCTGTGGCTCCAGCTGCTGCCAGCCCTGCTGCCGCCCAGCCTGCTGTGAGACCACCTGCTGCAGGACAACTTGCTTCCAGCCCACCTGTGTGTACAGCTGCTGCCAGCCTTCTTGCTGCTGATCAAGTCCCAAGAGAACCACCATACTCACACAACAAATTTCTGCTCAACTGACTCATCTTTTGGGGGACTAATTTAATTTGCTGCTGACAGCCACCATGCTTTCACCCAAATTTTTATGAATTCTCTGCATGTTTAAAATCTTGTGAATCAGCCTGAGGGAGGGCAGAATACTTCATCTTGATTCTCTTTTTCCTTACACCTTGTGGATCATGTGCCAGCTTCGTCTGTTCTCAATTTGGAATCATGATCTCAACTTTGACTCAAAAGTCAAGAGGTTCATTCTCTGCTTCTAAGGAATATAGGTTTCTGCAACCGACCAATAATTTTTGCAATCACATTTTTGTTTTCAATATCCTCCTCATGGTTCTTGTATTCTTCTTTATTCTTTTCATGATAACTTTGAGTTATGTCCTTGGTAACAGAGATTCTTACCTATATATTTCTGAATAAACTCTTAACCATCCTCATCTCATATGGTGTTTTGTTTTATTTGAAAACATTCCTGATATGGGATTTACACACATATCACATACCATAGGTATTATCCAATTTTATTCTCAAAACAGATGGTCATGTATTATTACCTTCATTTTTTTAGCTGAGTACAATTTAATGCGTGATGTTATGTAGCTAATAAAACACAGACTCTGGTCCAAGCTGGGGTCCTCTCATTCTGCCCAAGGACACTTACATTTAACTCTCAATGTAGTGAAATGACATTGGAAGTCAGCACTAGCAAGACATGCACTTGAGTTTATTTAACAATGAGAGGAATGATCTCTTATATTTGCAGATAACATTTTTGTTCACAAAAAAGTTTTCCCAAATAAGTTTCCCACACCTCAGTGAGCAACAGCTGCATGATATGGCAGCAGGGACTGCATTTAATGGCTGCCCTGAAAGCAGGGATCTCTTTTTGTCTCATCCTCTGACCAGTCATTCATTCAATTCATCTGCATCAAAAAATGCTTGAGAATTCATTGTGGACTCATGAGAGAGTCTCATCTGAAGGAACTTATTCTCGATATCATGTAAATAAAATTGTTATATGGCCTCCATCTCCTGAACACCTATTGACGAAGTAAATGAAACTAAGTTATTCCTTGTAAAACACAGACTGTACCTTATGCCACATTAAGAAAATTTGTCCCATAATTGAGACGTTATGAGGAAAATTAAGTAAGAACAAAGCTGGGAATTGAGAAAGTGTGCAATGGGCATGTAAGACTTGGCACAATCCATTATCTCTATGAGAAGGAAGGGAATGAAACAACCTTCTGCAGTTTTTGAGGATAATATGAACCATCTAAAGAAACGAAAAACTTGTGTTTTCAGGGAAATCAACATAATGTAAGAAAGGAGCAAAGTAGAACTTCTGCATTCATAGAAGTCATGATAGGGGGAAGTTCCAAGGTGGCTGAATGGGAACAGCTCCAGTCTACAGCTCCCAGCATGAGTGACGCAGAAGATGGTTGATTTCTGCATTTCCAACTGAGGTACCGGGTTCATCTCACTGGGGCTTGTTGGACAGTGGGTGCAGGACAGTGGGTGCAGCCCACTGAGCATGAGCCAAAGCAGGGCGAGGCATTGCCTCACCCAGGAATTGCAAGGAGTCGGGGGAAGCTGTGACAGATGGCACCTGGAAAACTGGGTCACTCACACCCTAATACTGCCCTTTTCCAATGGTCTTACAAACGGCACACCAGGAGATTATGTCCCGTGCCTGGCTCAGAGAGCCCACGCCCACAGAGCCTCTCTCATTGCTAGCACAGCAGTCTGAGATCGAACTGCAAGGTGGCAGTGAGGCTGGGGGAGGGGCGCCTGCCATGGCTGAGGCTTGAGTAGATAAAGTGGCCAGGAAGCTCAAACTGGGTGGAGCCCACCACAGCTCAAGGAGGCCTGCCTGCCACTGTAGACTCCACCTCTGGGGCAGGGCATAGCCAAACAAAAGGCAGCAGAAACCTCTGCAGACTTAAATGTCCCATCTGACAGCTTTGAAGAGAGTAGTGGTTCTCCTAGCACACAGTTTGAGATCTGAGAACAGACAGACTGCCTCCTCAAGTGGGTCCCTGACCCCCAAGTAGCCTAACTGGGAGACACCCTCCAGTAGGGGCAGTCTGAGACCTCACATGGCTAGATACCCCTCTGAGATGAAGCTCCAGAGAAACGATCAGGCAGCAACATTTACTGTTCAGCAATATTCGCTGTTCTGCAGCCTCCGCTGCCGATACCCAGGCAAACAGCGTCTGGAGTGGACCTTCAGCAAACTCCAACAGACCTGCAGCTGAGGGTCCTGACTGTTAGAAGGAAAACTAACAAACAGAAAGGACATCCACACCAAAACCCCATCTGTATGTCACCATCATCAAAGACCAAAGGTAGATAAAATCACAAAGATGGGGAGAAACAGAGCAGAAAAGCTGAAAATTCTAAAAATCAGGTGCCTCTCACCTTCCAGAGGAGCACAGCTCCTTGCCAGCAACGGAACAAAGCTGGACGGAGAATGACTTTGATGAGTTGAGAGAAGAAGGCTTCAGATGATCAAACTTCTCCAAGCTAAAAGAGGAAGTTCGAACCCATTGCAAAGAAGCTAAAAACCTTGAAAAAAGATTAGACAAATGGCTAACTAAAATAACCAGTGTAGAGAAGTCCTTAAATGACCTGATGGAGCTGAAAACCATGGCATGAGAACTACGTGACGAATGCACAAGCTTCAGTAGCAAATTCAATCAACTGGAAGAAAGGGTATCAGTGATTGAAGATCACAGGAATGAAATGAAGAGAGAAGAGAAGTTTAGAGAAAAAAGAGTAAAAAGAAAGGAACAAAGCCTCCAAGAAATATGGGACTATCTGAAAAGACCAAATCTACATCTGATTGGTGTACCTGAAAGTGACGGGGAGAATGAAACCGAGTTGGAAAACACTCTGCAGGATATTATCGAGGAGAACTTCCCCAACCTAGCAAGACAGGCGAATATTCAAATTCAGGAAATACAGAGAACACCACAAAGATACTCCTCGAGAAGAGCAACTCCAAGACACATAATTGTCAGATTCACCAAAGTTGAAATGAAGGAAAAAATGTTAAGGGCAGCCAGAGAGAAACGTCGGGTTACCCACAAAGGGAAGCCCATCAGACTAACAGCAGATCTCTCGGCAGAAACTCTACAAGCCAGAAGAGAGTGGGGGCCAATATTCAACATTCTTAAAGAAAAGAATTTTCAACCCAGAATTTCATATCCAGCCAAACTAAGCTTCATAAGTGAAGGAGAAATAAAATACTTTACAGACAGGCAAATGCTGAGAGATTTTGTCACCACCAGGCCTGCCTTACAAGAGCTCCTGAAGGAAGCACTAAACATAGAAAGGAACAACCGGTACCAGCCACTGCAAAAACATGCCAAATTGTAAAGGCTGTCAATGCTAGGAAGAAACTGCATCAACTAACGAGCAAAATAACCAGCTAACATCATAATGACAGGATCAAATTCACACATAACAATATTAACGTTAAGTGTAAATGGGCTAAATGCTCCAGTTGAAAGACACAGACTGGCAAATTGGATAAAGAGTCAAGACCCATCAGTGTGCTGTATTCAGGAGACCCATCTCCCATACAGAGACACACATATGCTCAAAATAAAGGGATGGAGGAAGATCTACCAAGCAAATGGAAAAAAAAAAGGAGGGTTTGCAATTGTAGTCTGTGATAAAACTGACTTTAAATCAACAAAGATAAAAAGAGACAAAGAAGGCCATTGCATAATGGTAAAGGGATCAACTCAACAAGAATAGCTAACTATCCTAAATATATAAGCACCCAATACAGGAGCACCCAGATTCATAAAGCAAGTCCTTAGAGACCTACAAAGAGACTTAGACTCCCACACAATAATAATGGGAGAATGTAACACCCCACTGTCAACATTAGACAGATCAACGAGACAGGAAGTTAACAAGGATATCTAGAAATTGAACTCAGCTCTACGCCAAACGGACCTCATAGACATCTACAGAGCTCTCCACCCCAAATCAACAGAATATACATTCTTCTCAGCACCACATCACACTTATTCCAAAATTGACCACATAGTTGGAAGTAAAGCACTCCTCAGCAAATGTAAGAGAAGAGAAATTATAACAAACTGTCTCTCAGACAACGGTGCAATCAAACTAGAACTGAGGATTTAGAAACTCACTCAAAACCACTCAGTTACATGAAAACTGAACAACCTGCTCCTGAATGACTACTGGGTACATAACAAAATGAAGGCAGAAATAAAGATATTCTTTGAAACAAATGAGAACAAAGACACAACATACCAGAATCTCTGGGACACATTTAAAGCAGTGTGTACAGGGAAATTTATAGCACTAAATGCCCACAAGACAAAGCAGGAAAGATCTAAAATTGACACCCTAACATCACAATTAAAAGAACTAGAGAAGCAAGAGCAATCACATTCAAAAGCTAGCAGAAGGCAAGAAATAACTAAGATCAGAGCAGAACTGAAGGAAATAGAGACATGAAAAACCCTTCAAAAAATCAATGAATCCAGTCGCTGGTTTTTTGAAAAGATCAACAAAATTGATAGACCGTTAGCAAGACTAATAAAGAAGAAAAGAGAGAAGAATCAAATAGACGCAATAAAAAATGATAAATGGGATATCACCAACAATCCCACAGAAATACAGACTACCATCAGAGAATACTATAAACACCTCTATGCAAATAAACTAGAAAATCTTGAAGAAATGAATAAAGACTAAACCAGGAAGAAACTGAATCCCTGAATAGACCAATAACAGGCTCTGAAATTGAGGCAATAATTAATAGCCTACCAACCAAAAAAAAGTCCAGGAGCAGACGGATTCACAGCCAAATTCTACCAGAGGTACAAGGAGGAGCTGGTACCATTTCTTCTGAAACTATTATAATCAATAGAAAAAGAGGGACTCCTCCCTAACTCATTTTATGAGGCCAGCATCATCCTGATACCAAAGCCTGGCAGAGACACAACAAAAAAAGAGAATTTTCGACCAATATCCCTGATGAACATTGATGCAAAAATCCTCATTAAAATACTGGCAAACTGAATTCAGCAGCACATCAAAAAGCTGATCCAACATGATAAAGTGGGCTTCATCCCTGGGATGCAAGGCTGGTTCAACATATGCAAATCAATAAACATAATCCAGCATATAAGCAGAACCAAAGACAAAACCACGTGATATCTCAATAGATGCAGAAAAGGCCTTTGACAAAATTCAACAACTCCTCATGCTAAAAACTCTCAATAAATTAGGTATTGATGGGACGATCTCAAAATAATAAGAGCTATTTATGACAAACCCACAGCCAATATCATACTGAATGGGCAAAAACTGGAAGCATTCCCTTTGAAAACCGGCACAAGACAGGGATGCCCTCTCTCACCACTCCTATTCAACAGTGTTGGAAGTTCTGGCCAGGGCAATCAGGCAGGAGAAAGAAATAAATGGTATTCAATTAGGAAAAGAGGAAGTCAAATTGTCCCTGTTTGCAGGTGACATGATTGTATATTTAGAAAACCCCATCATCTCAGCCCAAAATCTCCTTAAGCTGATAAGCAACTTCAGCAAAGTCTCAGGATATAAAATCAAAGTGCAAAAATCACAAGCATTGTTATACACCAATAACAGACAAAGAGAGAGCCAAATCATGAAGGAACTCCCATTCACAATTGCTTCAAAGAGAATAAAATACCTAGGAATCCAACTTACAAGGGACGTGAAGGACCTCTTCAAGGAGAACTACAAACCTCTGCTCAATGAAATAAAAGAGGACACAAACAAATGGAAGAACATCCCATGCTCATGGATAGGAAGAATCAATATCATGAAAATGGCCATATTGCCCAGGGTAATTCATAGATTCAATGCCATTCCCATTAAGCTACCAATGACTTTCTTCACAGAATTGGAAAAAACTACTTTAAAGTTCATATGGAACCAAAAAAGGGCCTGCATTGCCAAGACACTCCTAAGCCAAAAGAACAAAGCTGGAGTCATCATGCTACCTAACTTAAAACTATACTAAAAGGCTATAGTAACAAAAACATCATGGTACTGGTACCAAAACAGAGGTATAGACCAATGGAACAGAACAGAGCCCTCAGAAATAATACCACACATCTACAACCATCTGATCTTTGACAAACCTGACAAAAGCAAGAAATGGGGAAAGGATTCCCTATTTAATAAATGGTGCTGGGAAAACTGGCTAGTCATACGTAGAAAGCTGAAACTGGATCCCTTCCTTACACCTTATACAAAAATTAATTTAAGATGGATTAAAGACTTAAATGTTAGACCTAAAACCATAAAAACCCTAGAAGAAAACCTAGGCAATACCATTCAGGACATAGGCATGGGCAAGGACTTCATGTCTAAAACACAAAAAGCAATGGCAATAAAAGCCAAAATTGACAAATGGGATCTAATTAAACTAAAGAACTTCTGCACAGCAAAAGAAACTACCATCAGAGTGAACAGGCAGCCTACAGAATGGGAGAAAATTTTTGAAATCTACTCATCTGACAAAGGGCAAATATCCAGAATCTACAAAGAACTCAAACAAATTTACAAGAAAAAAACAAACCATCCCATCAAAAACTGGATGAAGGATATAAACAGACACTTCTCAAAAGAAGACATGTATGCAGCCAAAAGACACATGAAAAAATGCTCATCATCACTGGCCATCAGAGAAATGCAAATCAAAACCACAATGAGATACCATCTCACACCAGTTAGAATGGCTATCATTAAAAAGTCAGGAAACAACAGGTGCTGGAGAGGATGTGGAGAAATAGGAACACTTTTACACTGTTGGTGGGACTGTAAACTAGTTTAACCATTGTGGAAGACGGTGTGGTGATTCCTCAAGGATCTACAACTAGAAATACCATTTGACCCAGCCATCCCATTACTGGGTATATACCCAAAGGATTATAAATCATGCTGCTATAAAGACACATGCACACGTATGTTTATTGCAGCACTATTCACAATAGCAAAGACTTGGAACCAACCCAAATGTCCATCAATGATAGATGGGATTAAGAAAATGTGACACATATACACCACAGAATACTATGCAGCCATAAAAAAGGATGAGTTCATGTCCTTTGTAGGGACATGGATGAAGCTGGAAACCATCATTCTCAGCAAACTATCGCAAGGACAAAAAACCAAACACCACACATTCTCAGTCATAGGTGGCAATTGAACAATGAGAACCGTTGGACGCAAGAAGGGGAACATCACACACCGGGGCCTATTATGGGGTGAGGGGAGTGGGGAGGGATAGCATTAGGAGATATATCTAATGTAAATAACGAGTTAATGGGTGCAGCACACCATTATGGTGCACGTATACATATGTAACAAACCTGCACATTGTGCACATGTACCCTAGAACTTAAAGTAAAAAAAAAAAAAAAAGAAAGAAAAAAAAAAGAAACAGAAGTCATGATAGACAGAGGTTTTTGCTTCGGGTCCTGAACTGATTCAAGCTAAGCATTCACCCACGGAAGGTTGATTGATACTGGATCTGTGAGAAATACAAAGATTGGGGACCTAGGTCACCTTCTTGGGGCCTCCTACAAGCAGGGGAGTGGTAGAAATACCTCTGATGAGCTAACAATGTAGATTTCCATGACAGATGCCACTTCTGAGACTGTGAATCTAGAATGCTCTGAAGACTTGGCTAAGAGACAACAGCCACTTACTGTCATCATCGTTCAGGGATGAAGTAAAGGAGATGAAAACTAGGACATTCTCTTTGACTAGCATCAGTTATGAAAGATGAATAAGTTCAGTAGGTCTAATGTACAGTAATATGACTATAGTTAAAAACACTTTATCATATACCTGAAATTTACTGAGAAGGTAGATCTTAAATGTTCACACCAGAAAAATAAAAAGGAAATGGTAACTAAGTGACCTAATAAATATGTTATTCACAATCAATATATATATCAGAGCATCACCTTCTATACCTGAAATGTACACAATTTTTGTTTGTCAATAATACCTCAATACAGCTAGAAAAAAACTATTTAGTTGATCTATTTAATTATTACAAAAATATTCTTATCTTCAACATAAAACTTGGGAATTTTCTGAACAAAAAACACTAATTCTGTGTTGCCTGCTCTATGATGGGTACTGGATAAATGCTTTGTGTACATTATTATTAACTATTTAACAAACTTTCAAAATACGTATTAATGTTCCCCTTGTAGAGATGAGAAATTTGAGGCTGAGAGAGTTAACGTATTGTCATAGATTAGTTTCTCCCAGAAGAGACTTTGAAGAAAATATTCCAGGGAAACTAGTTTACTGAGAAGTGCAGATCACACCGGTAGGGACTGGGGAAGTGATACAGAAGAAGGCACACTATTAAGTCAGTATCACAGTCACCAACTAAAGCTTAAACTAAAGGGAAAACTATCAGAAATGATGAAAAACACACAGCTAGAATTACCCTACTTCAGGAATGAGGAAGCTAAAGTCTTTATAAATCAGCTCTCCAGAATCATTGGTTGAGTGTTTTTCTCTGTGTTGCATTCACAGGTGGCATGACTTTCTACAGCTGCAATACAAGAGCCCTTAGGCACAGAGATGCAGATTTTGACAGATGGAAATTGATCCAAGCACAGTAACATCCAAGATATATGGGTGCAGTCATGAAAACTTGTCTACAATCTACAATTAGCTCCACTCAAGTCAAATATTTGCTACTTAAATAGGATGGGCAGCCACAAGCTCTAGGAGAAGGAAGAAGAGGAAGAGAGGAAGCAGAGGAAGAGAAGGGACAGAAGATGAGAGGAGAAGGAAAGAGAAAAGAAGGAAAGAAAAACAGAAAGACAGAGAGAAGGAAGGAAGGAAAGAAGGAAGGAAGGAAGGAAGGACAGGAAGGAGGGAGGGAGGGAAAGGAGGGAGCGGGGAGGAACTGAGGGAGGGGAAGGAAGGAAGGAAGGAAAAAAGAAAGAAAGAAAGATAAAAAGAAAGAAAGAAAGAGAAAGAAAGAAAGAGAGAGAAAGGGAGAGAGAAGGGAAGGGAAGGGAGGGAGGAAGGGAGGAAAAAAGGAAGGAAGGAAGGAAAAGAAAGAAAGAAAAGAAAGAAAGAAAGAAGAAAGAGGAAGGAAAGGAAAAGAAAGGAGAGGAAGTGAGATATAAAATGAAGGCCAATTAAATAATCTACACTTACTTCTGCTATAATACAGTGCACCTAAGTTTCATAAACTCCGTTAATTACCAAGAGTTCTATTCTCCCTTCACCCCTGGCCAGCACTCTTGTTGGTCTAGATAACTGCTGATAGAGTAGCTCAGAGCATCCTTCCTGAAGGGTCTGAGCCCCTGGTTACTATACCATTGTCCACCGTGATTGTTGTTTTTACTCATTTGTGGTTATCACTAGGCATGGACACACTATGAGATTCTGCAGTGTTATGGGTTCATTTGCGTCCCTCAAAATTCATATTCAAATAGAATCATCTAAAGTGTTATCTGATAAGACAAGGTCATATTGGAAACAATTAGGCCTCTGATTAAATATGACTGTGTCTATTCACAAGGGAGAAATTCAGAGACAGTATGGATATAATAGAAAAATTATGTCAAACACACTTGGAGATGATAGACTTTGACACGTCAGGGAGAGAGACGTGGAACAGATACTTCCCTCGCAGTCTTCAGATGAAAACAACATTGCCAACACCTTAATTTCAGAAAAGAGGCCTTCAGAACTTTGATAAATAAATTTAAGCCACTTTTTTTCAGTAATTCATCAGGGCAGTGCTAGTAAATTAATATACTCAGTAAATCTCCTGAGCTATAGATATATTCTGCTACACTATATGGCTTGAGGGTAATTATCCCTCACCAAATAGTAACTACTTTCTCTGTCTGCTGCTTTGCTTATATGAAGAGTCCAAAATGACTAGGCGATAAAGATTACTTTTGTTTATGCCAAAGAAATAGAGAAGCAAATACTATACTTTTTATTCACATGAAAACTTTAAAAAACCAAAAGTTACCTACAGGATTACAACTGATAGAGTGATTAGCTGTCTTTGGGAATGAGTAAGAGCATATAATTGGGAGAGAATGGAATTAATTTCTATTTCCTAACATAGATGTAATGGGGACACAGATGTATTTACAATATAATACTATATCAAGTTGAAAATTAATAATTTGCATTCTTCTCAAATGAATGGTATACCTAGAAAATGTTTTAAACATGTTAGAACTCCATGATGAATCAGGCATCATCTCAACTCATCTAATTCCTTCATTAAAAAGAAATAGAGAGAGAGAGAGAAGACATGCTGCTTACTGTGCTAGTAACCGGGTTGCGACTAGAGCCACAGCACATGCTGGTTGGCCTGAATCTCAAGCATTTATGCCATAGAGAGTCCTACATTCTCATTCTGGAATCGCCACGCTCACAGACAAGTCAGAATGAATGGTCACTCAGGGCATAGATTACTTGATGCTGTCTAAATCCCAGTGGATTTATCTGCATCCACCTGCTCTCGATCTGCTCTGCCACATGGAACACACTGTGACAAACACCCTCTTCCCAAGTGATGTTCAAAGAACTGAAAGACAGGTGGTGTGGGTTGCACAGAGAGATGCCTGTTAGTCTTGAGTCAGAATTTGGTGGGTGACTAGTCTTGGGCCCAGGCATGGATTCATTTTGTCACTGTAAATATATCAGCATCATGCTTCTCCCCACAGACACTTCCCAGTCTACATACAGCCAAACATGAGGCTGGCCAGAGAGAACTTCCTGAGCCTCCCAGATCAACAGGAACTATCACATGACCAGATGATGGTCAGAACAGGAATGATGCTGATGATGAGATTGCCTTCCTTTTATCTGAAACAAAGTGTCTATGAGTAATTCACAATTAAGAAACAGATTAAACCTTAATCTGTTTAACCTTAAGGAAACAACTACCCTTTGAGAATCACAAACGGACTGGGAAAACAATGTAAACGGAAACAAGGAAAAGTCCTGCTGATTGGTGGAAACTTTGGAGGCCAGGTGTATAAAAGGTCCAGATTGCAAGGGGTCATCAGATTCTGGGAAACTCACCTCTGAACAGAAGCCCACCCTCCACCCCTGACACCATGACCCACTGTTGCTCCCCTTGCTGTCAGCCTACATGCTGCAGGACCACCTGCTGCAGGACCACCTGCTGGAAGCCCACCACTGTGACCACCTGCAGCAGCACACCCTGCTGCCAGCCCTCCTGCTGTGTGTCCAGCTGCTGCCAGCCTTGCTGCCGCCCAACTTGCTGTCAAAACACCTGCTGCCAGCCCACCTGTGTGACCAGCTGCTGCCAGCCTTCCTGCTGCAGCACACCCTGCTGCCAGCCCACCTGCTGTGGGTCCAGCTGTGACCAGAGCAGCTCCTGTGCACCTGTGTACTGCAGAAGAACCTGCTACTACCCCACAACTGTCTGCCTGCCTGGTTGCCTAAACCAGAGCTGTGGCTCCAACTGCTGCCAGCCCTGCTGCCGCCCAGCCTGCTGTGAGACCACTTGCTTCCAGCCCACCTGTGTGTACAGCTGCTGTCAGCCTTTTTGCTGCTGATCAAGTCCCGAGAGAACCACCATCCTCACACAACAACTTTCTGCTCAACTGACTTATCTTTTGGGGGACTAATTTAATTTGCTGCTGACAGCCACCATGCTCTCACCCAAATTTTTATGAATTCTCTACATGTTTAAAATCTTGGGAATCTGCTTGAGGGAGGGCAGAATACTTCATCCTGATTCTCTTTTTCCTTACACTTTGTGGATCATGTGCCAGCTTCGTGTGTTCTCAATTTTGAGTCATGGTCTCAGCTTTGACTCAAAAGTCAAGAGCTTCATTCTCTGCTTCTAAGGAATTTAGGTTTCTGCAACTGATCAATAATCTTTGCAATCATATTTTTGTTTTCAATATCCTCCTCATGGTTCTTGTATCCTTCTTTCTTCTTTTCATAACTTTGGGTTATGTTTCTGCTACCAGCAGAGATTCTTAGCTATATGTTTCTGAATAAACTCTGAACCATCCTCATCTCATATGGTGTTTTGTTTTATATGAAAGCATTCCTGATATGAGATTTACACACATATCACATACCATAGGTATTATCCAATTTGATTCTCAAAACAGATGGTCGTGTGTTATTACCTCCATTTTTTCAGCTGAGAACAATTTAATGTGTGATGTTATGTAGCTAGTAAAGGGCAGACTCTTGTCCAAGCTGAGGTCCTCTCTTTCTGCCCAAGGACACTTACATTTAACTCTCAATATAGTAGAAATGACATTGGAAGTAAGTATTAGCAAGTCATATACTTGAGTTTTTTTAACAATAGGACAAATAATCTCTTATATTTGCAGATAACGTTTTTGTTTACAAAAAATTCCCAATTTCCCACACCTCAGTGAGAAACAGCTGCGTGATATGGCAGCAGGGACTGCATTTAATGGCTGCCCTGAATGCAGGGATCTCTTTTTGTCTCAGCCTCTGACCAGCCACTCATTCAATTCATCTACATCAAAAAAAGCTTGGGAATTTATTGTGGACTCATGAGAGAGAGTCTCATCTGAAGAAACTTGTTGTCAATATCATGTAAATAAAATACTTATACAGCCTTCATCTCCTGAATACCTATTGATGAAGTAAATGAAACTAAGTTATTTCTTGTAAAATGCAGACCATACATTTTGCCACATTAAGAAAATTTGTCCCCTAATTGTAATGTTATGAGGGAAATTATGTAAGAACAAAGCTGAGAATTGAGAAACTACACAATGGGCATGTAAGACTTGGCACAATCCATAATCTCTGAGCCAAGTAAGGGAATGAAACAGCCTTCTGCATTTTGTGAGGCCAATAGGAAGCATTCAAAGAAATGAAAAACTTGTGTTTCCAGGGAAATCAGAAGAATGTAAGAAAGGAGCAAAGTAGAACTTGTGCATTCATAGAAGTCATAATAGACAGAGGTTAGTGCTTTGGGTCCTGAACCGATGTAAGCTAAGCATTCACCCATGGAAAGATTGATTGATACAGGCTCTGAGAGAAATATAAAAGTTGGGGACCTGGGTCACCTTCTTCGGACCTCCTACCAGCACTGGAGTGCTAGAAGTACCTCTGATCAGCTAAAAATGTAGATTTCCATGACAGATGCCAACTTCTGAGACTGTGAATCTAGAATGCTCTGAAGACTTGGCTAAGAGACAACGGCCACTTACTGTGATCATCGTTCAGGGTTGAAGTAAAGGAGATGAAAACTAGGACATTCTCTTTGACTAGCATCATTTATGAAAGATGAATAAGTTCAGCATGTCTACTGTACAGTAATGTGACTATAGTTAATAACACTTTATCATATACCTGAAATTTACCAAGAAGGTAGATCTTAAATGTTCACACCACAAAAATTAAAAGGAAATGGTAGCTTCGTGACCTAATAAACATATTATTCACAAGGAATATATATATCAGAACATCACCTTGTATACCTGAAATAGATACAACTTTTATTTGTCAATTATACCTCAATACAGCTAGGAAAAAAGTATTTAGTTGATCTAGTTAATTATTACAAAAATATTCCTATCTTCAACATTAAAATTGGTAATTTTCTGAACAAGAAACACTAATATGTTCTGGATTGCCTGCTATAGGATGGGTATTTGCTAAACACTTTGTGTACATTATTATTAACTCTTTAACAAACTTTCAGAATAGGTATTAATATTCCCAGCGTAGAGATAAGAAAATTGAGGCTGAGGGAGTTAACATAATGTCATAGATTAGTTTCTCCCGAAAAGACTTTGAAGAAAAGATTCCAGTGAAACTAGTTTACTGGGAAGTGCAGATCACACCGGTAGGAATTGGGGAAGTGATACAGAAAAGGGTACACTATAAAGTCAGTATCACAGTCACCAACTAAAGCTTAAACTAAAGGGAAAACTATCAGAAATGATGAAAAACACACAGCTAGAATTATCCTACTTCAGGAATGAGGAAGCTAGAGTCTTTATAAATCAGCTCTCCAGAATCATTGGTTGAGTGTTTTTCTCTGTGTTGCATTCACAGGTGGCATGACTTTCTACAGCTGCAATACAAGAGCCCTTAGCCACAGAGATGCGGACTCTGACAGATGGAAATTAATCCAAGCACACTAACTTGCAAGATATATGGGCGCACTTACGAAAACTTGTCTGAGACCTACAATTAGCTCCACTCAAGTCAAATCTTTGCTGTTTAAATGTGATGGAGAGCCACAAGCTCTAGAAGAAGGAAGAAGCAGAGGAGAGGAAGAGAAGGAACAGAAGATGAGAGGAGGAAAGAGAAAAGAAACAAAAAAGAAAAAGAGAAGGGAGGAAGAAAGGAAGGAAAAGGAAAGGGAAGGGAAGGGAAGGGATAAAGGAACCAAAAAAAACATGAAGGAAGGAAGGAGAAGGGGTGATTGAAGAAAAAGAAAGAAAGAAAAATGAAGAAGGAAACGAAAAGCTGGGGGAGGAAGTGAGATATAAAATGAAGGCCAATGAAATAAGCTACACTTACTGCTGCTATAATACAGTGCACCTGAGATTCATAAGCTCCATTAATTACCACCAGTCCTATTCTCCCTTCACCCCTGGCCAGCACTCTTGTTTGTCTAGATAACTGCCTGAGGGAGTAGCTCAGAGCATCCTTCCTGAAGGGTCTGAGCCCCTGGTTACTATACCACTGTCCGCTGTGATTACTGTTTTTACTGTTTTGTGGTTATCACTGGGCATGGACACACTATGAGATTCTGCAGTGTTATGGGTTAATTTGTGTCCTCCAAAATTCATGTTCAAATAGAATCATTTAAAATGTTATGTGATAAGAAAAGGTCATATTGGAAACAATTAGGCTTCTGATTAAATATGACTGATATCTATACACAAGGGGGAAATTCAGAGACAGTATGCATATAGTAGAAAACTTATGTCAAACACACATGGAAATGATAGACATCTACAAGTCAAGGAGAGAGACCTGGAACAGATACTTCCCTCGCAGGCTTCAGATGAAAACAACATTGCCAACAGCTTAATTCCAGACTAGAGGCCTTTGGAACTGTGAAAAAATAAATTTAAGCCACTTGGTTTGCAGTAATTTACCATGGCACTGCTAGTAAGTTAATATACTCAGTAAATCACCTGAGCTATAGATACATTCTCCTACACTATGTGGCTTGAGGATAATTACCCCTCACCAAATAGTAACTCCTTTCTCTGTCTGCTGCTCTCCTGACATGAAGAGTCCAAAGTGACTATGCAATAACGATTACTTTTGATTATGCTAAAGAAATAGAGAAGCAAATACTGTAATTTTTATTTACATGAATATTTTTTAAAGCCAAAAGTTAGCTATAGGATTACAACTTGACAGAGTGATTAGCTGTCTTTGGGAATGAGTAAGAGGATATAATTGGGAGAGAATGGGATTAATTTCTATTTTCTAACATAGATGTAATGGGGACATAGATGTATTTACAATATAATAATGTATCAAGTTGGAAATTAATAATTTGCATTCCTCTGAAATGAATGGTAATTCCTAGAAAATGTTTTAAACATGTTAGAACTCCACGATGAATCAGGTGTCATCTCAACTCATCTAATTAATTCATTAAATAGAAGGAGAGGCTGTGGATGGTGGCTCATGCCTGTAATATCAGCACTTTGGGAGGCCGAGGCAGGCAGCTCACAAGGTCAGGAGTTCGAGACCAGCCTGACAAATATGGTGAAACCCTCTCTCTACTAAAAATACAAAAATTAGCCGGGCATGGTGGCCGGCATCTGTAGTGGCAGCTACTCAGGAGGCTGAGGCAGGTGAATCCCCTGAATCGAGGAATCAGACGTTGCAGTGAGCCGAGATCACGCCACTGCACTCCCGTCTAGGCGACAGAGAAAGACTCCGTCTAAGAAAGAAAGAGAAGAAATGATACTGACTGTGCTAGTAACCAGGGTTATGGCTAGAGCCACAGCTTATGCACGTTGGCCTGAATCTCAAGCAGTTATGTCATAGAAAGTTCTACATTCTCATCCCGGTAATCCCCACACTCGCAGACAAGTGAGAATGAATGCTCACCCCTGGGCGTAGATTGCTTGATGCTGTCTAAATCCCAGTGGATTTCTCTGCATCCACCTGCTCTCGATCGGCTCTGCCACATGGAACACACTGTGACAGACACCCTCTTCCCAAGTGACGTTCAAATAACTGAAAGACACAGGTGGTGAGGATTGCACAGAGATGCCTGTTAGTCTTGAGTCAGAATTTGGTGGGTGAATTGTCTTGGGCCCAGGCATGGATTCATTTTGTCACTGTAAATATATCAGCATCATGCTTCTCCCCACAGACACTTCCCAGTCTACATACAGCCAACTGTGAGGCTGGGCAGAGAGAATTTCCTGAGCTTCCCAGATCACCAAGAACTATCACATGACTAGATGATGGTCAGAGCAGGAATGATGCTGATGATGAGATGGGCTTCCTTTTATCTGAAAGGAAGTTTCTATGAGTAATTCACAATTAAGAAACAGATTAAACCCTTACTTTCAAAAGATTCATAAGTTTTCAGAAACAATTTCCCCTTTGACAATCCCAAAGGTACTGTGGAAAACAGTGTAAACAGCAACAAGGAAAAGTCCTGCTGATTGGTGGAAACTTTGGAAGCCAGGTGTATAAAAGGTCCAGATTGCAAGGGGTCATCAGATTCTGGGAAACTCACCTCTGAACAGAAACCCACCCTCCACCCCTGACACCATGACCCACTGTTGCTCCCCTTGCTGTCAGCCTACCTGCTGCAGGACCACCTGCTGCAGGACCACCTGCTGGAAGCCCACCACTGTGACCACCTGCAGCAGCACACCCTGCTGCCAGCCCTCCTGCTGTGTGTCTAGCTGCTGCCAGCCTTGCTGCCGCCCAGCTTGCTGTCAAAACACCTGCTGCAGGACCACCTGCTGCCAGCCCACCTGTCTGACCAGCTGCTGCCAGCCTTCCTGCTGCAGCACAACCTGCTGCCAGCCCATCTGCTGTGGGTCCAGCTGCTGTGGCCAAACCAGCTGTGGGTCCAGCTGTGGCCAGAGCAGCTCCTGTGCACCTGTGTACTGCAGAAGAACCTGCTACTACCCGACGACTGTCTGCCTGCCTGGTTGCCTCAACCAGAGCTGTGGATCCAGCTGCTGCCAGCCCTGCTGCCGCCCCGCCTGCTGTGAGACCACCTGCTGCAGGACCACTTGCTTCCAGCCCACCTGTGTGTCCAGCTGCTGCCAGCCTTCTTGCTGCTGATCAAGTCCCAAGAGAACAACCATCTTCACACAACAACCTTCTGCTCAACTGACTTATCTTTTGGAGGACTAATTTACCTTACTGCTGACAGCAACCATGTTCTCACCCAAATTTTTATGAATTCTCTGCATATTTAAAATCTTGTGAATCAGCTTGAGGGAGGGCAGAATACTTCATCCTGATTCTCTTTTTCTTATACCTTGTGAATCATGTGCCAGCTTCATCTGTTCTCAATTTTGAGTCATGGTCTCAGCTTTGACTCAAAAGTCAAGAGCTTCATTCTCTTCACTTAAGAAACTTAAGTTGCTGCAAATGATTAAGAATCTTCACAACTATGTTTTCTTTTCAATATACTCATGATTCTTGTATCCTGCTTCCTTCTTTTAATGATCACTTTGGGTTATCTCCCTATAACCAGGGATCTTACCTATATATTTCTTAATAAATAAATTTGGAACTATTATTCATACCATATGGTGATTTGTTTTATTTGAAAACATTCCTGATATGGGATTTACACATATATCACATACCATATGTATTACCCAATTTGATTCTCAAAACAGACAGTCATGTATTATTGCCTCCATTTTCCAACTGGGAAAGTTTTAATGTGTGATGTTATGTAGCTAATAGTGGACAGACTCTGATGCAAGGTTGCGTCTTCTCTTTCTGTCCAAAGACACTTACATTTAACTCTCAATAAAGTAGTAATGACATTGGGATTCAGCACTAGCAAGTTATGCACTTGAGTTTATTTAACAATGGAAATAATAATCTCTAGTATTTGGCAAGAGATAACATTTCAGTTCACAAAAGTCTTCCCAAATTAATTGCCCACCCGTCAGTGAGCAACAGCTACATGATACAGCAGCAGGGTCTGCATTTAGCAGCTGTCATGAATGCAGGGATCCTATTGGCCTATACCAGCCAATCATTCAATTCACGTGCATCAAAGAAATTTTTTAACCTTTTTTTAAGGTTCAGGGGTACGTGTGCCGGGTTATTTTATAGTTAAATTGTGTGTTGCAGGGTTTGGTGTACAGATTAGTTCTTCACCCAGGTAATAAGCATAATACCTGATAGGCAGTTTTTTGATTCTCATTCTCCTCCCACAGTCCACCCACAGGTAAGTTCCAGTGTCTGTTGTTCCCTTCTTTGTGTTCATATGTATTCAATGTTTGGCCCCCACTCTTATGTGAGAACATGTGTTATTTGGTTTTCTGTTCCTGTGTTAGTTCCCTTGGGATAATGGCCTCCGGCTCCATCTGTGTTGCTGCAAAGGACATCATCTTGTTCTTTTTTTCCTTTTTTTTCTGTATAGTATTCCATGGTGTATATGAAACACATTTTCTTTATCCAGTCTACTTTTGATGTACATTTTAAGTTGACTCTATGTCTTTGCTATTGTGAGTAGTGTTGCAATGAACATACGCATGCATGTGTCTTTATGGTAGAACAATTTATATGCATTTGGGTATATACCCAATAATTGAATTGCTGGGTCAAATATTAATTCTAAGTTCTTTGAGAGATCCCAAAACTGCTTTCCATAATGGTTAAACTAATGTGCAATTCCACCAACAGTGTATAAGTGTTTCTTTTTCTACAAAAACTTGCCAGCATCTTTTATTTTTTGACTTTAATAAGAGCTATTCTGACTTGTGTCAGAGGGCATCTCATTGTGGTTTTAACTTGCATTTCTCTAATCATCAGTGATGTTGATCATTTGTTCATATCCTTTTTGGCCGCTTGAATGTCTTCTTTTGAAAAGTGTCTGTTCGTGTCCTTTGACCACTTTCTAATGAGATTGTTTGGTTTTTGCTTGTAAATTTGTTTAACTTCCTTACAGATTCTGGATATTAGACCTTTGTTGGATAGATAGCTTGCAAATATTCTCTCCCATTCTGTAGGTTGTCTGTTTACTCTGTTGATAGTTTCTTTTGCTGTGCAGAAGCTCTTAAGTTTAATTAGGTCCCATTTGTCAATTTTTTCTCTTTTTACAATTACTTTTGGTGACTTCATCATAAAATCCTTGCCTGGTCCTATGTTTAGAATGGTATTGCCTAGGTTGTCTGCCAGCGTTTTTATAGCCTTAGGTTTTACATGTAAGTCTTTGATCCATCTTGAGTTGATTTTTGTATACCATGTAAGGAAGGGGTCCAGTTTCAATCTTCTGCAAATGACTAGCCAGTTATCTCAGCACCATTTATTAAATCAGGAGTCTTTTCCCCACTGCCTATTTTCATCAACTTTGCTGAAGATCACATGTTGTAGGTGTGCAACATTATTTCTGGGCTCTGTATTCTGTTCCATTGGTCTGTGTGTCTGTTTTTGTACCAGTACCATGCGGTTTTGGTTATTGCAGCCTGTAATGTAGTTTGAAGTCAGATAATGCGATGTCTTCAGCTTTGTTATTTTTGCTTAGGATTGCCTTGGCCATTCAGGCTCTTTTTTGGTTCCATATGAATTGTAAAACATTTTTTTTCTCATTCTGTGAAGGCTGTCATTGGTAGTTTGATAGGAGTGATACTGAATCTGTAAATTGCTTTAGGGAGTATGGCCATTTTAACAATATTGATTCTTTCTACCCATGAGCATAAAATATGTTTCAATTTGTTTGTGTCATCTTTAATTTCTTTGAGCAGTGTTTTGCAATTCTTGTTGCAGAGATCTTTCACCTCCCTGGTTGGCTGTATTCCTAGGTATTTTGTTGTTTTTTGTGGCTATTGTGAAAAGGATTACATTATTGATTTGGCTCTCAACTTGGATGTTGTTGGTGTATAGGAATGCTACTGATTTTTGTACAATAATTTTGTATCCTGAAACTTTGCTGAAGTTGCTAATCAGATCAAGGAGTTTTTGGGTAGAGACAATGAGGTTTTCTGGGTGTAAAATCTTCTTCACACACAGAGATAGTTTAACTTCCACTTTTCCTATCTAGATACCTTTACTTTATTTCTCTTGCCATATTTCTCTGGCTAGGACTTTCATTACTATTTTGAATAGGAGTGGTGAGATATGGCATGTTTGCCTTGTTCTGGTTTTCAAGAGGACACATCAAAAACTTTTCAGAATGCATCATATCCTCATTTGAAGAGACTAATTCCTTCGTATCAAATAAATCAAATTCATATCTGGCCTCCTGCTGAAATTTCATTGAAAGAGCAAAATGGAATTAAGTAATTCCATGTAAAATACAGACCATACCTTATGCAACATTTAGACAATTTGACTTCCTGATAAAAATGTTATCAGGAAAATTAAGTAAGGACAAAGTTTAGGATTGAGACACTATGCAACAGGCACATATGACTTTGCATAATCCATAATCTCTGAGTTATCTAATGGGTTAAAACAATCTTCTATGCTTTATGAGGCCAAAATTAAGCATCTAAAGGAAATAAACATTTGTGTTTTCAGGGAAATCAGAAGAATGTAAGACGGACTGAAAGTAGAAAAATGTGTACATTCATAGAAGTCATGATAGGCAGATGGCTGGTGCTTTTGGCCCTGAACTGATGATGCAACCCAAGCATTCACTAATGGAAGGACTGATTTATACTGGCTCTGAGAGAAATAGAAAAGTCTGGGACCTGGATTACCTTTGTGGGACCTCCTACCAGCATGGGAGTGCTAGAAATACCTCTGATGAGCTAACGATGTAGACTTCCAGGACGGATCCCAACTTCTGAGACTGTGTACCTAGAGTGCTTTGGAGACTTGGCTAAGAGACAAAATCCATTGACTGTGATTCTTCTGGGGTGACAGGGTAAAGGAGATGAAGACCTAAAACATTCACTTTGGCCAAGATCAGGTATGCAAGGTAAATAAGCTCTGCAGACCTAGTGTACAGTAGTGTGGCTGTAGGTAAAAATATTTTATTTTATACCTGAAATGGCAAGTATGTGAGCTAATGAATATGTGAATTAGCTTCACTGTGATGAATATCTCACTATAAATATATATATCAAAACATCACTTTTTATACCTTAAATATATACAATTTTTATTCAATTATACCTCAGTAAAGTTAGTAAAAACCAAATCTAGCAGCACATCAAAAAGCTTATCCACCATGATCAAATTGCTTCATCCCTGGGATGCAAGGCTGGTTCAACATATGCAAATCAATAAACATAATCCATCACATAAACAGAACCAATGATAAAAACCACATGATTATCTCAATAGATGCAGAAAAGGCCTTCGATAAAATTCAACATCCTTCATGTTAAAAACTCTCAATAAACTAGGTATTGATGGAACATATCTCAAAATAATAAGAGCTATTTTTGACAAACCCATAGCCAATATTATACTGAATGGGCAAAAGCTGGAAGCATTCCCTTTGAAAATGGCACAAGACAAGAACGCCCTCTCTCACCACTCCTATTCAACATAGTATTGGAAGTTCTGGCCAGGACAATCAGGCAAAAGAAAGAAATAAAGGCATTCAGATAGGAAGAGAGGAAGTCAAATTGTCTTTGTTTGCAGATGACGTGATTCTATATTTAGAAAACCTCAGTGTCTCATCCTAAAAACTCCTTAAGCTGATAAGCAACTTTAACAAAGTCTCAAGATACAAAATCAATGACAAAAATCACAAGCATTCTTATACACCGATAATAGACAAGCAGAGAGCCAAATCATGAGTGAACTCCCATTCACAATTGCAACAAAGAGAATAAAATACCTAGGAATACAACTTACAAGGGATGTGAAGGACCTCTTCAAGGGAAACTACAAACCACTGCTCAAGGAAATAAGAGGGGACACAAACAAATTGAAAATCATTACATGATCATGGATAGAAAGAATCAATATCATGAAAACGGCCATGCTGCCCGAAGTAATTTATAGATTAAATGCTATTCCCATCAAGCTACCCTTGACTTTCTTCACAAAATTTAAAAAAAAAAACTACTTTAAATTTCATATGGAACCAAAAAAGAGCCCGTATCACCAAAACAATCCCAAACAAAAGAACAAAGCTGGAGGCATCACGCTACCTGACTTCAAACTATACTACAAGGCAACTGTAACCACAACAGCATGGTACTGATATCAAAACAGATATATAGACCAATGGAACAGAACTGAGACCTCAGAAATAACACCACACATCTACAACCATCTGATCTTTGACAAACCTGACAAAAACAAGCAATGGGGAAAAGATTCCCTATTTAATAAATGGGGCTGGGAAAACTGGCTAGCCACATGCAGAAAACTGAAAGTGGACCCCTTCATTACACCTTATACAAAAGTTAACTCAAGATGGATTAAAGACTTAAATGTGAAACCCAAAATCATAAAAACCCTAGAAGAAAACCTAGGCAATAACTTTCAGGACATAGACATGGGCAAAGACTTCATGACAAAAATGCCAAAAACTATCACAACAAAAGCCAAAATTGACAAATGGGATCTAATTAAACTAAATAGCTCCTGCACAGCAAAATAAACTATCATCAGAGAGAACACACAACCTACAGAATGGGTGAGAATTTTTGCAATCTACCCATCTGACAAAGGTCTAAAATCCAGAATCTACAAGGAACTTAAACAAGTTTACAAGAAAAACAAACAACCTCATCAAAAAGTGGGCAAAGGATATGAACAGACACTTCTCAAAAGAAGACTTTTATGTGGCCAACAAACATATGAAAAAAAGCTCATCATCATTGATCATTAGAGAAATGCAAATCAAAACCACATTGAGATACCATCTCATGCCAGTCATAATGGTGATTATTAAAAAGTCAGGAAACAATAGATGCTGGAGAGGCTGTGGAGAAATAGGAATGCTTTTACACTGTTGGTGGGATAGTGAATTAGTTCAACCACTGTGTAAGACAGTGTGGCAATTCCTCAAGGATCTAGAACCAGAAAAACCATTTGACTCAGCAATCCTATTACCGGGTATATACTCAAAGGAATATAAATGATTCTACTATAAAAACACATGCACATATATGTTTATTGCAGCAGTATTTACAATAGCAAAGACTTGGAACCAACCCAAATGCCCATCAGTGATAGACTGGATAAAGAAAATGTGGCACATATAAACCATGGAATCCTATGCAGCCATAAAAAACAATGAGTTCATATCCTTTGCAGGGACATGGAAGAAGCTGGAAGCCATCATTCTCAGCAAAGTAACACAGGAGCAGAAAACCAAACACCACATGATCTCACTCATAAGTGGGAGTTGATCAACCAGAACACACAGACACAGGGAGGGGAACATCACACACCAGGGCCTGTTGGGGGGGTCGGGGGCAAGGGGAGGGAGAGCATTAGGACAAATACCTAATGCATGCAGGGCTTAAGACCTAGAGGACAGGTTGATAGGTGCAGCAAACAATCATGGCACATGTATACCTACTCAACAAACCTGGACATTCTGCACATGTGTCCTGGAACTTAAAGTAAAAGAAAAAAAGTTGATCTAGTTAATTATTATAAATATATTCTTATCATCAACATTAAAATTAGTTTAGGAATTTCTGGAGAGAAAAGAAATAATATGTTTTCAGTTGCCTATCATTTGATGGATATTGTGTAAATCTTTTATGTACATTATCATTAATTATTGAAAAAACTTTCAAAGTAGGCATTAGTGTTCTAATTGTAGAGATGAGGAAATTGAGGCTGAGAGATGTAATGTCATAGTTTGGTTTTTCCCAGAAGATACTCTGAGAAAAAGATTCCAATGAATACAGTGTATTAGGAAGGGCAGAACAGGCCAGAAGGGATTGTGGCAGTGATACAGAAAAGGGTATACTATTAAGCCAGTATCACAGAGATCAACTGAAGCTTAAGCTAAAGGGAAATTTTTCAGAAATGATGAAAAACACACAACTTTGAATTCTCAAACTTCAGCAGTGAAGAAGCTAGAGTCTGTATAAATCCACTCTTTAGAATTTTCAGTTGAATATTTTTCTCCCTGTAGTGTGCACAGGTGACATGACTTTCTGTAGTTGCAATACAAGAGCCCTAAGGCACAGAGATGCAGATTCAGGCAGATGGAAATTGGTATGAGCACCCTAAGTTCCATGATATACAGGTATGGTAATGAAGACCTGTCTACAGTAACATTTGCTCCATTCAAGTCCAATCTTTCCTTCTTAAATGTAATGGACAGCCATGAACTCTAGGAGAAAAAGGAGGAGGAGGAAGAGGAGGAACAGAAGGTGAGAGAGGAGGAAAAAACTAGGAAAGATATGGGAAGAAGACAATATACACAGACAGGAAGAAAGGAACGGAGGAAGAAAGAGAGCAAGAGACAGAAGGAAAGAGAGTGAAAAGGAAGGAAGGAATGAAGGAAGGAAGGAAGGAAGGAAGGAAGGAAGGAAGGAAGGAAGGAAGGAAGGGGAAGGAAGGAAGGAAAAGGAAAGAAAGAAAGAAGAGAAAGAAAGGGGAGGGGAGGGGTGGGGAGGGGAGGGGAAAGGAAGGGAAGGGAAGGGAAGGAAGGGAAGGGAAGGGAGGGAAGGGAAAAGAAACTACTGCTGTAATAGGGTGCTTCTGAGATTCATAATCTCCATCAGTTTCCGCCAGTTCTATACTCCCTTCATCACTGGCCAGCACTCCTGTTAGTTTAGATAATTGCCTGATGAAGTAGCTCAGAACTTCCTGCCTGATGGGTCTTACCCTCTAGTTACTTACTACACCATTCTCCAACTGTGGTTGCTTTTGTTACTCATTTGTGTTTATCAATGGGCATGGATACACTACGAGATATTCCAAGGTTATGGGTCGAATTGTGTCCCCAAGAACTCATATTCAAATAGGGTCACTTAAATGCAAGATGGTAAGATAAGGTCATATTGGAATAAATTGTGCTTCTGATTCAATGTGACTGGTGTCTGTATAAACAGGGGAAATTCAAACAGGATGCATATAGAGGGAAGATGATGTAAGAGACACATGGAGAAGATAGACATCTACAGGTCAAGGAGAGAGACCTGAAACAGATATTTCCCTCACAGCCCTCAGATGAAAACAACATTGCCAACACCTTTATTTTAGCCTTCAGAACTGTGAGAAAATAAACTTCAGCCACTTGATTTGCCATAGTTTTTAATGGCAGTGTAATGCTTTAATATATATAGTAAATTTCTTGAGTTTCAGATATATTCTCCCTACGCTCTATGGCTTCACGAAAATTATCCCTCATGGAATATTAACTCCTTTATCTACCTGCTGGTCTGCTAACATGAAGGATCCAAAATGAAATGACCAGGTTATAATTGCTGCTTTTGATTATGCCAAAAACACAGTGAAGCAAATTCTATAATTTTTATTTACATAAAAGTCAAAGAAAAAAACAAAACTGACCTACAGGATTAAAACTTGATAGAGTGACTAGCTACCTTTGGAGATAAGTAAAAAGATATAATTTGGAGGGAATGGAATTAATTTCTATTTTGTAAACTGGTAATGGGGACTTAGATGTATTTATAATGTAATATTATATCAAGTTGGAATTCATAATTTGCACTCTTCTGAAATGAATGGTATAATTTAAAAAGTTTTAAACAATGGTAAACCTCAAAGAGGAATCAGATATCATCTCAACTCACCTAATTCCCTCACTGAAAACAGAGAGACAGAGAGAGAGAGAGAGAGAGACAGAGACAGAGACAGAGACAGAGACAGAGACAGAGACAGAGAAATGGCAATGATTGTGCCAGTAACCTGGATTAGGGCTAGAGCCACAGCTCATATTGCTTTGCCTGGACCTCAAGCAGTAATGTCACAGTAATTCCCAGTCCCACATTCTCATGCTGGTAAGCCCCTCAGTCCCAGACAAATCAGGATGAATGGTCACCGCAGCACGTAGATTGCTTGATGCTTTGTGAATTCCAGTGAACCCCTCCTCTTTCTACGTGTTTGCTTTGGCTCTGCTCTGCCACATAGCACACATTGTGCTGAACACCCTCTTCCCAAGAGGCTTTTATAGAACTGGAAGAGACAGGTAAAGTAGGTTGTACATAGAGAGATGCCTATCAGTCTTGAATCAGACTTTGGTGGGTGAACAGTCTTGGTCCCAAGCATGGATTCAATTCACCACTGTGAATATATCAACATCATGCTTCTCCCCACAGACACTTCCCAGTCTACATACAGCCAAAGGATGAGACTGGGCAGAGAGAACTTCCTGAGCCTCCCCAGTCACCAGGAACTATCACATGACGAGATGCTGGTCAGAGCAGGAACGAAGCTGATGATGAGACTGCCTTCCTTTTATCTGAAACAAAGTTTCTACGAGTAATTTACAATTAAGAAACAGATTAAACCCTTACTTTCCAAAGATTCATAACATTTAGGAAATGACTTCCTCTTTGACAATGCCAAACTGACTATGGAAAACAACTGTAAACAGCAAGAAAGAAAAATCCTGCTGATTGGTGGAAACTTTGGAGGCCACATGTATAAAAGGTCCAGATTGCAAGGGGTCATCAAATCCTGGGAAACTCACCTCTGAACAGAAGCCCACCCTCCACCCCTGACAACATGACCCACTGTTGCTCCCCTGGCTGTCAGCCTACCTGCTGCAGGACCACTTGCTGCAGGACTACCTGCTGGCAGCCCACCATTGTGACCACCTGCAGCAGCACACCCTGCTGCCAGCCCTCCTGCTGTGTGTCCAGCTGCTGCCAGCCTTGCTGCCACCCAACTTGCTGTCAAAACACCTGCTGCAGGACCACCTGCTGCCAGCCCACCTGTGTGACCAGCTGCTGCCAGCCTTCCTGCTGCAGCACACCCTGCTGCCAGCCCATCTGCTGTGGGTCCAGCTGCTGTGGCCAAACCAGCTGTGGGTCCAGCTGCTGCCAGCCCAGCTCCTGTGCACCCATCTACTGCAGGAGAACCTGCTACCACCCCACGAGTGTCTACCTGCCTGGTTGCCTAAACCAGAGCTGTGGCTCCAGCTGCTGCCAGCCGTGCTGCCGCCCAGCCTGCTGTGAGACTACCTGCTGCAGGACCACTTGCTTCCAGCCCACCTGTGTGACCAGCTGCTGTCAGCCTGCTTGCTGCTGATCAGTTCCGCAGAGGACCATCATCCCCATACAGTAACCCTCTGGCAAAAGATTTACCTTCTGGGGGACAAATTTACTTTCAAACTGTGATGAAAACCAACAATGTGAACTTAGGGTGAACTTTGCTCACCCTAATTTTTATGACTTCTCTGCATGTTTAACATTTTGTGAATCAGCTTGAGTGAGGGTAGAGTACTTCATCCTGATTCTTTTTTCCTTACACCTTGTGGATCATGTGCCACCTTCATGTATTTTCAATTTGGAGTCATGGTCTCAGCTTGACTCTAAAGTCAAGAGCTTCATTCCCTTTCTCTAAGAAACTTAGGTTTTGCAACTGATCAATAATCTTCACAATCATGTTTTCATTTTCAGTGTCCTCCTCGTGGTTCTTTTATCCTTATTCCTTTCATGATCATTTTGGGTTATCTCCCTAGAAACAGGGACTCTTACCTATATGTTTCTTAATAAACTCAAAGCTGTCCTTCATCTCACATGGTGTTTTTTTTTATTTTACAGCATTCCTGATATGGGATTTACACACATATTCCATACCATACATGTTACCTAATTTGATTATAAAAACAGATGGTCATGTTTTATTACCTCTACTTTCCAGCTGAGGAAAATTTTAATGTGTGATGTTATTTAGCTAAAAATGCAGACTCAGATTTAAGGTTGGGTCTTCTCTTTCTGTCCAAGAGCACTTATATTTAACTCTCATTAAAGTAAAAATTACATTGGGACTCTACATTAGCAAGACATGCACTTAAGTTGACTCAACAATGGAGGAGTAATCTCCTGTATTTGCAGGTAACATTTGCAGATAACATTTCCATTCTTATATGGCTTCCTTCTTCTTCTCCTGAATACATATTGGCAAGGCAAAATGAACTTAAGTTATTCCTTAAAAAATACAGATGCCATCTTTTGAGACTGTATATCTGGAATGCTCTGAAGATTCCAGAAAGAGAGAAAAGCCGCTGACTGGGATAGTCGTTGGGTGGTGGGGTAAAGGAGTACTAGCACATTCTCATGACCAACATCAGTTATATAAGATGAATATGTTCTGCAGATCTGGTGCACTCTAATGTGGACATAGTTTAAAATACTTTATTGTATACCTGAAATTTGCTGAGAAAGTGGATCTTAAATGTTCACACCACAACAATAAAAAGGAAATGGTGACTATGTGAGCTAATAAATATATTATTATTTCACACTGTATATATATATATATATCTCAAAACATAACCTTTTATACCTTACATATACACAATTTTTATTTGTTAATTATACCTCAATAAAACTAGTAAAGAAAGAATTTAGTTGATCTAGTTAGTTATTTTAAATATATTCTTATATTCAATATTAAAATTATTTTTTAAGTTTTCTGGACAAAAAAGAACTAATATGTTCTAGGTTGCCTACTATTTGATAGATAGTGACTACATGCTTTATGTTCATTAATATTTATTCTTGAGGAAATGTTCAAAGTAGGTATTAATGTTACCATTGTAGAGATGAGGAAATTGAGGCTGAGAGAGTTAATGTAATGTCATAGTGTGGTTTCTCCCAGAACAGATACTTAGAAAAATATTCCAGTGAAAGTAGTTTATTGGGAAGTGCAGATCACACCATTAGGGATCAGAGAAGAGATACAGAAAAGGGTATACTATTGAGCCAGTAAGTATCACAGTGACCAACTAAAATTTAAACCAAAGGGAAAACTATCAGAAATGATGAAAAACACATAAATTAGCAATCTCTATCTTCAGGAATAAGGGAGCTAGAGTCTTTGTAAATCAGCTCTCCAAGATCATTGGTTGAGTTGAGTGATAGTCCTCTGTGTGGAATGCACAGGTGACATGACTTTCTGCAGTTGCAATACAAGAGCCCTTAGGCACAGAGATGCAGATTCTGGCAAATAGAAACTGGCCCAAGCACACTAAGATCTGAGAAATATGGACAGGATAATGAAAATGTCATCTATGGTCTGTCATTCGCTCCACTCAGATCCAATCTTTGCTTCTTAACTGTGATGGACAGCCAGAAATTCTAGGAGAAGGAGGTAGAGGAGGAGAGAAAGAAGAGGGACAGAAGGTTCTGAGCTGCTAGTTACTATACCGTTGTCCACTGTGATTGCTGTTACTCATTTGTGGTTATCACTAGGCATGGACACGCTCTGAGATACTTCCATATTTGGATTGATTTTTTTCCCCAGAAATTCATAGACAAATAAGGTCATTGAGAATGTAACTAGTTAAGTAAGGTCACATTGGAATAAACTGGTCTTCTTATTCAATATGACTGGTGTCTGTATGAAAAGGATGGTAGAATAGAAGGAAGGGAAGGTAAGAGGAAAGGAAGGCAGGAAGGAAGAAGGGAAGGAGAGATATAAAATAAAGGCCAAATGGAACAAGATACAGTTACTACTGTAATAGGGTTCACCTGAGATTCATCATCTCCATTAGTTACCACAAGTTCTATACTCCCTTCACCACTGGCCAGCACTTCTGTTGTCTAGATAATTGCCTGATGATGTAAGCCAGAACCTCCTGCCTGAAGGGTCTGACCCTCTAGTTACTGTGTTATTGTCCACTGTGATTCCTGTTACTCATTTGCAGTTATCATCAGCCATGGACACACTCTGAGATACTTCAATATTTGGATTGACTTGTTTCCCCAGAAATTCATCACCAAATAGGGTCATTGAGAATGTAACTAGTTAAGGTAAGGTCACATTGGAATAAAATGGGCCTCTGATTCAATATAACTGGTGTCTGCATGACAAGTAAAGTTCGCCACACACCTACAGTCACCTCATTTTCAACAAAGGTGCCAAGAGCATACACTGGGAAAAAGGCATTCTCTTCAATAAACCATGCTGGGAAAACTAGATATCTCTATGCAGAGGAATGAAACTAGATCCCTCTTTCTCACCACATACAAAAATCAAATCAAATTAGATCGAAGACTTGAATCTAAGACCTCGAACTATGAAACTACTACAAGAAAATATTGGGGAAAATCTCCAGGACATTGGTCTGGGCAAAAATTTCTTGAGCAATACCCCGCAAGCACAGGCAACCAAAGCAAAAATAAACAAATGGGATCACATCAAATTAAAAAGCTTCTGCACAGCAAAGGAAACAATAACAAAGAGACAACCCACAGAATGGGAGAAAATATTTGCAAAATACCTATGCATTGTTAATGAATTAACAACCAGAATATAAGGAGGTCAAATAATTCTATAGGAAAAAAAATCTAATAATCTGATCACAAAATGGGCAAAAGATTTGAATTGACATTTCTCAAAAGAAGACATATAAATAAGCATATGAAAAGGTGTTCACCATCATTGATCATCAGAGAAATGCAAATCAAAACTACAATGAGAGATCATCTCACCCCAGTTAAAATGGCTTATATCCAAAAGGCAGGCAATGACAAATGCTGATGCAGATGTGGAGAAAAGAGAACGCTCGTGCATTCTTGGTGGGAATGTAAATTAGTACAAGCGCTATGGAAGACACTTTGGAGGTTCCTCAAAAAACTAAAAACTGAGCTACCATATTATCCAGCAATCACACTCCTCGGTATATACCCAGAAGAAGAGAAATTGGTATATCAAAGAGACATCTGCACTCCTATATTTGTTGCAACACTGTTTACAATAGCTAAGATTTAGCAGCAATGTAAGTGTCCACCAACAGATGAGTGGATAAAGAAAATGTGGTACATACACCAAATGAAGTATTATTCAGCCATAAAAAAGAATGAGATCAAGTCATTTGCAACAACATGGATGGAGTTGAAGATCATTATGTTAAGTAAAATAAGCCAGGCACAGAAAGACAAACACCACATACACATCCGGAGTAGGTTGCACAAAGACAGGTAGGTGCCTGTTATTCTTGAATCAGGCCTTGTAGGTGAATAGCCTTGACGCAGGCATGGATTCAGTTCATCACTGTGAACCTATCAGCATCATGCTCCTCCCCACAGACACTCCCCAAAGAACAAGCTGGGGAGAGACACCTGCCCTGACCTTCCAAGGCCAGTAGGAACTATCACATGACCACATGATGACCAGAGCAGGAAGGATGTCAATGATGTGACCACCTTCCTTTTATCTGAAACAAAGTTTCTAACAGTTATTCTCAATTAAGAAACAGATTAAACCCTTACTCTCAGAAGATCTATAATATTTAGGAAACAACATCCTCTTCAATAATCCCAAACTGACTACGGAAAACAATGTAAACAACAACAAGGAAAAGTCCTGCTGATTGGTGGAAACTTTGGAGGCTTAGTGTATAGAAGGTCCAGATTGGAAGGAGTCATCAGATTCCGGGAAATTTACCTCTAAACAGGAGCCCACCCTCCACCCCTGACATCATGACCCAGTGTTGCTCCCCTTGCTGCCAGCCTATGTGCTGCAACCACCTGTTACAGGAGCATCTGCTGTGGGTCCAGCTCCCGCCCGCCTTGCTGTGGCCCAATTTGCTGTGCAATCACCTGCTACAGGACCGTCTGTGTGACCACCTGCTGCAGCCCACCCTGCTGCCAGCCCACCTACTGTGAGTCCAGCTGCTACCAGCCTTACCAATGAACTAACTCCCACTCCCCTGACTTTGTTGACAACCAACATACTGTTGCCAAACATTTGATGTGTTATATTGTTAAATTGTGAGGCTGCTTAGTGAAGTGGAGCTGGCTTCACTTTGATTTTTCTCTTCCTTATTTCCTATATATCAGAGTGCCAGCTGCTAGTCATCTTCATGGATCCTTGACATGAACTCAAGATCTCAGCCAAGGAAAAATTGTCATCCCCTTTTCCCTCTAACAATCTTAAAATATCAAATCCCTAAGACTGTTCTCTTAAGTCTCTGCAACTGATCAATATTGCTGCAAACGCCCAATATCAACCACGTTATATCAATGTACTCATTATTCCTGTGTCCTGCTTCTCACCTCCATAATCAGTTAGAATTATCTTCAAGGATCTAGAACTAGAAATACCATTTGACCCAGCAATCCCATTACTGGGTATATACCCAAAGGCTTATAAATCATGCTACTATAAAGACGCATGCACACGTATGTTTGCTGCGGCACTATTCACAATAGCAAAGACGTGGAACCAACCCAAATGTCCATCAGTGATAGACTGGATTAAGAAATATGGCACATATACACCATGGAATACTATGCAGCCATAAAAAAGGATGAGTTCATGTCCTTTGCAGGGACATGGATGCAGCTGGAAACCATCATTCTAAGCAAACTATCACAAGGACAGAAAACCAAATACCGCATGTTCTCCCTCATAGGTGGGAATTGAACAATGAGAACACTTGGACAAAGGGCAGGGAACACCACACCCCAGGGCCTGTCATGGGGTGGGGGTCAGGGGGAGGGATAGCATTAGGAGAAATACCTAATGTAAATGACGAGTTAACGGGTGCGGCAAACCAACATGGCACATGTATACCTATGTAACAAACCTGCATGTTGTGCACATGTACCCTAAACTTACAGTATAATAAAAAAATTATTTTAAAAAAAAGAATTATCTTCCTAAAGTCTTTCCTGTCATGGACCATACATTGGGGTTTTGTTCTGCACAGCTATTCCTTTAAAAGGCCTTGCATGTGTATTGTATTTCCTATTATCTCTTCTAATCTCATAGTAACCCCACAAGGTGGGCAAAGCAAAGACTATCATTTGCACATTACAAATGGGAAAAATCACTGGCCTCAGGTCATACAGTTAGAAATTGATAGAATTAAGTCCAATACCCAGATGTTCTGAATCTTGATCCAGGGCATTATTATTTAGATTTTAATACAAGTAGAAATAACTCTGGTGTCTGAGTTTTAGGGAAGGTGTATGATTTGAGTTGCTTGTTGACAAATGAAAATGAAATGTCTTGTACATGTAGGTCACTTTTCTACCTAAAAATGCAGAATACTTGAACAAAAAAGACTAAGAAACACCCTGCAATGCGCACAAGACACAGTTTCTGTGCTCCAAATGCTGGATCAACCTAGCTTCTCAATCAGAGGATTATAAGGGTAGTGCATATTTACAGAATCCTCAGAATTGAAGTAACTGAGCAATGGGTATATAATGCTTTGATCCAACCAGTGCCTCAATGTTGTGAGGCAAAGTTGAAGCAGAGGAGATTCAACATCAGAGTATTAGAAAAAGAAAACATAAGGATTTGAGAAAGAAAATAAAGGAAACTGGTCACTCTTAAAAAGTATAGTGGATATAATGACAATAGACGTTATTGTAGTCCCCCAAAGTGGGCTAGACTTTCCGAAGAGCTGAACACCAAAGAGGATACCAAGATATTTCTTGAAAAAAAAGAACAGATACTGGCTCCAGGGGAAAAATAATATTCTGTGGCCTGAGCTATCGCATAGTAGTTAGGTCTTAGGAAATCTAAGAAGGTGGAGGGATTTTCCAAAGAGGCTTCCATGTTGTCTGACTTGCTAAGTGCTTGCTCTCCTGATGCATTCAAGGATGAGCTGAGGCACTACCATTTACTGAGTAACTACAGGTATTAGTCTAGGTTTTTCTAATTCATAATCCACCAATGTTTTATTTTCCTCATTTCACAGATGAAGAAACAGAGGCTAAGGGAGATGAAGGAACTTGTTCAAAGTTGTACAGTTAACAGTTGACCTGGCTTCAAACACTAAGCTGTCTACACTACACTCACTGTGTGTGCTATGCTCCCTGCCCCTACCAGTCTAGAGACATAACCGGGTCTATGGAGTCTTGAATATGACAGCAAATTACTTGGTACCCTCACACAGTCTCATTTCCTTATTCTACCAATAGTTGGGACTTCGGGAGAGTGAATAAGAATAAAGACTTACATCTGGATATTAAAACAATCCTTTATTTAAATAAGATTTATTGAGCACTTACTGTGTGTTAAGTACTGTGCCAGGTGCTGTGATTACAGAAGTGAACGAGACATTCAACATCCTCACCTTTATTGTGCTTCGGGAAGAATACAAACAAGAGACAAAATTTATACAGTAGAAGTGAGGAAGGTGAGCCTATATTATTAATGATATAGGAAGGGTGGTTCATGACGACTGTATCTAACAGAATTGTATCTTAGCAACGAATCAGAGAGGGAAGGAAATAAAAAACTTCCATTTTGAACCCATGAATCAATTTACCAAGTAGAACAACAGGGGTGATACTGAAAGAACTCAGGTACAAAAATTCCCCAAAAATGTAAATGCAGAAACAATAAAACATGGTTGGAATATATTAAGTACTTCCCCCAAAGCCTGCAGCTTGTAGGTAGCAGAACAGGCATGATGCAAATACTCATCTATGTGATTTCGATCCTCATGGCCCAGACTTTCCTGCCTTCTTCCACAGTGGAAAACCTGTGCATGAACAAAGAAGGGAAGATGAACCCATGAGCTCTCTTTGTGTGGACATACTGCAGTCTTCCTGGCCAAACACAGGAAATTGATGATACATTGCAAATGCAGATCACAAAACCAGCACACATGGGAGGAGAAGGGATGAAGGAACATCCAACAATCTAGCTATTTTGTGGGGACCTCAGAATCACTAAAATTGAGCAGAAGGTTCTTAGGCAACCAGGTAAACCACCTTGATCTAGATTTTAACAATGAGAAGGACTTGGTAAGCAAAGGTTAGTGATGATAAACTTGCTGCAAAAGGACCATGTAAAAATTTGTGATAGCAAGGCAAGGAAATGCTTGTTTGGCTGGAACTGCATTCTACAGAGCAGGAAGATAATTGGCTATTTACAGGAACATGAATGTGATTTTCCAGCAAAGGGCACTGGAATAGAGGATGGAGCTAAGGGTAGGGAAGCGCTCAGAAAAGCCATTCTGATTGCTTAGTCACAGATGCTTCTAATGAGGAAAAAGTTCAGGGGGTCTAGAGTGAGTACAGAAATTCTCTAAAAGCTCTTTAAAAGATCTTCCTAGGAATGGAACAGACCACCCCGGGTGTATGAATTTCCATTTACTAGACACTTAAGCATTGGATCTGGCAACACATGGCAGGAAGTTTATTAGGATTCCTTCCATGCCTGAGATTCTTTGAGATCCTTAAACACTCTGTCTTGCCCCATCATTATTTGATTAATTAATTGCTAACAGGTTGTTATTCTCTGAACTCCGTAAGCATTCACATACATAATGCTTTAAAGAAAGCATACACACTGTCATGATAATTGGCATTCCCTTGGAGATAAAAAAAAAAAAAAATAAGGACTATCTCCCCAATGGCATGCAAGGTAGAATTCACAACCCTTGATAAATGTACCTGGGTCTGGCCTTTAGCCTTGCAGACTCAGAGACCTGATTTTGCTTACATTCTAAGGGTTAAGCCACGTCTTAGAGCAGACACCTGTTAGCCAAGCCCAAAAAGCAAGGATGCCTATTTATTAAATTACAGGAGAATTAAGTAACAGGAACTTCTAAACCACCACATGAGTAAGGAATCAGACAGGAAGTTATATAAACTAAATGTTGAATGGCATTTGACATGTTCGTTTCACAATAGTTCTCACCAATGGAAATTGAAAATTCATAGTCCCTCTCCTGTGGGCAGTTGCCTGGAGGCACACTGCCAACATTCACCCCAGCACTTGTCTTAACCCTGATTTTCCATGGTTCAACAATACTCTAATTTAACTTTCACATTTTTACATCTTCAATTAGACTTGAATCAATTCCTCAGACTTTTAATGCATACATCTTTTTAAGGTGACGCTACATAATTTGGTTTTGATCGTTTTGAACATAGGTTCCAAGTCTTGGATGATATCTGACTGTACCAATGCATTCTCATTCACACCATTGCATGGTGAGCATCCATGATGAAATTTATATTTGGTTTAGTTCATGTCTACCATCATATCTGTTGACTATTTGTAATATTTCTATTGCATGTCAGGATAACTTGGGCTTTGTTTATCTTTCTTATCTCACTAAGTCTTTAAAAAAAGATTACTGTGTGATACAGAGTTGTCATCATAATGATAATGTAGAATTATCATCAGAGTGTTGGGTTGACTCTTATGATTTTGTGTGTGTCTTTGTTCATCTAATTATAATCTAACATCACCAACCTGTTATGAGTGACACACCACATACTTCTTCCTTCCTCCCTGCTGTGAGTTATAGTGGTGATTGGACTATAATTAATTTATTCTTCTTAGAATTTGAATTACACATAAAAGACAATCCCTAGGTTAGGCCCTCTAGTGCAATGTAATATTGTTATGGAAAGAACAGGGATTAATTTCAGAAAAACCAGCCTGTGTTTCCTACATTCAAAATAGGGAAAACTCGGCTCTTTCATCACTGGACACCTTCTCCTTGGAACCTCTTCTGACAGATGGTTCAGATAACACAGCTTGGGATTTTTCTTGTGAATATGCAGGAAACAAGAATGAATGTTATATTCTAAGATCAAACGCTGGGATAAATTTAATTAAATTGTAGGTTTGGAGGTAACTAATGCAGAAAATATAGGATTAAAAATCAGAAATAAAATTAAAATGATTCCCACTTAAATAAACAAATATAGACATTATTCTAGAATATAAATCAAGAAAGCCTAAATTGGATAGACTGTATAAACTCGCTAAGGAAAGCATGCAAGCTTTATCCATCCTTTATTATCACTGCGTTCCACAGTGGCTGTGGCCTGTCCCAGACCAGAAAACCTTCAGATCCTCTTTCTAAACAAAAGCATTCCTTATGCAAGATAAGGACAAGGTAAAAACCAAGCTCTTCAGCCCCAGTCAGATTCCTGCTTGGAACAAAGATTAAGATGGAAAGGGTCAAATTTCAATAATCTTCTGCCCTTTAAGGTTGATTCCTAGCAAAATCAACCCAGTTTTTTCCAAGCATTCCCCTTTAAGTGCCCAATAGTAATAAATATAGCAAAGCATAAGTATACTTAATATATAAAACAAACCACTCACTAAGACCAACATTAAGTCCACTATGAAAGAATTGTACCTACACAAATAGGTGATGATAAGAATATAAGGGATTTCATTTAAGATCTACTGGTAAAATTATGATTAAGACATAAGAAAGGAGGACTTCTTAATATTACTTATATATTCAAAGAATAATATTTGAACAGAATTGTGTAGAAGGACAGCTGGAAAGGGGAATAGTGGCCCCAAATGGATGTAAACAGCATAGGAGAGAATTTAGTTTCTTTAAATGAGTTCTAGTTTCCTGACCGTGGACAAACTACTTCTCAGATACTGAGACATCTTCCAAGTGAGAACATTGAACACTGAGCTCTTTTTTTTTTTTTTTTTTTTTTTTGAGATAAGTCTCGCTCTGTCACCAGGCTGGAGTGCAGTGGTGCGATCTCGGCTCACTGCAACCTCCACCTCCAAGGTTCAAGCAATTCTCCTGCTTCAGCCTCCTGAGTAGCTGGGATTACAGGTGCCCGCCACCATGCCCATGTTTCACCATGTTGGCCAGGATGGTCTCGATCTCTTGACCTCATGATCTTTGGGAGGCCCACACTGGCCTCCCAAAGTGCTGGGATTACAGGTGTGAGCCACCACACCCAGCCAAGAACATTGAACTCTTATTGGTGATGTTTGAAGAATCGTGGGGAACCTAAAATTTGGGAGACTGGATCTATATTAGCATCAGAGAAAATTTTCATTCAATCTGAACTGATCAAAATAAGGATAGCTCCCTCTCCTTCAGGAAGCATTGAGCATGCCAGCATTTGCAAAATATATACCCGAACTTGAATTGCAAGAGCAGTTTTTTCCTTTTTGGCCCTGAAAATAACTTACAACATCCAAGAAGACTTTAAACAATCTATCTTTTACCTATTGCACAATTTGTTATTATACAATAGGGGGCTTATTGTTATTATTGTTGTTTGTAATGGTATTTCTAGGGCTTTCTATATTTCAAATGACTGACTCAATTCTGTTTAGTGCTGAATCACTGTTTTCCTCTTTCGTTTTTCTTTTAACTGGTAAATATTAACTTCCTTCATACAGCTCTGTCCTAAGACAGGTACAGCTAGCTTATTGGTGACAGCCGGACATGCTTGCACTGAATGACCGATGGTTTCCACTCTTCTTCTTTCCTCCTCTTTCCTAGTAGCTCAGTTCAATAAGGTTAAGCCCTTTTCTGATGGTTTGAGATACATTTAAAATGAATTTCTTATATTTATTTTTCTGGTGAAATAATATGTTATCAGGGAAACAATAGGGATTTGGCTTTTAAAAATTCATCATAGTCTTGTTAAAAAAAAAATTATTCAATGGCACTTGTGAAAGCCTGGTAAGGGAGACTTTATTCAGGAACACTGCAGTAAACAAAGGAACCACCATAACAGGGTCTTGCATTGGGAGACAGAGATTGGACTCATCTCCTAACATAGCATGGGCAAGTGAGAATTTACAGCCAAGGAGCAGGGTGGCGGTCAGTGGATGGAAAATTACTAAGAGGAAGCATCACCAGTAGGGAAATTTTGGCTAAACTGACCTAAAAGTGCTCTTGCTGAAGACAGGCGAGGGTGATCAAACATCACTTGGAGAATGGTGGCAGATAAGAGATCTGATCCGCTATTAAGGGTGATCAGATATCGAGGATGGGGAGTTCTTGCTAAACCTATTTAGCAGGGCTCTTTGCTAAAATTTTACAAAACTGGATTTTACAAGGAAGTGCACCCATGGGCCTATGAGAAGGTTCAGAAGCTTGACTAAACTATGGACAAGGAAAAAAATCTTCATTGGTCCTTACTGCCTTTTTAAAGAAACATTGGACTTCATGGCCACTAGTGAGGGTTTGGATTTAACTAATGAGTATCACTAGAAATTGGACATGCATGAGATTCACCATCCCTGTCCACCACCTCTGCTGATTGTCTTAATAACTGGTTAATTTTGCCACCTCTAAAATATCTTTCCTGCACATTTCTTCATTGTATTTATAATTTGAATTATCTTCTTTGCAACTAAGGCATTTCCCAATTTATCACCTAGTAATCTATACTCATCTTGCATATCCTTTCGTGACCTAGATTATGTGTGCAGTATATCCTTCATAAGCTCTTAAATTTAAAGGATATTTTATATTTTACAAAGCTTTTTCCCATTTTGGCCTGGCACAGTGGCTCACACCTGTAATCCCAGCACTTTGAAAGGCCAAGGCAGGAGGATCATTTGAGGTCAGGAGTTCGAGACCAGCCTGGCCAACATGGCAAAACCCGTCTCTACTAAAAATACAAAATTAACCAGGCTTGGCAGTGTGCACCTGTATTCCCAGCTACTCGGGAGGCTTAGGCACGAAAATCACTTGAACCTGGGAGGCAGAGTTTGCAGTGAGCTGAGATCGCGCCACTGCACTCCAGCCTGGGTGAAAGAGCAAGACTTTGTCTCAAAAATTAATTAATTAATTAATATTTTTAAAAAAACAAAGTTCTTTCACATCTATTCCCATGCCACTAAGTCAAGAGACTAATTTTTAAGACTTCGGGAAAGATCTATGGATCCCATCCATGCTGACTTAGAGCATAAGCAAATAGTTCATTTAAACAGCAACCCTTTAACCAGGCACAGTGGCTCACACCTGTAATCCTAGCACTTTGGGAGGCCAAGGTGGGTGGATCACTTGAGGTCAGGAGTTCAAAACCAGCCTGACAAATGTGGTGAAACCCCGTCTCTATTAAAAATGCAAAAAATTAGTGGGGTGTGGTGACACGCACCTGCAATCTCAGCTACTCGGCAGGCTGAGGCAGGAGAATCGCTTGAACCCAGGAGGCGGAGGTTGCAGTGAGCCAACATCAAGCCACTGCACTCTAGCCTGTGCGACAGAGCAAGACTGTGTCTAAAAAGAGCAATCCTTGGATTTTGTTTGCAACAGCTCTAGACTATTTATCAGGAAATCACTACCATCAAATATTTTTCCAGTTCCAGCTAGGTTCAGGTGTTGCCAAGAAGTTTCTGATGAAGTGGGCTACAGGAGGGAACTTACTTCTAGATGTTATAGAACTATTGTTGTAAGATGAATTTATTTAGGTGGGCAAACTGATGAGACCAACATGAGTAACACCAAATGCCGTACACCACGCAGATGGGCAAGTTTCATGTTATACTGGGGACTCATGGGCTCATTACACCCATCTTTTGGGCCATTTTTATGTCTCAAATATCAGTTTTTATTCTGTTGTCTTAACTTATAGCCACTGAGATAACTCCCTACTGATATTTAGTTTCCAAGTTGACCTTTACAAGGCTGCCTTAACTTTGCCCCTTAACATCCTTTATCAAAGCCCATTACACGAATCCCACATTTGAGATTTCCAAAATAAGACAATCATGCATAGCTTTTCCTCAGGAATGGAACTTCTCAGGACAAGTCTGACGTGTACCCTAGTTATTAAATAGATAGGGAAACAATCAGAAAAATGACAGGGGAAATTTCATTCTAATAGACACTGGGAGAAAAGATGGCTTATGTTGACTTAATTCTTTTTAAAATACTTTACTGTGTGTGATTAGTATCCTAAGGCCTTTTAAAATACTTTTCAGTATACTATAAAGATGCCAGAGGGAGTTATAAGGAGCTATGGGCTGGGATTTGATTGAAAAAGCCCAAGTAGGTCAGGCGTGGTGGCTTGTGCCTGTAATCCCAGCACTTTGGGAGGGCAAGGCAGGCAGATCACTTGAGGTCAGGAGTTCAAAACCAGCCTGGCCAACGTGGTGAAACCCCATCTCTACTTAAAAAAATAAAAAATAAAGGCCAAGTAGAGAATACGAGTTTGAGCCATATGAAGTTTCCATTTTTGTAGATCAAAAATAACTGCATAGCTACAACTTCAAAGGTTTAGCCTTAGGAAGAAAGATTCGTGAACAAGTCATTAAACAGGGATGGTAGGAGTCCATGAGAAGAATGAAAGAAGCTCCAGATGCTTTTTGGTTGGAAAAAAACAAAAACAAAAACAAAAACAAAACAGCAGAAAACATGGTGAAAATGTGTTTTTTAATGAAATGGTTGTAAACAAAGTGAGTATGCCATTAAACAGGAAAAGGCCTATTGCTTTGTACTGATAATCTTGTACTGTGCTTGCGATATAGAAATCAACGCTCCTCTTATTTCTCTTTAGTCTTTTTTTTTTTTTTAATAGACAGAGTTTCGCTCCTGTTGCCCAGGCTGGAGTGCAATGGTGCGATCTCGGCTCACCGCAACCTCCACCTCCTGGGTTCAAGCAATTCTCCTGCCTCAGCCTCCCAAGTAGCTGGGATTACAGGTGCCCACCATGCCCGGTTTCTTTCTTTCTTTCTTTTCTTTCTTTTCTTTCTTTCTTTCTTTCTTCCTTTCTTTCCTTCTTTCTTTCTTTCATCTTTAGTAGAGACAGGGTTTCACCACATGGGCCAGGCTGGTCTTGAACTCCTGACCTTAGATGATCCACCCGCCTCAGCCTCCCAAAATGCTGGAATTACAAGCATGAGCCACTGTGCCCAGCCTTTTCTTCAGTCTTTCTAATGAGAATAGTAACCAACCATCTGTAAAGAGAAAGAGAAAACCAAGATTAGGGCATAATAAGCAGTAACCAGTAGTTTGTCCCTGGGGAGGGGGATGTGGATGGGGTGTTTGGAAACTAGGACTTCCCATTTTTTTTCCTACATTGTTTTCCCCCTCAAGCACAGGTTACTTTTATAACAAAAGAAAAATTGAAATGTTTCCTTCTGAACTGAAATGAGAAAACTTGCAACAAGAGCGACAGAGAGATTTTAATTCCTTTTGATCTGAATAAAGAGAGCTATAAGCACTAAAAGAAGTTTAATATGAAGTAAGCTCCTCAGTGTGATGTTGCATTTTTTGTATGATGCATTTGTATCCACCCTTCATCCAATTCATGATCCATGAACTGTAAATATGTCAGTATCTGGCAAGGAAAATCTGGGCTTATAAAAGGAACCTGGCCTCCTTATTTCAGGCTGAGAGCAGGGATTGAGAGAAGATCTGAGATCTCCCGGTGGCGTATGGCACAAAGACTGTGAAGGTTATGCTAGAAACACTCTTATTTGGTGTCTATCTTTTCAGACAATAGGAAATAATTGAATTGGAAAAATGACTAAACATTGATAAGGACAAATCAATTTTGCAAATGCTTAGATTCTCTAAATAAATTCATGTCACTGCATGCTGTGCACATTAGGTCCCAGAGCAGTTAGAGACTGAAAATAAACCACATATTGATATTTGAGGAATGTTAGAGAACAAGAGCTACTCAACGTGTTGAGACAAGCAAAGACCATCCCAATTTTTCAAGTTTCTGCAAACCATACACCAATCAGCTTGATCTTATCTTAGAAAAAGACTTTAGAATAAATTGTTCAGATGATCTTTTGTGAATGCCAAAAAATAAAACATGGTACCACTTAGACCAACCCATGTAAAATAACTTTTTATTTTTGCTAGATTCATTGATAAACGAAATTCAGTACAAAATGAATCTGGATTTCAGCAGAGCATTTCAAAAGGACTCTCATCGTAGCTTATGAAAACATTGCAGAAAGGTGGATTCAATTCAGTGACAATTTGCCAAGACATGTTTTATTCTAATGTCACTGTCTTACTTTATCCAATAATAATAAGAACTTGATCCTAAATTCAAACTGAGGCCCTGGATAAGAGATGGGCTAGAGGGGCAGATAGGCAGACAGTTTGGGGCAGACTCACTGGACAGTCTTTTCTGCAGATGCTCAGAGCATCTAGAGATTGCTAGGAGGAGACAGTATTGTTAACTTGGACTCAAACTAACAAGCCATACTTCTGAAGCTAATATTAAACCTGAACCTGAAGAATTCCCTCTTCCAGGCAGTGGCGGTCAGGACATCATTATGGCTGGAGTAGAAATCTGAACTTAGAAACAGGCATTCAAAAGCAGGAACATACCGGGCGCAGGGGTTCATGCCTGTAATCCCAGCACTTTGGAAGGCTGAGGCGGGCAGGATCACCTGAGGTCAGAAGTTCGAGACCAGCCTGGCCAACATGGTGAAACCCTGTCTCTACTGCAAATACAAAAATTAGCTGGGCATGGTGGTGGATGCCTGTAGTCCCAGCTACTCAGGAGGCTGAGGCAGGAGAATCGCTTGAACCTGGGAGGGGGAGGTTGCAATTAGCCGAGATTGCACCATTGCACTCCAGGCTGGGTGACAAGAGCAAAATTCGGTCAAAAAAAAAAGCAGGAACAAAGGATATCAATACAGGGACCAGAAAACCTTTGAGCAGTGGTAGAGGTTGCCCCTACAGGAGGACAAATGCCACCTCACTAAATAGGGACTTAGACATTCAAATACCAGCACATTTCCTCTTCAGGGCGGAGATCTCTGTAATCCCAGCACTTTGGAGGCTGAGGCAGGCAGATCATGAGTTCAGGAGATCAAGACCATCCTGGCTAACACGGAGAAACCCCGTCTCTACTAAAAATACAAAAAATTAGCCGGCCGTGGTGGTGGGCACCTGTAGTCCCAGCTACTCAGGAGGCTGAGGCAAGAGAATGGCGTGAACCCAGGAGGCGGAACTTGCAGTGAGTGGTGATCGCGCCACTGCACTCCAGCATGGGTGACAGAGCGAGACTCTGTCTCAAAAACAAACAAACAAACAAAAGAATAGTATTTAATTATATCATCAGGCAGACATGACCTGGAAAATATGGACTATACTCAAAAGAAGAGGATGGCTATTCCCTATCCTGTACTGGCTAACAGATAATTTGATCGTGAGTTAGGCTCTGATCATGCCCCTTTTAAAGGAATATTGAATAATTGGAAAGTCTTGCAAGTAGAGCAACTATCCTGAGAATAGGACTGGAATTCAAGTCACATAATGAAAAATGATGGTATCCAGTGATAATTATCCCAGAGAAAAGAAGATCTTTGGGGGAAGGGAAAGACTTAATGTAGAAGATGGATTAGATGTGTCCTGTGTGGCCTTATAGGGTCAAGAAACAAGACGACCGATTTAAGCAAAAATAAGTGAAAAGTCATTCCTGGAGCTGACTAGAGAGACACATGTTTTCTTGGGAAGTCGTGTGCCCTATTCTCTGGAGACAGGAAAACACAGACAAAAAAACTAATAGGGATGTCACAGAATGCTTGCGTAAATAAATGGGTAATTTGATCAACTGATATGCAAGATTCCTTAAGTCATTAAGGATTTATGAAGGCATGTCTCATGCCTGTAACCCAGCACTTTGGGAGGCTGAGGCAGGCAGACCACTTGAGGTCAGGAGTTTGAGACCAGCCTTGGCTAACATGGTGAAACCCCATCTCTAGTAAAAATACAAAAATTAGCCAGTTGTGGTGGCATGCACTTGTAATCCCAGCTACTTGGGAGGCTGAGGCTGCGGCTGCAGAATTGCTTGAACCCAGGAGGCGGAGGCTGCAGCGAGCCAAGATTGCACCATTGCACTTCAGCCTGGGCGACAGAGTGAGACTCTGTCTCAAAAAAAAAAAAAGACTTATGAAAGCAATGATCATACAAGTTCTGACCATTGTCCTGAATTTTAACCAAGGTACCCGTCAGAGTAGGAAACCTACATCTCAGAGTGGTTTTGCCATTACCAAAGCCATTCTTGACTTTAGTTGTTTTCAAAGTTTACACCACCCGATTTAACTGCCATTATCCTTCCCATTGGCTGTTTTCATCAGTTTCCAGGCAATTCCACCCATTTATTTGTGGGTCACTGTCTTTCTTTTCTCCTCTAGGCCTGTCTCTTTTTTTTAGTGAATTCAACTTCCATAAGGATAATTCATCAAACATCTTGATCTCTCAGTTCGTTGACCTCTTCACCAGCCATGAGTTTTCCCCTTCCTCCATCCCAGTCACTCATTACCAGAATAATTTCCTGATCCTCATTATCACAAAAATGGAACCAGATGAGAAACTAACCAGAGTATTTCTTTCCATAAGATTTATTACACTTAGTTAACAACTTTCTGCCAAACCATCCTTCAGAGCTAAAGGGAATACCATATACAGTAATAAGGAAAGGATGTTTCCTTCCCAAAGACAGGAATTGTTGCAAAACTGATATATTTAAAACCCCAGAGGAAAAAAAATTGTATTCTTAGATTTGGGGAAACTTGTCCCTACATAGAAAGCCTCCAGGTGATTCTAGCCCATAGCCATTTGGATATTTCCAACCAAAGTCCAAGACATCTCAGATTGTAGACAAGCTCTCTCTGCTGTGCACTGGCTGAATTCCTGACCCACAGAATCCACGAGCATATTGGAAACTGGAGAAAGGAAAATTCTTGCTATGCAGTGGCAGAAAGTACTCTGTCATCCGCAGTTTTGAGGCAAAAGTAGAAAGGTTCCTGGTGAACTGAGTGATCTAACTAAGGAAATTTCCAACTAAAGTCTTGAAGGTGTTCTTTGATTTCTTCTTGCTGACTATAATAAAATGTGAGAAGAGAAAGATAAATTGAGAGAAGGGCTGATTAAAAAAAAAAAAAAAGGATCCTGGACAGTATTGTTTGTTTTGAAAATTCTCAGCCTCTCCAATGGCAAATAATGCTAAAGTTTAAAAATGACTTCTAAGCAAATATCAAATTGAAGACAATGCCAGAGAAATTCAGGTATACCAGAAATCATGCCCTAAAGATAAAGCTAACGTGTGGCTATAAGATTTTTTAAGATCTGAGAAAGTCAAAAATTAGAAAATTATTTTCATTTCAAAAATGAAAAATGGGGAACAGCTACATACAAAAGCCCCTCTAAAGATATTAAGCGAGGCCGGGCGCAATGGCTCAAGCCTGTAATCCCAGCACTTTGAGAGGCCGAGGCGGGTGATCACAAGGTCAGGAGATCGAGACCAGCCTGGCCAATATGGTGAAATCCCCTATCTACTAAAAAATACAAAAATTAGCCGGGCATGGTTGTGGGCGCCTGTAGTCCCAGCTACTTGGGAGGCTGAGGCAGGAGAATCGCTTGAAACAGGGAGGCGGAGGTTGCAGTGAGCCAAGGTCACCGCCACTGCACTCCAGCCTGGGTGACAGAGTGAGGCTCTGTCTCCAAAAAAAAAAAAAAAAAAAAAAAAATATTAAGTGAGAACCTCACAGACACTCTCGGATAAGTCAAAGAGGCTTCTAGGAAACTTAAGGGCATTGTCCTCAGCTATTACATCAGGGGTCCAAGTGTTTATCTCTAGATGATCTGTGGTAGTAACTTTTGTCTAATAGAGTAAACTCCAAGAAGATTCACAGGAGAACCACAAATTTTTTCTAAAAATTATATATACAAACAAATTGCCAGCTTGAACAGAGGCATGTCTCACATGGTGGCAGACAAGAGAAGAGAGCTAGTGCAGGGAAACTCCCCTTTTTAAAAACATCAGATCTCGTGAGACTCATTCACTATCACGAGAACAGTGTAGGAAAGACCCACCCTCATAATTCAATCACCTCCCACTGGTTTCCTCCCATGACACATGGGAATTGTGGGAGTTACACTTCAAGATGAGATTTGGGTGAGGACACAGTCAAACCATATCATTAGGTTAGGCTGTAAAGGGACTGTGACTTATATATATATATTATATATATATATATTTTATACTTTATATATATATATTTTATAATATATATTTTATATATTATATATCTATTTTTTATACTTTAAGTTCTAGGGTACATGTGCACAATGCGCAGGTTTGTTACATATGTATACACGTGCCATGTTGGTGTGCTGCACCCATTAACTCGTCATTTACATTAGGTATATCTCCTAACGCTATCCCTCCCCCAACATACCAGGCCCTGGTATGTGATGTTCCCCTTCCTGTGTCCAAGTGTTCTCATTGTTCAAGTCTCACCTTTCTCTTCGCTTCCTCTGGGAGAATCCAGATGCTGTGCTATGAGGACAATCAGCCAGAGTATGGAGAAGCCCATGAGGCAATGAACTGATATCTCTGGCTAACAGTTGGTGTGAACCAGTGGCCTTCCAGTGTCCACATAAATGAGCTTGGAAGTGAATCCTTCTCTAGTTGAGCCATGAGATGACCGCAGCCCCAGCCAACACCTCACCAACCATCTCATAAAAGACCCCAAGCTATAGGTATCTAGCTAAGCCACATCTAGTTTTCTAACCCACAGAAACAGTGAGATAATAAACTTTGTTGTTTCAGCCACTAAGTTTTGAGATAATTGTTATGCAACAATAGGTAACTAATATAATGAAACAGGTCCATGTATCAAAATGCATAGTTCTTAAAAGCAATAATGAAATTTAAAAAGTAAATTGCATAATTTTACATCACATACATAAATTCTTAAATCTGCAATCCTTCATACTAGGTCTTGTTTAAATACTTTATAAATATAAGATGTTTATATTTTTATATAAATTAACAGTGACTGGGAGAATATACAATAAAATTATGATAGAAGTTATATCTGAGATGAAAAAAGGGAAATAAGACTGAAGAGGGGACTTCAACTTTACAAGCATAATGTTTCATTTCAATTAATTTTTTAAAGATCCAAAGCAGAAGTAAGAAAATGCCAATTTGGAGAGGCAGGTTCTTGTAATATTTTTCTCAAAATTTTCTTGTATTTTTAAAATTGTTCCCTGCCCTGAACATAAGTGTAAAGAAAGATTTAGTTACATGTTCAGGCTTGGCAGAACATTGCTTATTAGAGGAGATTCAGATGTTTTATGGACAAGCCCTAGCAAACTTAAAAGGAGAAAATACATGCTATGTCATTTAAACTGTTGCCAAGCATGGTTAAAGACACAAAGCTTCTCAACTCATGTTTCACATTTGACATGTTTAGAATGTGAAGTTTGCATGTTGGCAGATGGCCGGTAAACACACTTGCCTATAAAACTGAGAAATCTGTCATTGGGACAACAAAAACTATGAGGTAGATGGGTAAAAAAAAAACTATTATAAAATGAAATTTGAAGTTTCAGGTGTCTTGAGAATCCTGGTATCAATCAACAAATTATTAAAGTTAATATAACTCCTAAACAATGTCTGCATCCTCTTGTAAGAAGCATTCTTGAAAAGTCTATGCAATATGAGATGAGGTGCATCTGCTTCCCAGAGCCATATCCTTCCTCTAGCATGATGGAAATCTCCATGGAAGGTGTGGGAGAGAGAATTTGAACAGGGTGTCCATCAAAATGTCATTTCTGGAAGACATTCTATCCACGGTAATTCCTTTGTGGTGTCAAGTTCCCTCTCTCTCCTTCTTCCTTTTTAAAAAAATTTTCTTTTGGGACCTTAGTTATAAATAATTGAATTATTATCATCTGTGATTTTTGCATGGTCCCTCTCTTATTTATTTTTTATGTACTTATAAATCAGTTAATTTACTTCTTCTTCTCCCTTTACTCCCTTCGTTTCCTATAGGCCACTATGCTATTCTGTCTAATGTATATTCAACGCATATTAAATTTATTTAATGGATTTGTATATATCCTTATAAAGTATTGTTCAGTACACATATACTTTATGTAAATAGCAATCAGTAATATATCTCATTCTGGTTTGTCATTAAGCAGAATTTTTAAAAATCCATCTATGCTACAGTGTGTATATGTAATCTATTGTTATTAATTCCTGCATGATACTCCATGAAGAGGATCACCGAGTTGCCTACCCACTTTCACAGTGTTGGACACCAGCTTTCCTTTGACGTTTTTGCCACCATAGGGATGCTACAGTGAACATCCACATGTACACCTCCCTGAGGACCTGTGTGAGAATTTTCTGGAAATACACACTCAGGTGTTGGATTGCTGGATCATGGAGCATCACTTACATAATTTACATAAATAGTTTCAGATTGTTCTTTAGAGTGGCCAAACAAGCCAACAATCCCATTAGCAATGCAGGAAAATTCCTGTAAATTCCCACTCCCACCAACACTTGGCATTATATAGCACAGGAGTCAGAAAACTATGGCCCATTGATACAGGAGCGGGGCAGGGAAGTGCTGGGAGAAGAAGGGTGGGTCCCTGGTGAGGACTCCACCCCTACTGTGCCCACGGACCTAGGGAACAGGCATTTCTGAATGAATAAGAACAGGCATTTCTGTTTTTGTGCCCAAACGTTGCATTTCCCAAAACCACCCTGGCCCACCACGCCCTCATCCTGTGCCTAGTGGGAAGAGACACAGGCAGCTGGACATCCGAGAGGAGCAAATCGTCAGAAGAGCACACCGACAGGCAGCGGCAGACGCCAGCAGGACGGCAGGCCATCGACAGGGGGAACCATAGTGAGTTTGTCGGGGGCGGGATGAGGGAAGCCTGGCTGAGCAGCCCAACTCCAGGGGAAAACCACCTTCCCACTCCATCCCCCTTCTGGCTCCCCCGTCTGCTGAGAGCTACTTCCACTCAATAAAACCTTGCACTCATTCTCCAAGCCCATGTGTGATCCGATTCCTCCAGTACAACAAGGCAGGAAACCCTGGGATACAGAAAGCCCTCTGTCCTTGCCATAAGGCAGGGGGTCTAATTGAGCTAACTAACACAACCCATCTATGGACGGAGGCTAAACTGAAAGAGTACCCTGTACACACACCCACTGGGGCTTCAGCTGTAAACACTCACCCCTAGACGCTGCCGTGGGGTCAGAGCCCCAAAGCCTGCCCATCTGCATGCTTCCCCTAGAAGTGTGAGCAGTGGGGCACGGAAGAAGCGAGCCACGCCCCCGTTGCACGCCCTGCGAGGGGAACAAGGAAACTCTTCCCGTCTCACCATGAGCCAAACAGAGCCCCAGCCTGTTTTTACAAAGTTTTATTAGAACCCAGCCACACTCATTTGCTTACATATTGTCTATAAATGTAATGATATAATGCAATGATACAACGGCAAAATTCAGTAGTTGCAACAGAGACCATGTGCCCCACAAAGCCTAAATTATGTATATCTGTCCCTTTACAGGATAAGTTTGCTGGGCTCTGATATAGCACTCTATTTTTTGCAAATCTAATACCTGTAAAGTAATATGTAATTGTTATTTTAATTTTGAAATCTCTGAGAAATAATACTTTTGAGAATTCTTTCACAGGCTTACTTAAGGATTCATCTTCCGTGAAGTTCCATTCATGTCTCAAGAGAGGTTTTGCACAGGGTGTCCACCCAAAGATCGTTTCTGGGAGACATTCCATCCATGGCACTTCCTTTGTGATATCAAGTTCCCTCTCTCCCCCTCCTCCTTTTTGTTTCTAATTTTCTTTTTGGACCTCAAAATTAGTCAATCACATTTCTTATTTTATGGCATACTAAAAAGATATCCTTCCAAATCTCTTCCCCATCAGTTCCAGAAGTACAAGAGGCTTCAGTTTTAATCAGTTTGAGAATATTTAGAACCTCACAGAACACATCAACAAACTCACAAGATCATGTAAATAAATGAGCCCTCAGAGGTAGAATAAACTAACTTCTTCGTGTTATAGATTAGCACCCTGGTGTTACATAAGGTCATACAGTAAATAAGTGGCCAGGATGCAACTCAAGCCTTCTCCTTTGAGCCGTGGTCTAGTGCTTTTTCCTCACCACCACCATAGAAGTCCTCCTCTGAGTTGCATTTCCAAGCAGGTCATAAGGCAAATGCCCATACTCTTGTCCTTCAGTGACCTTGATGTCTCATTATTCCCGGGCTCTTTTGGTTAGTTTTCCTTCATCTGTAAGGTTTTTTTTAGAATGTCCCACACATATTGGCAAGACCTATTTAACTACTGAGAACCTCAAATCACAGTGATTGAGAGGACTGGAACGAGAGATGCTCAGCCAGTGACCATCAGGTAAGTTTATGAGCAGATCCTAAGGTCCCTCCTCGGGTTGGGGAGAAGGCCCGATCTGGGAGAAAGTCAGGGCACTGGTCATAAAGACATAAGGACAGAAGCCCAACCATTTAAACTGGGACAGGAGTCATCCAAAGGGCAGGGGGGAACAAGAGGGTGATATCAGCTGGGCCAGTTAGATGGGGAAGGCTAAAATGCTAAAATCAGTCTTTTAGTGCACTTTACTCAGGTTTGGCTAGGCATGTTTTATAGGCAATTGTAAATCATGGAGCAAATAAATCAACCTTAAGTGCAGCCATACAACTAAGTTGAAATGTGGTGTGTGTCTGTGTGTGAGTGTGTGTGTGCATGTATGTGTGTGCATCTGTATCTGAGTGTGTGTGTGTGTACCTGTATGCATCTATATGTGTGTGCATGTGTGTGGGTAGAAAAGGTACTGAAGGCAATACCCATACATAGTTAGAAATAAAAGGAAAATACCCATTAGAAGACTAGAACAGATCTAGCTACTTGAACTGTTGAAATGATAAGCCCACCTATATCTAGGGATTCAAGAAGCATTCAATGCTTCTTGAATTCAATTCAAGAAGAGATTCAGTGCTGACATTAGTCAATTCAACTGCAGGTAGAAATTCTCCACCTGGACCCTTCCATGTTCAGGTGCTAGATTTTGTTCTTATGGCCATCCCCCTCTTTTTTGACCCAGAACCTTCTTTCAAGACTACGACCCTTGTGATTCTAAAACTGGGGATAAAACAATTAATAGTCTCTCTACAGATCCAAAGTATACCTCAGTGACAGAAAAATGTGAACTATGAAGATTTGTTTGCTAGTTACCAAATTATTGCTGCTCACCTACAGGTACACCCTTCATTGCCTGCTCTATGATAATACAAAGGGATCCTATGAATATTTCTCCTTAGCCAGCTGACACAATGTCCCAGGCAGGAGAATCGCTTGAACCCAGGAGGCAGAGGTTGCGGTGGGCCGAGATCACGCTCTTGCACTCCAGCCTGGGCAACAAGAGTGAAACTCTGTGTCAAAAAAAAAAAAAAAAAAAAAGAATCTTAAATGAATTAACCCTAAGCTATTCTCTATGGCCAATACCTCATGTTTGTTTTCATCTGTGGCTTTCCAGAACCATTTTTGTTGTTGGCTTCCTGTCTACTCACTATAGGGAAAATGAGCCCACTCAGCTCAAAAGAACTCTTGGTGGTGAAAATTTTGGAAGCCAGTGAACTGTTTGCCCTTACTCTCGTCCAGCTGGAGAATCTATAATCCTAGACACTAGCTACCCTTGCAGACCAATGCAGACCCACTGACTTAGATGACTCAGGCTCATTGTGTTCAAATGTGACCTGAAGGAAATCTACATAGAGGTGTGTGTAGGAATGAAAGCACTCCAGGAGTCTTATTTATTATACTTAACCAGTCACATTTTTATTAGCAGCTGGCAGCAACGAGGTCTTCTGAAAGACCAGGCAGCATCAAGAAAGAGAAACAAGAGAGGGTTTGCTAAAGTGAAATGAATTGACATCATCAGGAAATGCAAGCAGCAGTGTGGTAGTCCATGGTTGCTGAAAGGTTATTCTCGGTTAAGAAGGATCTCTTCGTGCCTGGACAAGTTCCCTGGTCAGCACCTGGAGAGAATGTGAAGGTGGAATCAGGGTAAAGTTAGAAAGCAGGCAGCATTTGTACTCGGTGGGAGGCAGGCACCCAGGGATGGCTATGCATTTATAGACAGCCGCAGACCCTCAGAGGAGGTGTGAAGAGGGCTCCATTAACAAAGTGTTGCCTTGCAGAAGCTGGACTCACAGCTGGGTTGGCATGAAGTCGGCAAGCAATTGGAGCCACTACTGGGTGATGTGCCTAAACCAGTCACACAGCAAGCTGATTTGCAGCCACTCTGGTTATAGGAAGGGGGTCCATCACAAGTTGGTTGGCCAGAAATCACAGTGTCACAAGAAGCTGGTTTGCAACAGTTCTTTGTGGAACAAGGGGCCTGGCAGTTAGCCACTGGCTGGTAGATGAAGCATGTGGAAGGAACCAGTTGGCAGTGAGGTGGCTGGCAATGGGAAGGCACACAGCAAGTAGTATTGCAAGAACTGAACACACAAGTCGATGGCTGGCAGGGAACAGGCATGTAGAGGGCTGATTGGCAAGGCTTGAAAATATAGCAGATGGGTTGATAATAAGTTGATTTACAGGGCTGGCCTTCACCACTGACGGGTTGACATGAACTTCCTTGGCACCAAGTTGGTTGGCATGGACTAGCTGTACAGATGGTTGGTAGGCAAGAAGTTTCCGGACAGGAGGTCACTTCAGAGCAGGATGGCTGGCAGGATCCAGCATCACAGCAGACTGATTGGCCACAAGCTGCCTGACATGATCCAGACATGCAGACAGATTCCTGGCAGGAGCTTTGCTGGCAGGGACTGGCATCGCAGCACTTTTCCTGACAACAAGTGGATTCCGAGCAGGATGGCTGACATGAGCTAACCAGACAAGGAGACTGACCAGTGCCAGACTGATAGCAGGCTGCGTGGGAGCACATAGGTTGGCAAACAAAACCCACACAAGACGTTGCTGGAAGGCGGGTAGGTTGACACGAAGCAGGATCACAGCCACTTGGGGCACCAATGGATGGCTGACAGCTTTCTTGGCATGTGACCAGTTGCCACATTCTGCTGTGGCAGGAACTAGGCAAACAGAGAGCATGTCGAAATCCACCTTTAACTGGGTATGTGGTGATGGTGGGCACAGCTGGAATGGCTGTGGTGTTTCCAGGACAACAGCCGTCTGCCATGGTGCTGGTGCTGACCTTGCTGGGAAGTTGCAAGCTCAGTATACCTGCATTGGAAAGACATCCAATACAGAGGGGCTTTTATAGTCCTTCACTAGGGGTGTTGGCACGCCATGCAGCATCTTTCCTTGTTATTGTTTTTACTCATTTGCATGCAAACATCTGATTAGCAGGCTTCAGGAGCCTGGGAGATGTTTCAACTTTGAAAAGGTGTCTGTTGAGTCGGGAGTTTTCTGCGCTGCATTTGGATTCGTTGACACTGCTCCTGCTCTTGGATGAGCTGTCTCTTTTACAGGTTGCTCTCCAGCCTCACTGAAGCAGGCCTTTCCTGGCACTAACCTTTCATCAGGAGGCCTCTGCCAAGCCAGAGTGGCCCTGCTGTTCCTCCAGGAATGCAGCTTTGCACCATTCAATCAGAAATGAAGCCTTGACCCAGTTTGGGGAGAGGATGTCAAGACGGGAAATGGAAAATTAGTCCAAGGAACCCAGGGACACTTAAGTGCCTCTACCTCTTTTTAAAACCTTCCCATTTATCATTCCTGAAACTTGTTTACTAGTACTATTACTAATAATAACAATAGAAATGGCTTTCATTTATTGCATAGTTACTAGATCAAGTCCTTGGCTGCATTTTTCACTGGATCCTCACAATGACTTCAGTAAGTATAATTGTCATCACTATGTTAGAAGTGGCAAAACTAAAAAAAAGTAATAAATAAAGAAGAAACCAGGTTTAAAACAAAGTTAAGATTAAAATATAAAACTTCATTGGCCCTTTTAGGAAGCTTAAAATCTCCCCCAAATTGGTTCCTCTCAAGATTTTTTTAGAACAGAAAAGAAGAAAACAGAAGTGGCAAAACTCATAGAGTTTAAATCATGTTCCCAAAATTATGCAAATGAAAAGGGGTAGAAACAAAATTCAAACCTAGCTTTGTCTGACCACCAAACCCCTGATCTTAACCACCTATTAGACCCCCTGACTTTGGGGAGGCAGGGAGAAGGCGACACTGATATAGTGGCTGCAGGCTGACACCCCTATGGCAACAGACTGGCTCGTGAGCAGGTTGCCCAGGCCCCATCCTGGGGATCCTCCGCCCACTCCAGTGACTGTAATCAGCAGCTAGACCACACTGGTGTGAGTACTTACCTCTACTTATCAATACACTCAAACACAGTCTTTTAATTTTGGAAATTTTTTAAACTACCAAATATTTAATCAGGAAGTATCAAACCCACCCTAGGGCATCAATAGCATATGAATTCTATACAAATAAAAACACGCCAGCAGTGATAATAAAAAAAATCACTGTAAAGTGGTGTTAATGTTAAACCAATCCCTTCCAAGAGGAATTCATGAGGGACTTTCTTGGCCCTTCTGCTTTTCCTCCGGGCTTGTCCTGGCTCCGCATCACCAACCAGGTCCGGTGTTCTACACCAGCCAACGTTCTGGCCGGTTCACGCTGGAGGCACATGACGGAGTGGAAAGATCACGGTGTGGGGAGCCAGATGGGGCTGGCCTTGATTTCTGGCTCTGCCACTAACTCATTCTGTTGAATATGTTAGCTAATTACCTAAGTCTTCAAAGTATGGCGATTTCATCAACTGCGTTGTCATGTCTCAGGTTAGTTTTTTGTGGGTGTTTGTTTGCTTTGGTTGCTTCACAAATTATTGAAAATACTGAAAACGCTGAAGGGTACTTTGCAAACCCCCAGCTACAAAATGCCTTCTCCTTGGCACCCTCTTCACCTCCATTTTAAAAAGAAGAGAAACATTTTTGATCAGAACAATGTCTGGAAAACCTTCTCCCCTGCCATTGAAATGCCTTTTTCCCCACAGTTGGTTTCTATGTCACACCATGGATCACTTCTTTTGCCCTCCTTCTTGTCTGTATTCATGTTGGCATCTTTCAATCTGCAGGAATCCATGCACTGTGTTTTATTGCTGAATATTTACCCCCAAAGCTCTTCATCTTCCCAGAGGATGTATTTAATACTTTCAGTCTTACCAAATATGTCAATCAAACTGGGAACATGAGCATGTTTGAAAAATCACATCAACTTCAGTCCAATATCCTATACCACTTTTATAGTTTTAAAGCAATCCATTCTACATCCATTTTTCTCTAAGTGATTCTGCTCTTGTTTTCTTTTCTCCTAAAGGAAACTCTTAATAGCAAGAACATCTGTCTTGCTGTAGTTCAAGGCACTAAAAACACCTAGTGTATCAACAAAGACACCTGTGACCACATTGAGACATATCATGATCCATACAGAACCTAGGCTTTGGAAAGAACTGGGTTTTAGTCATTTGCATGTTACTTATTAGCCATGACAATCGTGAATTTTATCACTCCCTTTATATATATGTGTTTGTGTGTGTACATATGTGTATAAATGCATGTATACTCATACATATGTGTGTCTGTGGTTTTTGAACAATACACACATATATGTTTGAGTGTGTGTATATATATACACACATTATATTAATATACATAAATATATACACACACGTATGGTTTTCTGGAGCTTGTTTATATCAATCAACACTATGTTAGTAAGATTCATCCATGCTATTGCATGTCGCCATTTTCCAGTCATCTTCACAGTATAATATCCCATTGGGTGAATATACCACAATTTAATTGTCCATTGATGGGCACTTGGATTGTTTGTCCTTCGAATTCTGCATCTTATGTATAGGTGAAAAAATAGGAGAGAATACATATTACTTCAAAGAATTGCTGTAATCCATATGAAATGCTTAGTCCAGTGCTTGGCACAGAGGTTCAAAACCCTAGCCAACTCCTGTGTGTGTGTGTGTGTGTGTGTGTGTGTGTGTGTGTGTGTGTTTAGACAGAATCTCTCTCTGTCGCCCAGGCTGGAGTGCAGTGAAGTGATCTTGGCTCACTGCAACCTCCTTCCAGATTCAAGCAATTCTCCTGCCTCAGCCTCCTAGTAGCTGGGACTACAGGCGTGCGCCACCATGACCAGCTAATTTTTGTATTTTTAGTAGAGATGCGGTTTCACCACGTTGGCCAGGCTGGTCTCGAACTCCTGACCTCAGGTGATTCACCCACCTCGGCCTCCCGAAGTGCTGGGATTATAGGCTTTAGCCACAGCATCCGGCTGGCCAACTCCCCTCTTGACTCTGGAAGGAGACAATGATAAATCCCAATGGCTTGATGAGACAGTAACTCCAACACCAATGTGATTAAGTTTTGCTTTTGACTTTCTCCCTCTGCCATAGTCTGACCCAGTGGTTCTCAAACAGGGGTGATTTTTGCACTCCCAGGCAATGTTTGGCAATGTCTGGAGACATTTGTGATCATCACCCTCAAAGGATGCTACTAGAATCTGGTTCATAGAGGCCAGGGATGCTGCTTAACATCCTATAATTCACAGGACAGCCTTTACAACAAAGAATCGCCCAGCCCAAAATGTCAATAATGCTGAAGTTGAGAAGCCCTGGTCGACCCTCACACTGTGCTCATGATGACTCAAGCTGCCCCTTGAGGACAAGGAATAGGCCTCCATTCTGTGCACTAAGTGTAGGGAGTGACTGCTTTGAAGAGACTCTGTCCTTGGATTTTGTAAGATACAGAATTTATCCTATGAGTGTCTTGGAGGAAGTAGGAGAACATAAACAAAATTCTCACACAAGAAATCCAAGTTACCCAACCTTCTTTGTTGTAAGTATGATCCCTGATCCCCACTTGTTTTTCTTCCTGTGGACCCAAAAACAATTGGCTTCCTTTCCTCCCCAGTCTCTCTATATCCAGAACCATGTTCTTCCATTGAGTTCTCCACACCAACCAAGGCCAGAGGGATGTTCCAAAACCAGTGCTCTTCCTGTCACCTCCTTGCATGCAGCCCCTTGATGCTTTCATGTCAGCCCTGCATCAAACCGAAATACCTCTGTCTAGCATGCAAGACCCCACATAGACAGATCACTGTCTACGACCTGACCTCATGGCTCATTCCTCAAAGAACAACTCTCCCATGCCTCACCTAATGAACAATTTGCCCTCAAGCCCCATTCACTTGTACAAGTCTCCTTTGCCTAGAAAGTTTTTCCTTTCCTGTTTGTAACTGGTTAATTCCTACTCATACTGAAAGACTCGATGCCAGTATCACATTCTCCAATAATTCTTTCCTTGTTCCCCAACTATGCTCTGCTGAGTTCATGGTGCTCTATGCTTATCTCCAAGTACTTGGCACAAAGGAATGTCATAATTGTCTTGCTGCCCACCAGAGAGTGAGTTTCTTGAGAACAAAGACTGAGACTTCTTATGTTTATTCTTAGAGCTAAACACAGTCCCTGGCACCTAGCTGCTGTCTAATAATGCCAGAGGGATGGGTGGGTGGATGGATGGTTGAATGGAGCTGCTGTTAAAGAAGAAGCAAGTCACTGATGAGACTATGGCATTAATGGAAGAGCAAGGAGAACAGCAAGTTGCTTCAGCTTAGCCACCTTTATTGGACAGTTACATATTTTACCTGATTGGAGAAGTCCCTAAGGAACACAAGCATGCATAGCAAGGGAGCACATACATGATGACAGAAAAAACTACATGCAGGAAAGAGACCCGAGATGATGTGGCAAAGCAGCTCTTCTCAGCTTAATCGTAGCAGAAGACAAGAACCTGGAATGTCTCCCTCTCACTGTCCAGAAGGCCTTCATTTAAGTGATCAGGATACTGACATTTCTGATGAGTTCTTTGAGGGGTAAGCCGATTGTGAGTAACAATGCAGAAAGAAAGAGCTCCTAGCTAAGTCATAATGAGCTTTGGGGAGGACAGTGCAGTTTTGTCTCTAGCTGGTGGCTTGACTTGCAAGAATTGGGGGGCTGAAGCCAATTTAGCAGTTGGCAGGCTTGCTGGCAGCAGGCTGAGCTGCTGCGGCCTCACGGGTGGTTGGGCTGATGGGTTTGGCTTCAGTGGGCTGGCAGGGAGCCTCTTCTGAGACATCCACCTTGCAGGGGGTTGTGTCAACACAATCCAGTTGGCTGGAAGTGGATTTTTTGCAATCCCGTTTGCAAGAGTCAGACTCAGTGCAAGATGGGCGGAAGTAGACTGGGCGGCAAGAGTAGGAAGTGACACAGGCTGGGCGGCGCAGGATGGAGTAGCATGGGCGATAGCAGGCAGGACGGTAGGAGATGGATGTCATGTATGGCTGCCTATAGGTGAGGAGTCCAGAGCAGATTGGGCGGCAGATCGGACGGGAGACCGGGCGGTAGGAAATCGTAGCACTGCAAGGCCGTTTGCTGGAACTGGGTATGTAGAAAGTCCTAGGACAAGTTGGTCGGCAGATGGCAGATGCAGAAGACCCTGGACTGCAGGAAAGAGGTCGGCAGGAGGTAGATGGGCAGGAAACTGGCTCAGGGCAGACAGAAGGACAGCGCTTGACTACATAGCAAGTAGGTTGGCATGGACTGGACACACAGACAGCTGGTGAGCAGGGGCTGGGCTCAGAGCAGATGGGTTGGCAGATACTGGAGACACAACAAGAAGGCTCTTGGCAAGTGCTGGGGACAGAAGGTGGCTCGCACGAGCTCTGAACACAGCAGACAGGGCGGAGGCAAACTGGCTCACAGACCAGAGCCACACACGTAGCTGGCTGGCAGATGCTAGACTCTGAGCAACTTGGCTCACAAGGGCTGGGGTCACAGCAGACAGCCTGGCAGCTACTGGTCACAGAGCAGGTAGGTGTCGGGCACACCGGCTGACAGCAGGAAGGCTCACAGACCACAGGTTGGCAGGAACTAGGCAGGGTGCAGACAGCTGAACAGCAGCTGGGCTCACAGACAACTGGCTGGCAGCAGCTGGATTTGCAGAGGACAGGCTGGCAGGAAGTGGGCACACAGAGGACTGGTTGGCAGGAAGTGGCTTCAGAGCCTACAGGCTGGCAGCAGCTGCTCACGGAGCAAGAAGGCTCACAAATAGCAGGCTCACAGCACACAGGTTGAGCACAGCTGCTCACGGAACAAGAAGGCTCACAAACGGTGGCCTCAAAGCACACAGGTTGGCAGCAGTTGCTCACTGAGCAAGAAGGCTCACAGATGGTGGCCTCGAAGCACACAGGTTGGTAGCAGTTGCTCACAGAGCAAGAAGGCTCACAGGTGGTGGCCTCACAGCACACGGGTTGGCAGCCGCTGCTCACGGAGCAAGAAGGCTCACAAATGACAGGATCACAGCACAGGGGTTGGGCACAGCTACTCACAGGACAGGAGGGCTGACGGCACTGTGGCCCACAGCTGGATGATCCACAGCTGTCTTGACAAGTCACCAGCTGCCATGTCTGGCTCTGGCAGGAACTGGGCAGGCAGATGGGGCCTCCACAGCTCACCTCAGTGGAGCAGAGAGAGGTGGCTGGCACGGAGAAGCATTTCCTAGAAGAGCAACTGCCAGACATGGTGGAGGTGGCCGTGCTTCCTTGTGCTGAGTGCTGAGAGGTTGCTGCCTCACTGTGACAGCTCCCTGAGGCCCTCACTTTTATACCCCCTCACTGGCGTGTTCTGTTTGGGACTCCTGCATCTTTTCCTCATTGTTGTTTGGGCCAGTTTGCAGAGGAACATCTTATTATACCACCGTTTGTTGATCTGGAAGCTGTTTATCTACCCGTAAAGAAGGTGTTTATTTATTGATGTGCTAAATTTGGAATCCTCAGAGCTACAGGTAGTCTTGGAAGAAGCATCCTCACCTCCAAACTGGATAATCTATATTTCTGAGCATTGTGAACAGGGAAAGAAGAATGAAACTTATGATTTATCCACCTTCTAGTCTTCCATACAGGGCCCTGGGTTGGATTCAGAGGATGCCACAGGAATAAGACCTATTCACCCATTCTCTTGGATCTCGCCTTCTAGTGGGCAGATAAGCATGCAGACAAACTCACTGCAATACAATAATAAGTTCAACAATAGACATACAGAGATTAATTGAGAGGAGAGGTGATGAACTCAGTTGGGAAAAGAACAACTGGGCTGGATTTTAAATGACTGCACCTTACAGCAATGATCTTGCTTAAAACCACCAGCAATCTCATGAGGCAGAGATTTTTCTCCACCATTAGAAATGAATAAATGGTCCAGGAACCATGGCTCACGCCTGTAATCCCAGCACTTTGGGAGGCTGAGGCAGGCAGATCACCTGAAGTCAGAAGTTCGAGACCAGATTGGCCAACATGGCAAAAACCCATCTCCACTAAAAATATAAAAAATAGCCAGGCATGGTGGCACACACCTGTAATCCCAAATGCTTGGGAGGCTAAGGCAGGAGAATCACTTGAACCTGGGAGGTGGAGGTTGCAGTGAGCCAAGATCAAGCCACTGCACTCCTGCCTGGGTGACAGAGGAAGACTCTGTCAAAAAAAGAAAAAGAAAAAAAAGGAAGGAAGGAAGGAAAGAAGGAAGGAAGGAATGAAGGAAGGAAAGAAGGAAAGAAGGAAGGAAGGAAGAAAGAAGGAAATAAAGAAAGAAAAGAAAGAAAGAAGAAAGAAAAGAAGAAAGAAAGAAAGAAAGAAAGAAAGAAAGAAAGAAAGAAAGGAAAGAAAGAAAGAAAGAAGGAAAGAAAGAAAGAAAGAAAGAAAGAAAGAAAGAAAGAAAGAAAGAAAGAAAGAAAGAAAAGAAAGAAAGAAAGAGAAAGAAATGAAGAAATGGGGGCAGAGGGTCAGAAAGTTTCAGTCACTTGCTAAAGATCACACACAGTCTGTCCCTGATCTAAGGCGGCTGTCCCTCCTTCTCACCAACCTGTCTAGACCTACCTTTCTCAGAAGACTTCATCAAAGTCACATATCGCCAGCTTAGCCCACCGCTGTCCTCCATGCTATCCCATGAACATAGAACATTGGCTTGACCTGTTCCTGGAAATCATGTGACCCAGCCTTTCTGCTCTTCCTCAAGCATTCATTAGACCTCCAGGGTCTTCCTTGCTTTTAATGATTTTGACAGTTCCTTTAAAAAAAAAAAATCTCCAAGACCCAAAGGGTAAATAGTAAAAACAAGAGACTTCTCAGGTGTGTCTCTCAAAGACTTTGTGAACAAAAGACTCGTCTTTGCTACTCTTGAGACAGATGAAGGGAGAAATGAATCCTAGGTTTCTGAATTCCAGGACTTAACATCTTGCTCAGTGAAGGGCCTAGTTTGCCTCCACCATGTGTTTTCATCAACACAAAAGGCAGGCTCTCGCTTGGAAAAGCTGAGCCATTCTGCCATCCATTGTGCCATCCATTCATCCCTCCCTTCATTTATTAATTCATGCAATCATTGACTCAGTTTCTCTTTTATTTATGCACTCAACTCAGCCAACACTGGGTTCTGTGTGATAGATACAAAAAGAGTGAGTTGTAATTCTGGCCACAAGGAGCCCAAGTTTAGAAGAGAGATAGACACATCTATAAGCAAGTATGGTACAGAATGCAAGTATTGTGAAAGAGGGATGCAGGGGGTGGATGCAGCAGAGAGAGATAGCTGGTATGGAGAGGCATTTCCTAGAACAGCATCTGCCAGACATGGTAGAGGTGGCCATGCTTCCTGTGAGTGCTGAGAGGTCACTGCCTGACTGTGACAGCTCCCCGAGGCCCTCACTTTGGAGGCACCCAGGAGAGATATTGACATGGTTTTTGGAGGCTGGGCATGGTGGCTCACACCTGTAATCCCAACACTTTGAGAGGCTGAGGTGAGTGTATCACTTGAGGTCAGGAGTTCGAGACAAGCCGGGCCAACATGGAGAAACCCTGTCCCTACTAAAAATACAAAAATTAGCTGGGCATGCTGACATGTGCCTGTAATTCCAGCTGCACTTGGGAGGCTGAGGCAGGAGAATTGCTTGAACCCGGGAGGCAGAGGTTGCAGTGAGCCAAGATGGCACTATGGGTGACAGAGCGAGACTCTGTCCCAAAGGAAAATTTTTAAAAGGACATGGTTTTTGGGGAATTAGAGAAGCCTTTTCAAGTAATATGAAGGCTCAAAGAGAGTGGACAAAAAGGGGGTCATAAAGGCAGGAAAAGGATAAGATGTGGAAATCAAAGACATAGAGCACATAACATTTGGGAAGCAGCAAATGGTTCAACATATCCAGGATGAAAAGCAGAGGGGATAGGAGGGAAAAGCAGTGGGGCTAGAGGGGTTACTAGGCACCCAATCATGAAAGGTCTTGTGGACCATGATTAAGAAGTTGTATTTTTTTAATGATAATGAGGGTTTAAGCAGGAGAGTAACTTGATCAGGGTTGCCCTTTCAGAAGGATGTGTCCCCTCTCTCTGGATGTGGAGAAGGGAGGTTGAGGGCAAGTCTGAAGGCAGGGAGACCATTAGGGGTCTGTGGCAATCACTTAGAAGTTTCATGGCAACAACCTGAATTGGGCAGGTTCAGAGACCTGAGAGACGGGTCATGGTAGTTGAAAATGGAGGATTAGGAACAGGGAGTGCCATTCTTTTAAATGTGGCTCTCAAGCAGTGGGCAAAGAAGACTTTTGGACAGGCCTGCAGAGGCAAACACAGAGGAGATGCTGAGACCCTTCTCTTTTCCATTCACTTCTCTTCCTCAGCTAAACCAGCAGTGAATGGAAGTCCGCCCCACAAACAAATTTCTCATAAACTCTCTCAGCCAAGAAACTCATCCATTGTGCTGGAATGTCATCTCTTCGAAGAATCCTTCCCTGCTAAATGAAAAGGCAGGTCATTCAACTATGTAGCCCATTTCTACTTTATTCTTCTTTATGGCTCTTATCACCCCTTGACCTCATATAAGCACCATGAGGGCAAGGACCTTGTCTATTCACAGATGCATACCCAGCATCCAGAGCAGCAGCTGATACATTGGAGGCACACGATTAGCATTTATTGAGTGAATAAATGAGAACCTCTGTGGATAGCTAAGAAGGGCAAGCCTGTATCAGTAATTCAAAAATCACTACCGCCACACATGCATCCAGGAGGCATGACCGTGCGCAATAGAATAATCAGCTGCTCTGAATCACAACTACTCAGTGCAGATTCACTGGTCTCTGGACAAGTGTGTCCCATTGGCAGCTCCTGCTTTGGCGGTGGCTTTGTCTTAGGGGTTAAAGAGCCAGTTCCTAGGAAGCCAGTTCCAGCCAGAGTGAAAATGGCTCAAATAGTAGAGTCCGAAACTGAACCAAGGCAGAGTCAAATCTCAGGTTCTCTCCAAAAGAAGACATTAATAATACTGCTGGGTTCATAAATGAAAGAAAAAAATGAAAACACAATGAGCTACCACTATACACCTGCTGGAATGGCTAGAAATAAAAAGACTGATAATATTAAGTGTTACCAAGGACATAGACACTGGAACTCTCAGACATTGCTGGTTGGAATACAAAATGCTGTGGCCACTTTGCAAAACAACTCGGCAGTTTCACATAAGGTTAAGCATTCACTTACCATTTAAACAGCCATCCAATTGCTAAGTATTTATCCAAAACAAAGCATATGTTCACCAAAAAAAAAAAATTGTACGAGAATGCTCATAGCAGCTTCATTCATAATAGCCAGAAACACAAAAGAATCCAAATGCCCATAAGTAGGTGAATATATTTTTAATGTAGTTTATCTGTATAATGGGATGCCATTCAGTAGAAAAAAAAATGAATTATTGATACCTGCAACAATGAACAGATACAAAACATGATAGGCAAAATGAAAAATAGTGCATACTGCATGATTTCTTTTATATGAAATTCTAGACATGGTGAAATCTGTAGTAACATAAAGAACAGGTTGATGGTTGCCAGGGTCTGGGGGTGGGGGAAGAACTGACTGCAAAGACAAACTGGGAATTTTGGGGGTGATGGAAAGTTCCATAAAGATCTTGAGTGCAGTGGTGGTTACATAAGTATACACGAATGTCAGATCACATCATACTGTTCACTAAAAATGGGAACTTTTTATTATATGTAAATTATATTTCAATAAAGTTGACCATAAAAAATGAAACAAAAAAATTTTTTAAAGAAAAAGGTAAAAGCAACATAATCCCAGTTTTATTCATAACTATGCTTAGAAAACAGTCTGGAAAGCTTATCAGTAATAGACTCTGAGTGGTGAGCCTTCGAATGCTATATTCTTTATATGTTTCTGTATTTTTTCATTTTTTAGAGTTCATTGCTATGCTTATAATCAGAAAAAAATTTTTCTTTGTCAAATGAAACATCGCTTTGTAGGCATAAAAATAAATACTATTTTTCCAGGGCAAGAGCAAAATTAGTTTTATTACACACACAGCTTAAGGTCACTTTCAACAAAAGGTTGATCAACTGTCTTTTGAGTTTTAACCTCCCAGGTGGACCCACACACCTTGGCTGGGCCCTACCTAGCAGAGGTATACTCACTCCCTCCTCCTTAGAACTCAGGCAGAAGAAACGTAGCTGGTTCCAGGTAAGACAACCTAGCACAGAAAAGTGAGACTGGACCAAGCATGAGGCTGGAAGAAGGAACTGTACTGCGCAGAACATCCTCAGAAACTGTGAATTCACTAGCTTTGCCATTAGAAATCCTTTCCATTCAGAACCAATCTTGTTTTACCAAAGCCTCCTTTCCGACTTTGCCAGAAAGTTCTGATCAAGCCTGAAGCCCTCCTGCAGAACCATCCTAGGAGAGCTGTAGTGCAGAAGAAAGCCATGCCCCTCAATCACCATTAAATGTGGCCAGCATCAGCATTCACCCAGGAGCTTTTAAAAATGCAGGTCCCTAGGGACTCTAGGCCCTAGAGCTAACGGGTAAAATCTCCAGTGATAAAACCCAATGATCTATATTTTTAAAAGCTTTTCAAGTGAATCTCATGCAGCACACGGAAGCTTCCGTCTAGATCTATGGTTCTCAAACTTCAGTGCATAAGAATTATCTAAGGTTCTTGTTAAAAACACAGATTCCCAGGCCACACTTTGGTGGATTCTGATTCTGTATGTCTTAGGGAGGGCCTCAGAGTCTCCAGTTTTAACAAGCTCCCAGGTGATTCCGACGCAGGTGATCCAAAAACCACAATTCAAAAACCCTAAGGCAGATGCCAGAGTGAATTTTTCTAACCCAGTCCTCAGCAGGGAGGTCAAGGAAGAGGCAAGAGAACTAATTAGGTTATGCCAGCATGCTCAAATTTATTAAGAGGCTCACAAAGAAGATGGACCTTTTTTGCATCTCAAAGCTGCAGAAAGCCAGGGCGGAGGATCAGTCCCAAAGACACCTTGAAGAAGAGGATGTCTTATAGTACAAGACATTGAACTTCATGTGAATAAGTAAAGTATTGGGGATTCACCCTTGAGCTTGGGATCACTTAGTTGTGACCGAGTTTTAATGTTTCATCAGAGTATGGCTCTTGTTCTCGGTGCCTTGAAATACCAGAGAAGGTGTTGGAGAACAAGCCCTCCTCTACAAATCACAGAAAGACAAGACACTGTCTTGGGGGTATGGAAGGTTCTGGACACGAGGGGCTGTCCCCCTGGAGCAGATGGAGGCTTTCGGTGGGACTGCATCAGTGGTGGAGGGAAAGGTCTTCATTTTGTGTCGCATATAGGTGTGGGCTGGCAGCACACAGGCCCACAGCACCCGGAGCCGCAGCAACTGGACCCACAGCAACTGGATCCACAGCAGCCACCCCCGCAGCCTCCGCAGCCTCCACAGCCTCCGCAGCCAGATCCACAGCAAGACGATCCGCAGCAGCTGCCCCCGCAGCCAGAGCCCCCGCAGCCAGAGCCCCCACAGCCACAGCAGGAGCCGCAGCAGCCACAGCAGCCCGGCTGACAGCAGCACTCTTCACAGCAGTTTTGCTCCTGGGTGCAGCAGGTGAAGCAGTCCCCCGGGCAGCACCCCATGGTCCGGGCCCGTCAGCTCGCAGGTCGGTAACGCAGCCGGAGTTCCCCACGACTGACGGTGGCCAGCCATCTGGATGGCAGCTTTTATATCCCCTCACCCAGGCATGAGGGACGGGATGTTTTCTTTGTTATTATTTATGCAAGTTTCCATAAGACCGGCTCATTAACTGGCTGTTTATTTTCCAGTCCTGAGTACCTCAACTCATAAAAACGCCCCACTCCTGCCAACTGCTGTTTATCCAGAGGGTAAAAATACATCTTCGAAAAGACCTGTCATCATGGCCAAGCATCTGCCAGCTGTCATTAGCCCAGGTTGGAGATGGGAAGGGGAAGCCGGCCACAGCTTCTGGCTCTGGAATGAGGGGCTTGCCTTCCACATCTTCGCAGGTTGGCGATGGACCCCATCTTCCATGGATGCTAGTCCTGGAAAGGCAGACCGGCAACAGCCGAATGCTCTGTTCCCCCTGACACCAGTGGAGGCTACTGAGAACGCCTGGTCACGTGGCTCCTCCCAGGTGGAAATGGCATCCTCATCCCGGTTCATGTGAGCCAGGCAAATGTTTGTGTCTGTGTGTGGTATGGGGAGTGTGCCACACGTTTAGGCTTGGCCGGTGAGCATCAGTCATGAGTAATAACTGCCCTGTGAAACCGAGAGAGACTCATCGTAAAGCTGCAAGAAGCTGGTAAGGCATGGTCTGTCTCGGCGGCAAGGTGAGCTGAATATTCGCACTTCTCTCTAAATAGGTGGGAAGAACTGAGATCAGAACCCTCTACCCACCCCCACTCCAGCCCCAGGCCTTTCCTTGACCGGGGAAGGAAGAGATGCAGGAGGAGGAAGAAGAGGAGAAGGGGAGGAAGAAAGGAAAGAAGAAAAGAAAGAAGAAAGCAGGAAGGAGATCAGTAAATATCCAAAATGCTACATTAAAATGGGAATGTAACGCACTTTTTTTAAGAGTTCGAACCTTATAGACCATCTGGCAGAAGGAGAAATTAGAATACAAAATACCCAGAGTGTCATCCCAAGGAATAAAATGCCTTTGCAAGGAGTCTAAAATCTACAGATGGTTCAGGTCCATGTGTAAATTTTGAGATGGGTCAAAATTTCTGTCTCTTTCTTGGACTTTGGTACCTTGTTCTCCTCTTGGAGTGCCCATGGCAGCCCTGGAGCTGGAATACAACATCTAGTAGGGGTAGAGGACAGAAGATAGGGGTGGGGTGGGAATGGAAGGAGGGATGGGAGTAAGGATCTGGATCAAGGGATCTAGTCCTTCCCTTTTCATTTCCCTTTCTTTGTAAGATGGGCTAGAAGTAAGACAGCCTCTAAGAAGGGCTAGAAGAACTAAGGACAGGGTGGGAGTCGGGAGGGTAAATGATGAATGAGTTACTTGGATCTGATATGATACTCAATACTTCACAGGATATGGAATTTTAGAGCTGGGAGGAACCCCTGAAACATCATCTGGTCCAGGGTTTTATATCAGAATTGCCTAAAAGGGGGCCTTTTGAAAAATACAGATTCCCAAACTGTATTCCAGTCCTTATGATAAATCAGAATGTGTGCTTATGAGAGCTTGAGAAGCTATATATTTTAAACTTTCTCAGGTAACTTGGGTTACATTAGGAAACACTGATATAATCTAATCCTATCATGACCATCACTGCCAAGCACTTGTGTTTTACAGAAGATGATACCAAGGCCCAGAGATGACACATCCGTGGTAGATTGGACCCATGGCCCAGATGTTCTCCCTCCTGGTCCACTGTTTCTTCCACCATACCACATCCACAGATGGGCACCTCTGAGTGAGTATAATACAGCAATGTCTATGGCAGACGTGTCCTTTTTTGTTTGTTTGTTTGTTTTTTTGAGATGGAGTCTCACTCTGCTGCCCAGGCTGGAGCGCAGTAGCTTGATCTTGGCTCATGGCAACTTCCGCCTCCTGGGCTCAAACGATGCTCCTGACTTAGCCTCCCAAGTACCTGGGATTACAGGCACGCACCAACAAGCCCAGCTAATTGCTGTATTTTTAGTAGAGACAGGGTTTCGCCATGTCGCACAGGCTGGTCTGGATCTCCTGACCTCAAGTGATCTGCCCGCCTCGGCCTCCCGAAGTGCTGGGATTACAGGCGTGAGCCACTGCACCCGGCCGACACATCCTTTTACATATTTATTTATTTTAATAAGAGGTCAAGCATTCCCAGGATAAAAGGTACAAAAGAGTAGAAAGTCTTCCTCATCTTCCAATGTCTCACCATTCAGTTCTCCTGCCTCTCACCCACCCCCTCGCTGCTCCCATAATTACTTAACCCCTGTGTACCTGAATTTCTTCATCTATAAAACAGAAATTAGGATAATAATAGTAGCAGTGTCGTAGAGCTGTTTTGATTAAATGAGTAAATATAAATGTATACATATTGAACACTTGGTTGTTTGAACAACTTGAAAATATAAATTATCATACTTTTATATTTAACAATTCATATACTCATGAGCATTTACTCAGATTAAGTACAACATTCAGTGTGCAACTCAAATTATACACTATGATTTCAATTGTGTAAATGTACATGTCATGATGAGGACTTGAAGTCCTCATGGTGGTGTTATTTTTCTTCTGCAATTTATTTCACTGTTGGTCTTTCCACACAAATTGGGCAGCAGTAGGGACTTTTTATATTTACTGCCCCCAGGGTAGGGTTATTACTGTAGAAATGCAGAGAGAATGACTTAGGTCAATGCTTAGCTTATACAATTCAAAGTAGACTTTTGCAATGCAGGAGAGTGGGTGGTCAGATGACCAGGTCCATCTAGCCGCCTGGATGGGGTAATGAGAGGATGTAGACGTAGAGGATGTAGTTCTTTTGTGGACTAAAAGAACTCTAATATCTTGGTTGATGCCATGAGAGGGATGATAGGGCCAAGAGTAAGAGAGAACCATGTATATTTCAGCAAATTCCCACCATGAACCTGTTGCCAGCCTCTTGAAGGCTATGAAATTTCCATTTGATTCAAACATAACACCCCTCAAAGCTCAGACACCTCCTCCAGATGAAGGTTGGGAGGGAGAAATCCTGAATGATTTCTGTGTTTACATAGAACTGACTTTTATTTTTTTCCCCCATAAGGTGGAATGAGGGTTTGAAATAAGTTTAAACAGTCTCAGAGGAAAATAAAGTTATATATTTTTAACATATCTTAGAACATGAATTTTGAAATTTGTAACTAATATATGTTATTATATATTTATATATGTATATATCTTTATGGATACTTATCTACATTAATATAAATATTTACATGCAGATATTTGAAAAAACACTAAAAGGAAAACTAAAGTATTAGCAGTAAATGTATTTATTGTGGCATGATAAATGATTTTTATTTTCTTCTCTTTTTTGTATTTTTTAGAAATTTGCAGTGTGTAGGTATGAAATTTATAATGTAAACATTTTATTATTATTATTATTTGAATACAGTGTCAAAGGCAAATGAAAACCTGGGAACAATACAAGTAACTCATAGACAAAGCTTGCTTTCATTTTCTATTTAACAAAGGATTTCCATCAATCAAAGAGAAAGACCAGCAACCGAGTAGAAAAATTGACAATGGAGATGAAAAGATAATTCATGGAAGAGGGAATATGAATAGCATTTGAGCATATGAAATATTGCTTAGTTGCATTCACAATAACAGAAAAGCAGATTAAAACAATTCCAAAATCCTATCTGTTACCAGATTTGCAAGGTCATATATTTTGATAACACATTATGTAATAAGGAGTGAAGAGACAGATAGTCTCACACATTGCTGATGGGAGTGTAAATTGGTACAACCTTTATGGCAATATCCATCAAAATTACCAATGCAAAAACTAATTGATCCAATAATTTATATTCTAAGAGTTTACGACAGGGATATATCAAGATATATATAAAATGATGTAAGTATACAGTATCTGTTGCAACATGGCTCCAGAATCAACACTATCAAACTACCAACATCATTTTTAACAGAATTTGAAAAAACTATTCTAAATTTCATATGGAACCAGAAAAGATCCCAAAGAGCCAATGCAATCCTAAGCAGAAAGAACAAAGTGGAAGGTATCACGTTACCCAATTTCAAACTATAGTGTAAAGCTACAGTAACCAAAACAGCATGGTACTGGTACAAAAACAGACATATACAATGGAACAGAATAGAGAATCCGGAAATAAAGCTGCTCACCTACAGCCACCTGATCTTTGACAAAGTTAACAAAAATAAGCATTGGGGAAAGGACTCCCGATTCAATAAATGGTGCTGGGATAACTGGCTAGCCATATGCAGAAGAATTAAACAACCTCTGTATTTCACCATATAGAAAAATTAACTCAAGATGGATTAAAGATTTAAATGTAAGGCCTCAAACTATAAGAATCCTAGAAGAAAAACTAGGAAACATCATTCTGAACACTAGTCTTGGGAAAAAATGCATTACTAAGTTCTCAAAAACAAATGCAACAAAAACAAAAATTGACAAGTGGGATCTATTTAAATGAAAGAGCTTCAGCACAGTAAAAGAAACTATCAACAGAGTAAACAGATAACCTATAGAATGGAAGAAAATATCCACAAACTATGCATCCAAAAAAGATCTAATATCCAGAATCTATGAAAAACTTAAACAATTCAACAAGGAAAAAACAAATGACCCTGTTAAAAAGTGGGCAAAAGACATGAACAGACACTTCTCAAAAGAAGACATGCGAGTGGTCAACAAACATGTGAAAAAATGCTCCACATCATTAATCATCAGAGAAATGCAAATCAAAACCACAGTAAGATACCATCTCACACCAGTCAGAATGGCAATTATTAAAAAGTCAAAAAACAACAGATGTTGGTGAGGGTGTAGAGAAAAGGGACCGCTTATACACTGTTGGTGGGAATGTAAATTAGTTCAGCCACTGTGGAACGCAGTTTAGAGATTTCTCAAAGAACTTCAAATAGAACTACCATTCAACCCAGCAATCCCATTACTGGGTGTATTAGTCTGTTCTTGCACTACTATGAAGAAATGCCTGAGACTGGGTAATTTAGAAAGAAAAGAGGATTAATTGGCTCACAGTTTCATAAGCTATACAGGAAGCATGATGCAGGCATCTTCTCAGGTTCTGGGGAGGCCTCAGAAAACTTACAATCATGGCAGCAGGCAAAGGGTAGCTGGCACTTCACATGGCCAGGGCAGGAGGAAGAGAGAGAGTGGGGAGATGCTACACACTTTTAAATGACCAGATCTCACAAGAACTCACTCACTATCACAACCAAGGGGGCTAGTGCTAAACCATTCATCAGAAATCACCCCTGTGATCCAATCACCTCCCACCAGGACCCACCTGCAACGCTGGGAATTAACAACTGAACATGAGATTTGGGCAGGAACACAGATCCAAATTATATCACTGGGTATACATCCAAAAGAAAATAAATCGTTCTACCAAAAAAACACACATCCACTTATATGTTCATTGCAGCACTATTCACAATAGCAAAGACATAGAATCAGCCTAAATGCCCATCAGCAGTGGACTATGTAAGGAAAATGTGGCACACATACACCATGGAATACTACCTGGCCATAAAAAAAAAAATCATGTCATTTGCAGCAACATGGATGCAGCTGGAGGCCATTATCCTAAGTGAATTAATACAAGAACAGAAAGCTAAATACCATGTGTTCTCACTTACAAGTGGGAGCTAAACAGTGAATTCACATGGACGTAAATATGGCAACAATAGACACTGGAGACTATGAGAGGGGAAAGGGAAGGAGAGGAGCAAGGGTAGAAAAACTAACTATTGGTTACTATGCTCACTATCTGGATGATGAGATCAATTGTACCACAAACCTCAGCATATATACCCAGGTAGCAAACCTACACGTATACCCCCTGAATCCAAAAGAAAAGTTGAAATTATTTTTTTAATTACTCTCCAGAAAAATTGTCCTCATTTGTGTTCACTTCACAGTGCCTTCGCCAATATTAGTTGTTATTTTTAAAATCTCTTTGTCAATTGGGTAGGCCAATTATGAAGTCTCATTATAGTATTTATTTGTACTTAGTAATTATCATTGCATATTTTTATAGGCCACTGTTATTTCCTTTTTAGAAATTATCTGCTCATTCTAATTAGCTACCCATCTTTCCCACCTTACTTATATGAACTTATTTTATTATGCCAGGTATATTAACTTTTCGTTGTGTCACTCACACATGTTGCAAAATTTGTCCCAGGGTGTATCACTTTCTTTTAGTTGTGTCTATATTTTTACGCACAGAAATTTCTTTCTATGTAGGGAAATCTTTTTTTCCTAGTGTTTTGTTTCAAAAGTTCTCCTCCATCCCCAAATCAGACAACTATTTGCTTTATTTTCATCTATTTTATGGTTGTATTTTTTATACTTAATGCTGCTATCCATCAGGAATTTACTTTGGTGTGTGGCAGATACTGCTTTACAAAAAAAAAAAAAAATCCTAGTTTTCCTAATTGGGGAACTTGACTGCCTATTAAATGAAGTTTGCTGACAAGATCCTGCCTCTACAAAAAATTAAAAAATAAAAAATTTGCTGGGTGTGGTGGTGCATGCCTGTAGTCCCAGCTACTCAGAAGGCTGAGGCAGGAGGATGGCTTGAGCCTAAGAGCTCAAGGCTGCAGTGACTGAGCTCAAGGAGCCATGATCAAGCCACTACACTCCAGCCTGGGCAATGGAGCGAGACCCTGTCTCTAATAAATAAAAAAAATAGTTTCTGTACAAGAAAGAACAGAATGTAGAGATCAAAAACGCAATCATGTCGTCTGTTCTGGCAGCCTCTAGTGTTCATCTCATGATATTACACAAGCAGCTTCTAGTGTTTCCTTTAGAAGCACTCACAAGACAGGCTCTGACACTAGATTCACCAGAAGCAACTCAACAAAAATTTGGTTTGATGAGAGAAGCTTATTATATTTACATGGAACTAATTTAAACCATGCATCCAATTAACGATCTCTTAGCAAAGGAGACACATTATCAGTCCCTCCCTCATGCCAGGCCCTGCTGTGAGCACTTTATACGTGTTTTCTTGGTTAATGCTCAAGATAGCTCAACACAAGTATTAATATCCTTATTTTGTGCATGAAGAAACTGGAGCTCATGGTGATCAATTACTTTACCCAGACAATGCAGAGCTTGGATTTGAACCCAGATCTGTCTGTTTCTGAAGCCCATCTTCCCTCCTCTATGTCTGGCTTTCTGAGAGAACCACAGAAAATTGCAAAGGCCCTGAGGCAGGAGCGTGATTGGCATGCTTGAGGCCCAGAGGGGAAGTCTGCATCTGGTCTGGTCTGGTGTGAGCAGGGGAGAGCGGCAGACAGCTCAGGGGAAGAAGAAGGCCCAGGTTCAATGACCTGAGGCCGTTGCAAGGCTCTAGCTGTCACTCAGAGGAGATGGAGAGCCAGCAGAGGGTCCTGGGTAGAGGAAGGCTCAGCTGTGGCTCAGGCGTTAACCATTCACTGCCCTCTGTCCTCTGCCTTCAACCCTCAACTTTTTGCCTCTCCACTCCACCATGCTGGGTGGGGAGGGCTGAAGTTAGGGAGCACCCACAGAGGCTCTGATGCTGGCCCTGGGACCCAGGAGTGAGAGTGATGAGGAACTGGCTGCACACATGAGTAGGGCAGCCGGATCTGGCCAGAGAAGCAACACATGCACCCTTTATCTTGGACCCCTCACCCTGGCTCCCTCTGAGTTGCAGGGATGCCCAGCTGGGCTGCCAGCGGACATGGGGCCTCACTATGCTGACATCTACAAAGGCACTGATCGCCTTGGGATTCTGCAGTGAGTCCTCATCCCTTAAAGCACCAATCTCAGCTCAGGGATGGGTTTTGCCCTTAGAAAGGCCTTTCTGAGGCAAGATGTGTCTACCTGGCTCCAGCCAACCTCCTTTTCAGGGCCAGAACTCCTCCCTGGCACCCCTGCAGGTCCAGCCCATGGTCGTTGTTAGGCCAGAGGTGCGTGGCCCATCTAGGGAGCGTGGTTCATCTAGGGAGCGGGTGGGAATGGAGAGAGGGCTAGGTCAGGCCCCTGGGCTCTCAGCAGTTCTGTCTCCAAGTTAGCACAAGAGGAGGGGGGCAGCCTGAGGGTCTGGCCCTGTCCACTTTCTGAGATCCAAGGGTTGTGGCCACAGGGTGAGGGGATGCTTGGCCCAGCCTGGGGGCAGTTGTCCGGCAGATCTCTGAGGGCCCACCTGCCTGTCTTCTTCCCCATTCCCCATGGGGAAGGGCATGGGGAGAATGAGGGCTGTGGCCCTGGGGGAATGGGGGAGAAGATGGGTAGGGCCATGTTCTGGGCGTCTCACGGTGAGACCAGGGAAGCAGCAGAGCTTGTGGCTAAAGGCCCTGGATCTGGTGCTGGGAAGGAATCTGGGGCCAGGTAGGAGCCCAGCCTGGAGCTGATCCCTCGGGGGTCATAGGATAGAGAAACAGAGGATCCCAGGGAAGGTGGGGTGGGAGTGAGCTTATGGGCTGTGCCACTTCTGAAATGCACCCCAAAGGAGCCGATGGTCTGGTGAGGATGACAGAAGGGGTGGAGCCAAAAACACCAACTCACCTGGGACTCGTCAGCAGAGTCCCAGCAGAGGGAGCCGGTCAGTCCCCAAGGCTCTGCGTGGCTTTCCAGAGACTCTGCTTCCAGTTGGCTTGGACAGCACGGTGTGCAGAAAGTGATGGGGGAGACTGACTTAAGGCAGGCGGGACAGTGGGAGAGGACAGTCAGGCGCCCCAATCCCAGCTGCTGCAGTGTCTGGGAGGAGGCTGAGGGCTGACAGCCAAGGGCTCCAAGAGCCAGGTGAGGCTGGAGGTGGGGCAGGGAAGCCATCCTGGCCATCTGTGGGGTCCTCGGTCACCCATGTCACCCTTGGCATCTCCCCAGCAGCCATCGGCAGCCCAATGAGAGAGCAGACAAGGCAGGCATGTGAACAGATCTGGGGAGTATCACTCGGGGGTTCTGACAGGACAAGGATCAAAGAAGGGCCAGGGTGGCTGGGGAAACATTCACCATCTCTGGGTTGACAGGATGGCAGAAATTGGGGAACAAGCAGGGTGGGTGGCTGGAGTGCAGGGAGAGGCAGGTGGATGCCGGGAGGTCAGACCCTGTGAGGGCTTGGGAATGTCGGGTGGGATGGGCCCTGGATGCACCCTGGGTACACCAGGCAAGTCTCAGGCCAGGATCCCTAAACCTCAGCAGGGTGATGTGGTCACTCCCTGAGGGACTCCTGTCAGGGCCCGGCTACCCACCCTGGGTGGCACCTGTCCCGTCTCGGGCTGATTTTTCTCAGCCACCCTGGCCAGGTGACCTCCACTTTTAGTGAAGGCACCTTCCTGTGTCGCCAACTTATCTGGAGCCTTTAGAATGTCTCTGCTGAGGGCCCCACAGAAGCCCAGGACTGAACGGATACCCCCAGGGCTACACAGGTACCCCCAGGCCCCAAATGAGACGCCTTTTATCTCCATCAACAGAGGACATCTTATCCCCCCGTGGCTGCCCTCTGTGGCCTGGAGCCACACCCTCTGGCTCTGATTCTGTGCAACTGACTGTCCCCTCCGTGAGAGTCCTCCTGCCCTCCTGCTGGCCAGGCTCCAGCTGCCCTTGGTGCCCACAGATGGGTCGATGAAGCCCAGATGGCAGCATCTCCCCTTCCCATGTACCCTGGCCCGACCCCACTTCCAGGAGACGACCACGAAACCCAGCACCCACCCAGTTCTTCCCGCCCTCTGTCATGGCCTCAAAGTCAGCCTTGCCTTCCTAGCACCCGGGCCCAGGAGGCCTCCAGGAGCACCTCCGGCCAGGCTCCAGAGGATGTTCCCATCCCTCTTCCCCAGGGCCAAGGCCGCATGGTGGGGTCACCAGGTGGGAGGGTGGGAGGCCCGGTGTTCATGGGCCTTTGCAGCTGCCCAGCAATTCCAGCCGACAGTTCCACATCTTGGGAACAGGCTCTGATTTCATGATGGGCTGGAGGCTTCTCAGGATTCCACAGCCCAAATGGCACAGGGGTCCAGGGGCTCCAAGACCACCAGGAGCATGTGGTACCCACGTCACACCCCAAGACCATGAGGCACTTGGTGAGTTTATGGTCCCCTCGACTCTTCCCTAGAGGCCCAGCATCCCATGGGGCCAGAGGAGTCGGGGGTGCTGGAGCCCCTCGTGGGGCTGGTGAGAGGCTGAGTCCCAGCCAGGGCCTGACCTGGGACGTGGGGTTCTCCATGTACTGGGAGTTGGGTTTCCTTTCCTGCCCTGGAGGAGACAGAGGCACAGGGACAGGGGCCCAGCTCCTGCAGAGCAGGGCTGAGGGCAGTGTGTCCACTGGGAATGCAGGAAGGGGGAAGGTGTTGTGGGGAGCCCTGGACACCACCCAGTACTCTGCACTTGGGGAAGGGTCTTCAGAGGGCCCTAGAAGAAGGAGGTTTTTAGGGCAGGCTAGGGGGCCCTGAGCACCTCTGTTCCTCCTGTCGGGACACGGAAGGGCTATGTGCTCAAGGTTCCTCATTAGCTTGGCTTCTACAGAGGGTGATCAATGGGATAAGGAGGCACAGGGAGACCGTGGCTCAGGGACCCTCCTTGCCCTGCAGTGCTCTACTTCCCCAGCCCAGGGGTCTGGCTCACCCCCAGCCCACAGGAGGCTCAGGCAGGTCCCTGTAGGACACACAAGCAAGGCCCTCTGCCCAAGAGGGGTCATCCCCCAGCAGAGGCCAGGGCTCAGGCCCAGCCTCATGGATAGACTGACCCAGGACCTAACTTGGGAGGGCTCAGGGAAGCCAGACCCAGCCTCCTGGAGGGGTCAGATGACCCTCATGGGGAGGGTCACTGACTCTGGGGGACTGAAGCCCCAGTGGGCCCAGATCCAGCCACCAGCCTCCAGCCTGGACGAGCCAGGGCCTCCCACACCTGTGTCCCCACAGATCTCTCTCGGGCTCACCCTAAGCCTGTGGAGGGTGTATTTGGTAGAAAGGAACAGGTGTTGATGCCAATGGCACGCACTGCCTTCAAGGTTCAGAGGAGTAAGTCCACGTGTGCCCAGTGGGGCCTGGGAAGCTCTGGGGTCAGACCCCGACTGGCCCAAGGGCAGCTTCCTCACACTGTCCCCATGTTTCTCTGCTCCAGCCCAGAAGAAGGTCTGGCCTGGTGAGCAGGGCAGGGCACAGTGATGCCGAGCCCATCCCGCACGTGACCCAGATGAAAGTCGGGAGTGTGGCAAGCACTTCCCTGCCCAGGCCTCCCCCAAACCACAGCCTCCTGTGCACATCTGCACCCCTGTTGTGGCCACAAAATGATCCGGCACCACCCAGTGGGAGACGACAGAGGTGGCAATGGGGTGTCGGCTCTGACGCCTCCCAGGGAACTTTCCTGGCCTGATCCTCACCCTGTCCCTAGAGCACCTCATGAAGGCTTCCAGGTCTGGCCTGTGGGCGCGTTTTCAGGACCAGTTCCCCCAAACCTGGGCCCTGGACAGTGATGCAGTTCTTAGGCACCTTCAGGCCTCTGTGCTCTGTAAGGAAACTACCAGGAAGCATGGGGACCTGCCACCCCCAGGAAGGCTCCAATACCCAGTCCCCCCACCAAGTCACCTTCTGGGGCAGTCAATAGTGGGGGAGTGCCTGTGACCCCAAACCTGGGCCTTCCTCTTACATCTTTTCTTCCTCCTCTTCCTCCTGGATGCTAAGTAAGTGCAGGAGGCCCACCGGTCCTCAGGGCAGGCGCTCAGTGCGTGTGTACTGGTACTCAGTGCTGTGCACACAGGAGGGGGATGTGGGCAAGACCCTCCAACAAACCCCCTCCCACTTTCCATTGTCCTGCCCTCCCCCTCAAATGGCCCTCAAGGGCATTGGAAGAGCCAGGCCTATTTGGGGGAGCCCCCGCCCCTCCCTGCAAGCACTGACAGACTCAGAGAGCAGCAGAGGACCCTCACTCCTGCACACCCTTCCAAGGGTGCCAGAAAAACAAGTCTCGAGCCAGGGAGACAAGGGAATTGGTGTCCCTGACTCCCAGAGCATTCAGGGAGAGGGCACGGGTGGGACCCCTGGCCCAGAGCCAGAGCCAAGAGTTCAGCCAGCTGTGGGAACAGTCAGTCCCGGCATGGACTGGGCAGCCCAGGAGGGCAGAAAGGGCCCTGTGTCCGGGTCCTCTCACCCACTGTGGAGATAGGTCCCCATGTGAGGTGACAAGGGGGCTGGGTGACAACCAAGGCCCCTCCCACCTGAGTTCTGACTAGGGACTGTATCCCAGGCCCAACAGCCCTGGGATGAGGGTGGTAAGGCAGGAAGCCCCCAGCCAGCCTGAACCCTGGGAGGCAGTCCCAGAAGGCAGTCCCAGGAGCCACCTCCCATGCCCATACAGCTTTCCCACCCCAGGCGGCACACACTCCCTCCCTCTGGGATCAGCAGCCTACAGGCGTGTCCTGTCAGGCCACGGGGGCCACACAGAGACCCTGAGGACTCTAGAGACCCAGGCAGGTGGGGCCTGACCCGGAAAGATCTGCATGGGCTCACTGGAGATGCTGACCATATCTGTTTTCCTTTCAGCCAAACCTAAGCAAGGGTCCTCAGCACCCAGGCCTGAGCTGGCTTCACCGTGTGGCAGGAAGACCCTCTGCAAGGGGAGTAGGCAGGCTCCTCCAGGCCCACAAGCCCACTTCCAGCAGTGCATTTGGTCAGCTTCCCCGCCATGGGTGCCTCTTCCTTTCACACCCTGTCCTGTCTTGGTGGGGCTATCCCAGGGTGTGCCCAGACTGGCCCCAGCTCAGGGAGGACCTCGGGTTTCCTGGAGGTACCTGCAGTGGAACTCCCTGCCTCAGCTCCCAATGGACTCGGACGTGGTGAGCCCTTGGTTTCCCCATTATGATTTCGAACAGGGCTGTTGGGCCCGTGTCCCCTCCAAATGTGTCCTGGACAGCCCTGGGACCATGGGACAGACCTAGCCCAGGAAGCCCATGGGGACCTCGACACCAGGCCCTGCCCAGGCCCATCAGGACTAAGAAGGAGATCAGGAGATACCCCCACTGCAACATGGGCACCTGTATCTGGAAGGAACCAGGGTGGCACCCACCAGCTTCCCCGCAGCCCCAGATACCTTGGAAGATCCCATTCAATGGGGAAGCTGGTCCCATCAAGGCCACAAGAGAGAGACGTGAGCACGGCATCCCTGCAGCCCCAGACAGCCAGCAGTATGGACCTGGGGCACAATACCCAGGCCAAGAGTGGCCTGGCCTAGACCCCAGCCCTGGGAAGAGAGGGGTACCAGGGCTGTGGTGGGCTCCCAGCTGCAGTCAGCATGACCATGCAGGGGACCCTGGCACTGCAGAGCTCTGCATTGTCACAATTCACCTTACAGAACCGGGGAGAGATCTCGAAGCCTTGCAGCCACTGCTGCAGCCACAGCAGGTGCCACCACCACGTGCCTTCCAGCTGCCAGTGCAGGCTCTCCTGACAGCAGGGCACCCTGCAGCCCTCACCTCAGCAGCTCAGACTCTGAAGGTATCTGTTGTTCATGTTCCCAGTGCTCCCACCAAAGAGAATTACTACAGAGAATACTCTTGGTCCTGAGGTGGGCAAAACAGCATGCCCTGTGGATGGAGCCGGCTTCTTTCCCAGCCACCATGCTTGCTGGATGGGCCCGCAGAGCAAGTGGCCATGAGACGGGCATGGGGACGGGAGAGGCTCAGCATCCTGCACATGCCCTTACCAAGGCTCACCAGGCTGACACCACTGCTGAGCGCCTTGTCTGTGGAAAACAGATTCACACCCAACCCCTGGGATGGCACCATTTCCCAGAAGGACCAGCTGGCCACCTACTGGCAGGCTGACCACACTGCGGAAGGGGCTGAGATTGGCTTTCACTGCACTGAGCCACAACGTGGACATGCACTTGCCGGCCCTGCAGTGCACACAGCACTGCTTCCGACCAGGGCACCCCATTCACAGCTAGGGACAAGCAGCAGTACACTCCCGAGGCCCCACAACCCAAACAAGCTTCCCATCCTCGTTTTACTTTTTTGTTAAACTTATGAAAATTTATGAAGAAAGTGCACAGCTCTAAAGACATTAACAGATGGAACACATCAGCCCCCAGATCACAAAGCCAACCCAGCCTCTGCGCCCCCAGCCCTGCAACCAGTGTTCTGACTTCTGACAACACCATGAGCCTGCCTTTTGTACTTTACACTCATGGAAGGATAACCACGTCCATGTTTTAAAATAAATGTTTACTTTTGAAATGATTTTAGATATATAGAAAAACTGAAAAGGCATTATAGTGTACTCCGACACCTTCCGTCCAGCTGCCCCTAATAATGACATTTTGCATTACCATGGCACATTTGTCCAAATTAAGAAATTTAGGCCAGGTGTGGTGGCTCACACCTGTAATCCCAGCAGTTTGAGAGGCCAAGGCAGGAGGTTAAGGTTCATTTGAGTCCTGGAGTTTGAGACCAGCCTGGGCAACATAGGTAGACCCTATCCCTGGAGAAAAGTTAAAAAAAAAAAAAAAAAAAAATAAGGAGCCAGGCATGGTGGCGTGTGCCTATAGTCCCACCTAATCAGGAGGCTGAAGCAGGAGGATCGCTTGAGCCCAAGAGATCCAGGAAGCAGTGAGCTATGATCGCACCACTGCATTCCAGCCTGGGCGACAGAATGAGACTTTCTCTCTTAAAAAAAAAATTAAGGAATTTAACATGGGTGCAATCCTGTTAACTGAATAATAATGTTAACTATTATTTAAGGTTATTAATGCTGTCACTATATTAATATGGTGAAATTCATTCAGATTTCACCTGTTTTTGCTTAACTTCTGGTACCTGTCCCAGGATCCCACCTCGGACTCACCTTCTGTCTTTAGGTCATTCCTCCTTAGCTTCCTTCAGAGGTTGCAACCAAACACACACCTTGGCTGAATGGTAGAGCTGATTGCTCCTGGGCTCCAAACCTCTGCAGCATGTTACCATACTGAGTACCATAGGTAGTGGTAACACAATGATGGCTATTTGTGTATCTAAACACAGAAAAGAATGATAAAAATACAGTATAAATGATAAAAAAAAAAAAAAATTGGTACACCTGGCCAGATGTAGTGGTTCATGCCTATAATCCCAGCACTTTGAGAGACCATGCCGGGAGGATCACTTGAGCCCAGAAGTTCTAGACTAGTCTGGGCAACATAAAAAGACCCCATCTCTTTTTAGATATCAATTTTTAGAGATGGTACACCTGTATAGGGCAGCTCCATTATAACCTTATGGGACCACCATTCTATATGCATTCTGGCACGGACTGAAATGTTGCTATCTGACACATGATTGCATAGGTAAGTAATCTAGAGATGATTTAAAGCATATGGGAAGATGTGCTTAGGTTATATGCAAATACTGTACCATTTTATATCAAGACTGGAGCATCTGTGGATTTTGGTATTTGTGGGAGGTGGTGAAACTGATTCCCGACGTACGCAGAGAGACAACTGTAAACATTTCGGACCCCACAGAAGGCTCAATTGCCTGCCCCCTCACCCTCAGGTAAGCTTTCTAAAGTGTTTGTTTCACTTTACCTGCTCATCCGTGAGCCAGAGGGCTCCATCAACAGCTTGGGCTGTCTCAGAAAGACCTGGATTCAATCCCATTCAGCCACTTAGTAGCTGTGTCACTTTGGGCAAATCATGTAACTTCTCTGAACCTCAGTGTCCTCATCTGTAAATTGGGCCGATGGTGACCCTTACTTTGCAGGCCCCCGTGAGGACTAAGTGAGATGAAAGCTGACACCCCAAGTGACACCACTTCTCCCTTCCTCAGACTCAACAGGAAAACGCCTTCACTGCCCAATGCAAAGGCTATGGGGAGGATGAGAGGCTCCAGGGATCCCCTGTCCCAGGAGCATAAACCCTGGATTTTTGCTTCCAGAAATAACCTTCTCTAGGATCAGGATGGTTCTTAACTCCCCAAAGACTGTGAGCCCACCCTAGGCGGCATCTTCAGCAGTGGGGAAGGGGATGCACAGTGCCAGCCTCACCCTGGCCACTGTCTGCCCTCATGACTCAGAGCCCAGCTAGGTCCCCACGCAGAGCAGTGCAGGAACCTACCTTGGTCCCAGGCTCCAGCCATCCCGGCCACCCCCACCTGCCACCACCCTGTCTCCTCCATCCCTCAGCCCCTGCTTGCCTCGTTCACAGCTCAGTGTCCTGACATCTTAGCTCCTTGCATGTCACCGTCGTCTGTCTCCTCAAGGGGAGTGCAGCACAAGGGCAGGAAACTCGGTCAGTCTGTGGATGTGTCTCTGGTGTCAGGCAGAGATTAAAAGCTCCATATATACTTGCCCAGTGTCTGCGTGCATTCCAAAGCAAGAGACAGCTTTGGAAATGAGAAGAGACCCTCCTGAGGTGAGAGTCCTTAGTTGGCATTTCCCAAGTATTCTCGGCATGCCAGGCACTGAGCTGGACCCATGGACATGTGAGCTCTGGACCCTGTGGGTGCTGTCACTCATGTACAGGTGGGTCCGCCTGGACCTGGTGCAGTCACATAGCTCCCTGATAGCTAAGCTGAAATTGGAACCCGTTCAGTTTGGCTCTTGCTCTGCTCAATGGCTCCCCAGCTGCTCCAAGGGAGAGCTGAAGCCTTGCAGTGGCCTCAGGTCATTGAACCTGGGCCTTCTCTCCCTGAGCTATCTCCTGCTCTCCCCTAGCTCACACCAGGCCAGATGCAGGCTTCCCCTCTGGGCCTCAGGCATGCCAATCATGCTCCTGCCTCAGGGCCTTTGCACAAGCCATTCCCGCTGCCTGGAATGCTCTCTGCCTAGAAAACTGCTTGGCTGACCCATCACCTCCTACAAACCTTGCTCAAACCTTGCTTCATCAATGAGGACAACCCTGGCCATGCATCTAGAAGGGGCCCAGCACAGGGTATGTGCTCAATACACAGATGAAGAAAGAAGGGATGGAGAAGAGGGAGGTGGAGGAAGGGCAGAATGCCCATGGCCATTTTTATTCCAGTGATAACAGGTAGCAATGAATACCTAAGGGCAACGCGGATGGGGCAAAATGAAAGATCACAAAAGGCCAACATGAGCAGGTTGGGAGAGTGCAGCTCTACTCATCTGCCCTGATGCAGATTTGGGGACTCCAGATGTGTCACCTCTGGGCAGCCCCTTCTCGGCCCCCTCCCCACTGAGCTCTTCTTCCACCTCCAAGCCTGGCCCATCCTCCAGGGATCCAGGACAATATAGGAGACAGCTGTTTATCTCCCAGAACACTGGGAAAGGCTGTGGGTGGGTAAGATGCTCAGCGGCCCTTGAAACTCATCTCAGTTTTGCTCCAAATGTGCAGCCCTGCCACTCCTGTGAACAGGAAGAGCACTGGAATGAGAATCAAGACACTGGGCCCTATTCCTCTTGACATCTGAATATCTTCCCCATCCCAGCATTTCCCAGGGGCCTGGGAGAGGGACAGTTGTCTCATGTATTGTCCTGCTTTGTCTGTGTATTGAGCACATACTCTGTGCTGGATGCCTTCTAGATGCGTGGCCGGGGTTGTAGTCCTCATTGACGAGGCAAGGTTCGAGCAATGTTTGCAGGAGGTGGTGGGTCACCCAAGCAGATATCTTGGCAGAGAGCATTCCAGGCAGTGGGAATGGCTCATGCAAAGGCCCTGAGGCAGGAGCATGACCGGCATGCCTGAGGCCCAGAGGGGAAGCCTGCATCTGTCCTGGTGTGAGCAGAGGCAAGCAGCAGAGAGCTCAGGGACAGAAGTCCCAGGTTCAATGGCTGAGGCTGTTGCAAGGCTCTAGCTGTCACTCAGAGCAGCCAGGGAGCCAGCAGAGGGTCCTAGCCAGAAGTGGGTTCAGCTGCGGCTCAGGTGTTAACAGGCCACACCACACCAGCAGGGAGGAGAGGGGGGCCAGCTGGCTGGTCCAGGTAAGTAATGAAGGGTGCTCAAACTAGGTGGGAGAAGGCAGATGGTGAGTAGAGTCACCTCAGGATCATTGTGAGGATGTCACCTACATGATTTGCTCATGGACTTAATGGGGATGGGGTCTGGAGGGAAAAGGAGAGACCAGTCCACAGGCCCCATGAGCCATATAGAAGCCAGACTGAATGGGTTTTAATTTCAACTCAGCTAGCAGGGAGCTATGTGACTGCACAGGAGCCGATGCAAACTGGACAGACAGGGACATCCTCCCTGGACTACTGTCCCACTCATCCATCCATTCATCCATTGGCCCACCTCTAGTACTGTCCCAACTACAGCCCTAGCAAGCGGAGACAACAAAAAGACCAGTTTTCCAGCTTTGTGGTCTTGGAAGAAGTTGCTACCAGTATGAGGAGAGACAATCAGTTTCCTCCAGGATCCAGAGAGCATATCAGCCAGCCTGAGGGTCAGGAAAGGAGGTCGGCCTCTCCACCAGCTAGACAGGCCTGCAGTAGGATGGGGCTGGGGCTGGCCATGCAGATCACTTGGGCCTCATGAGGGGAAAAGAAAGACCAGGGGGCAGAGGAGGAGCATGGGGGCAGCTGGTGGCCTCAGAAGAAGGCACCTCAGAGAAGGGGTCTGTCTTAGTTTGTTTTGTTTTCACACTGCTATGAAGAAATACCTGAGACTGGGTAATTTATCAAGGAAAGAGGTTGAATTGACTCACAGTTCAGAAAGCTTGCAATCATGGTGGAAGGCGAAGGGGAAGCGGGCATCTTCTTCACAAGGCAGCAGGAGGGAGTGAGAAAACGAGGAAGTGCCATGCTTTAAAACCATCTGCTCTCCTGAGAACTCACTCACTATCAGGGGAACAGCATGGGGGAACCCAGCCCCCTATAATACAATCACCTCCCATGAGGTTCCTCCCTTGACACATGGGGATTACAGCTCAAAATGAGATTTGGGTGGGGACACAGAGCCAAACCTATCAGTGTCTCACGTCTTGCAGCTCCCCTGGGGCTAAAGCTGAATGCAGATCTGCTGACCCTGATCTACAGCTTGCGGAAGCTCTGCCTGTGTGCCCCCATCTGCTGCTTCCTAGGGTTGGGGCCTGCTTCCTCAAAAGGAGAGTGGATCTGTTCTCCTGCCAGCCCCCCACAGGGCCTTGTGGAGCCCTGGCCATGTCCTCCCAAGGTGAGGTCATAAAACTGGGCTCCTTGCCCTTCTTGTTGCTTGGGTGACAAGCCTCGGGTCATCCCTAGGTCCTGTCACTGCTCCTGCTTCTAAAAGGAGAGCATTTTGCCAAATCTTCCTGGGAGAGGCTGGGGGCTCATCCCTGTTATTTGTTCTAGCTTGGTAAAATGAGGTTAAGACATCTAGGCAAGCAGACAATAGAGGGGCACCCAGGAAGGGTGGGTGGCGGGTGCTGGCATTTGGGCTTGCCTGGACCTTGTGGGGAGGGGGAAAGGTTACCAGGAGGCAGCACTGTCAGTCAGGGCTAAAGTCAGGAAGTGGGGGGAGTGGGGGCAGAGTGTGGCTGGCTTGCGGGGGGGCATAAGTGAGAGCCAAGATTTGTCAGCATGCAGTGGGTGTGGCTGACACCTGGCCTAGGGGCTGTGGAGCCCAGTGGTTGCTCTTAGTTCCTGGATCCAGGGAGATTTCTGGAGCCTGTGCCTGGGGCTTTCTAGGGGTGAAGATGGTGAGGGGCAGGGAAAGGGTGGCAGAGGAGGCCTTGCATGGCAGGGTGCAGGGCAGGATGCTGGGCAGGGACCAGATTGCAGTGGCTGCTCTCATCCCCACCACTACCCCTACCTCTACCCCAACCCTGGAGCAGGGTGGGGCCTTGGCAGGTGTCCTCTGTTTTGGCCTCGGCAGATCACAGGATGGAAGCCAGCAGTCCAATAGGCGTGCCACTCAAGCCAGCAGTGACCTGCAGCTTCTGCTTCCTGGAGAGTGGGGTGCCCACCCAAGAGAGCACAAGCACACCCCACACCCCTGACCTTGAGGGCACTGGGAGGTGGGGGCACTGTACTGGGACCAAGTCCCGGCAGCCTTGTGCGTGTGCCCTGGAAGGTAGCCTAGGAGTCCTGCGTGTGCCTCTCTGCACAGCAGGGAGGGGTGGGCAGGAGCCTGAACAGTGGCAGAGAGGGAGAGGAGGAGGGAGAGAGAAGTGGAGAAGGAGAGAGAAAGAGACATGGGAAGAAAGGAGTGAGAGAGAGAAAGAGAGATGGGGAGAGAGACAGAGACAGAGGAGGCTGAGAGGGAGTGTGGGGAGAGAGATAAGGAGAGAGACATAAAAGGTAGAGAGAGAGACAGGGAGAGATGCGCATGAGCAGAGGTCAGGTCACTCTTGATCTTAGTTCCCAGTGCAAACTGTAGGTCACCATCACCTGCCCACACATGCACTAAAGAGCTCTGTGCCTGCTGCCCACAGCCCCTGAGAACTCCTTCTCTTGAAGAATAAAACTTTTGATGGCTGCCATTCCTCACTGGATTTTGGTTGTGTCTTTGATGAACCATGATGTCCCACCTTCCCGGGCTCAAGTCTCCACCAAAAGCTGATGCCTCTTTTTGGGAGGCTCTGCAGTGCCTTCATCTCACTAGGCTCCCCAGGAAGCTTGTGAGCTTGGGTTGGACCCTAAGCAGTCAGATACATGCTGGGGCTCTGCTTGTCTCTTTCACTAACAGGGAAAGCCAAGAAAGAGATTGAAGCATGGTCTGCAGAGAAGGCACTTGTGCAAACACCAGGAGAACAAGAAGCCTGAGTTGTCTTCATTTCTCTTAAAAACACTCATTCCCTCCCATGCCACCTTAGTGAGGGCATGAAGCACAGCATGTGTGTGTATGTGTGCAGGTATGTGCACATGTATGTATGTGCATGTGTGTGTGTGTTGCAGGGGTGTGCTGTGGACAGGAGGTCCAGGGGGCAGCTCCAACTCAAAGCTGCAAGTCTCTGTGATAGAATGGTCAAGATTCACTGGACCACAGCAAGAGAGTGTTTTCATGTGCATCCAGTTTTATTAGCATTTAAACCCATATTTTTAGTACCCTGTAAACCTTAAGTTGCTTATCTATTCTTAGAAGCATTTACACCAGTGGTCCCCAGCCTTTTTGGTACCAGAGACCAGTTTCATGGAAAACAACTTTCCCATGGGCCGAGGAGAGGGAAAGTTATGATTTGGGGCTGATTCAAGCCCATTACATTTATTGTGCACTTTATTTCTACTATTAATATATTGTAATATACAATGAAAAAATTACACAACTAACCATAATGTAGGATCAGTGGGAGCCTTGAGTTTGTTTTCCTGCAACTACATGATCCCATCTGGGGGTGATGGGAGACAGTGACAGATCATAAGGCATTAGATTCTCATGGGAAACTCTGAAGTTTCCCATCAGCAAGAAGCTAGGAGTAGAGAAGCAAGAGACCCTCTTCCCTCTCTCCTTTCTTGAAGGAGAGAGGAAAGAAGCCCCCTCAGCTAGCCCTGAAGGCAAACGTATGCAATGCTTTAGAGTTACTAACGTCAGAGTGGTGTAAGGACTGGAAAAGATGGTCCATGTTGAATCCACACTCCCTCCCATTCCCAGTCTCCTATTTCCAGGAAAAGCTGTCCAGGCCCTTCCCAGGCCTGCGTTTTGTTTGGGGCACATATGCCACCATAAACTCCATCACCTGCCATCTTGGAACTCTCTCTCCACAAATCCCTTTTTTCTTTCTACTTTTATTTGCAAAATTTCTGACAAAGAAAATATCATTGGAAGATATTCTCAGTAAAAATCAGGGATGTGTATTTGAAAGAGAAAACTGCATCCTGGGCAACAAAATGTCCTGAGACAATGAATCGGCTAGACAGATATCTTAGAGAAACGAACCAACCCAAATGTGGTCCTCATTGGCAACATACACATATTTTATTGATGCTTCTATGGTTAATAGCATTGCCATGCTCCTCTTGACACATGGTGCTTCCCAGTCCATCATAGAGGGGCTCATTGTTTAAATACTCATTGTTTAAACCTTGTATAGTGTTTCCAGGAGAGCTTTAAATTATTGTAAAAAAGCAGCTAGATTTTTTATAAAGTGACCTTTGACTCGCTTAACCTTATCCTTATCATAGTAAGTATGAAAATTACAGTACCTTTATACAAATACCTTATTGGAGGGGTCTGAACAAATGTCATTGCCATCACTTAGATTTGTGTATACATTTACAAAACCATAAAATGCCAGAAGGACATACATTTAATATACATTAATGCATACATTTCATATGTATGTCCTTCTAGCATTTTATGGTTTTTTAAATGTATATACAAGTCTAAGATTTTTTTAAATACAAACATAAACATGAACTGGCATTTTTCAATCAACTTCTTTAATTGGATATACAATTTGTGTGAGTTTGATAGAACTCGTTGGTCCAACCAAAGAAGTTCACTATTTTACTAGGTCTTCACTTGTTATCAGTCACAGCTTAACCTAATGATCATTAATGGGAAAAAAGAAAAAAATTAACCACTTTGTGCCTGGGACTGTGGTGTCCTGGGTCAAACACAAGATATTACAGGTTACTCAGCCTATTCTAAGCGTCATAAGTTTCCACCAGATAAACAGCAATGCCATGAAGACTTCAAGGATTAACACCCAGGATTACCACAATTATTAGTGGCTGAAATAAAGAGATTAGCCTTTGCTTTTCCATCCAATTCTTTTGTATTTTGTTTTCTTTTAATAGCAATAAAATACTTTAAAACAAACATCTAGTCAAAAAAAAAAAAGAACAGAGAAAATATATTTTACAACTTGTGCTTTCCTACCCAGAATCTGTGGCTGTTAATATTTTTTCATATTTGCTCTAAGTGGGTTTAAAATTAAGAAATACAGCATTGAGAACTTCTTTGACTTCCATATCCATTCTTATTCCAATCTCTTCTTCTCAGAGACAAACACAATTATACATTTGATATGTATGTCCTTCTAGCATTTTATGGTTTTATAAATGTATTACAAGTCTAAGTTCTTTAAAAATATAAACATAAACATGAACTGGTATTTTTCAATCAACTCCTCTAATTGGATGTACAATTAGTGTGAATTTGAGAGAACTTGTTAGTCCAAACAAGAAGTTCACTTTTTCACCAGGTCTTTACTTGTGATCAGTCACAGCTTAACCTAATGATCACTAAAGGGAAAAGAAAAAGAAAAAGTTTAGAAACATCCTGACTCTCTCAATTAGAATTCAAAACTTTCTAGAATGGATGCCTCACATTGTTACATTTGACCACCTTTGATTCAACAGCCCCTGAGCTTTATGTCTAGCAAGAGATGCCTAGAGCTCTATGGAAAAAAGGGGCAGCAGACCAGACCAAAACTTTGCAGTCTCAGCATATCACGGAGACACAGGGACGTGAGCATGTCAGGTAACTTTCTGGGTTTACACTTAAGCACCTCTGAGAACTGGAAAAACCCTTGGCACAAATTCAATCTTTGTGTGGGCAAACCACTTTAGTTCTTAGTTTCTGTTTACTGTTGGGCTTGGTTCAAATGTTGCATTCTGTACCCCTGTTCTTGCCACCAAAGTTCTTTCACCATGAAGTTGCACGTCTAATCCTATGAGTGTCATGGTTGTTAATCTAAGAATAACATACTGCCTTCAAAGAACAGCGTCAAGTTTGAGAAAAGGAAGAATTACTCCCTTCTCATTAGAAAAAAGACAATCATGTACCCACATGTTTCCTGCTCTTCTCAGTTGCCTAAGTGCGTCTTCTGTTGATAAACAAAAACATTTTTTGCTGCATAGTATTGCTCAAGCAACCCCTCTATGCCTCATTTCCTCATCTGCCCTAAATAGGTTATGCATTTCAGGCAGGCAGATTATTAATTATTTGTTGAGCACTTATTGTGTGCCTACTTTACGTCTGCCATAAAAGTACCACAAGGATCAGTTTAAAAAATGAGAGAATTCCTCAAAATTATTTAAACTGTCTGACTCAAGCTCTAATCTAGCAGGGACAATGGCCAGATGGAGTCCAGGGATGAAGTTTTGAGCTGGCTGCATGGGTTGTTCCAAGGCAGCAATATGCAGGTATGAGCTGTGCCAGGCACAAGAGCACCCAGCTGCAGGGTGGGATGGAGACGAGCTTATGTGCTGCTTGCCAAATCAGGCACCTACAGGCTGCATCCACCCAGAGAGAGAGCCTTTCTCTAAACCATTAATGGTGCACAGGGGTTATTGCAGACCTGGCTGAGAGGCCAAGAGCAGAAAAAGCTAGAGAGAATGGGGGCATATATCAGGAGGCATCAAAGGCCAGAATTAGGAAAAGCTAGAGAGAATAGGGGCAAATAATGCCCTGGAGGCACCCAAGGCCAGAACCAGAAAAGCTGGATCTACCATTAAATCCAAGGGGTGAACATGGGGTTAGAAATGGAGACAAAGGCAAGGTAGTGACAGAAACAGGGCCACAAAAAACGACCAAGCAAAAAAACTGACAATTCACTAAATGCCTAAGACAACTGCAATAGACATTTTGTTTTTTTCTTCTTCTCCTCCTTTCTTCCTCCCTGCCTTTCTTCCTTCCTTCCTCACTCATTCTCTCTCCTTCCCCCTCGTCCTCCTCTTCTTCTCCTTCCTCTTTCTGTTTTAGTAACAATCTCAGAGCACAAGTGTAAACCTTCAGTTAAACAGACAGCAGTGAGGCAGACATCTGCTTTTCTAAAATCCTTGACATCCAAATGTGAAACAGAGCTCACTAAAGCTCAGTTGCAAAATTCTAGATGCTCCTCTCTCCATCTCTAACCCATGGAATATTTTCCCTCTTATAGCCCCTTGAAGTGTCTATGCACTTCAGTTCATAAAATGCTGCCGTGGGGAACCAATCTAATTAAGCACTTACCAAGAAAGCATTCAAACTCTCTCATCTATGTCCTTTCCCTGCCCCCAGAGTGCACCCTTCTTAGAGGCATGTCCCTCTGTGCTGGTCATACCTGTGCATTACCATGCATGGCCTGCAGTCACTTCCCGCAGTGACCCTCCCACGTGTCCCCCTGGCTCTTTGACAATGGACCACACACCCTCTGCTCTCAGGGTCTTGGTAACCCTCATGTTTCACAGCAGCCAGCAGTCAGTCAGCCTCCACAACCAACCAAGATGAAGTCAGCATGTGCAGGTCTGAAATAATTATTAACAGGAAATACAAACACGTTAAATTTTACCCAGGCCTTTAATGATACACTTAATTGTTGGTTTCCTGTGTAGAAAATAGGCATAAGTGGAAACCAGTTCCCATAAAGTGACTAAAATTCCTATGACTTTGACACCACCAGCTCTGTGCTTTACTTTTATCTTTCCATTTGAAAATTCTGATTGTTATAATCAGCAAAAATACCACCAGTTTCATAATCATAATTAGCCATCTTCCTCCTAACACAGCACGCACACACACCTGCACTCACACACACAAGCATAGGTGCACAGACCCACACAGATGCATGCAGGCACATCTGAATTCATTTCTCTCTGATTCTCAGCCCTCGAGCTCAGATTCTTCAGTTTCTTGTCCCATCTGGCCTGTCTTCTACAACCCTCAATTTGAGAGAACCTGAAACTAGATTCTCACCTGGTTACTGAAGGACTCAAATGAGCAAAACCTTTTATTCTCAAGGCTGTGGAGACCCTGTGATGAGCAATAGGAAAGGGGTCAGAATGCAGGGCTGCTAAGGAAGTGAATAGGAACTCCATTTACTGGACACTTATGATGTATCTGGTTGGGTTGAGCATCTTTGCAACATAATCTGATTCTACCTTTATTTAAAAAAAAGTGAGGTGGTTATTAGTCTCCCATTTTCAGTTTAAGAAACCGTGGCTTAAAAAGCATAGTAACACAATGCAGGCTGAGATACAGATAGAGGTTACAAGACTGAAACCAGATTGAAAACTAAAGCAGTCACTTTCAAATGCATGATTTTTCTGAGGTTTGGTTTCTAGCCTTTCTTTTTTCACCTTTTAACCACTTTTAAAACTTTAAACACATTCACTCCCATGTGCCACACCCAAGCTTTAGCTCGTCGGGATCCCCCACAGCTTCATTTGTGCCGCTGCAGGAAGTCATCTTGTGTAGATGCCATCACATCCAGGCCGCAGCTGAGCAAGTGTTTGAATTTTTTGTAAATACATCTTTGACTGGGGAGGCTGTAAATCCTCCCTAGGCTTTACTATTGCAGGATCTGGCCAGCAATCTGCAATGCAATGGGGCTCTTTGTTCCCAGGAGGATTGGCAGGTTGAGAAAGAATAGACACACACAAGATAGTGAAAGCTGGGTCCGGGGGGTCACCGCCTTCTGGTCCTGCGATGCCACCAATGCACTGGATATAAATATAGCATTTGTTATTAAGTTTAGTGAGGGTGGGGGTAGGTTAGTGAGGGATTTCGGGTCATTTGATTATGAGGTGAGATGGTCACATGGGGATGAAGCAATTCTTTAACATAACATCTGTATGCAGAAGTACAATATACAGAGATAAGAATTTACAATATAGTATGTGCATCAGTAATTTCTAACAGAGCCTTAAAACAGAAACACAGTGTTTCCATAACCTGTGATTAGCAAGATATTAATCAGCAGTAACAGTTGCAGCAAAAGCTGGTTACAAACAATCCATAGAAACAGGACGTGAAGCTAGACAACAGGTTAGACCAGAAATTCTCAGAAGGGAGAATGCCTTAACCCTAAAGAGGCCTAGAAGAGCTGTGGCAAGATGAGGGCATTTATAGCCCTATCTTATCCATATGAACATGCACCCCTCATGCGTCCGTTTATAGGCTCTCCTCAAGGGTCGCATTCCGTTCTCAGAGCTATGAACATCTGCTTTTCTGGGATAGGAATCTTGGTGATGTGAAACATCCCTGCCTGCCCTTCCGTTCATAGACTCTGCAGGGGGAAGCACATCACACGCTGTTGGCTTATTCTGGTAGTCCAGCCTGGCATTGTCTTTACACAATCCTGCATGCAACTTTGTATTTACAATAATCAGGAGCATTTCATCTTTTATTCCATAGCAATAGTTTCAAGGGCTCCCCCTACACTTTACATTTCAGTCCTGTGCTTGTCCCTACAAGTTTAAAAAAAAAAAGTGAGAGTGAGGGAAAGCTACCTCTGCACACCTGCAGCAGGCTCAGCGAGGAGCCTGGTGGGGCCGGGGCCCACCTGCCTGGCACATAACTTCATCAAGTTGTCAGTGTGCATTTTGCAATAACAAGGGACAGATCATGTCATCCTCATATCCTTTTATAGTTGGAGCCATTCTTGGGACTTTTGGTGCCTGCTGCCAGACTCTCCTGTTTTTGATGAGAAATGTGAGCAGTTGTTGTTAGATGTCAGTGATTCTTCTTTGAAACATAAAAGAAGACATACCTGACTTGTAATTGTCATCCACTACCCTGAAACTTTAAATGTTAGTGTTCAGTAAACCTATTTTCCATTCAGCTGCCAATGCACTCCTTTTAATAAAAGTGTCAATCAAATTCATCCTTTTAACTCTCCCAAGGCTTTCCTCTTCCCTTGAAATGAAATCGGATCCTCCACAGAACTGGCGAGCCCCCATGTACCCTGGCCACTGCCCACACATACAGGCTGATTGTTCCTCCCCTACTCATCACTCCCGATGCCCTGGCCTTGCTCCCTTCTTCAAAGGCAACTGCCTTACTCCCTCCCTTCCTTGACTTTCTGTCCCTCTCTCTGGAAAGCTCTTTCCCTCTGCTCTGTTTCTTCTCTGTTTTCAGGTCTCAATGCAAATGTCACCTCTCAGGCAAGCTCTCCAAACTGAGACAATAGGAGCTCGGTTCACATCTGTCAAAAATAGGAGCAAACAGGCTGTTAGGAGGCTGAGTAGAATGTTTTACTGGGACTAGACAATATCAAACTTAGATCCCAAGAGCCCAGGAATTCGTATTCAAGGTCAAAGTGTCAACAACAAGAATACTGAGTCTTACATAGGTACCATGCTGCACCATTTATAAAGCACTTCCATACACAGGGGATCTTCACAACCCCACAATGCTGCCAGGCCAGGTCTCTCAAAAGGAGGACTCTGATGGTCAGGGGAGTCAACAATATATCCAAAACCAGGACCAAAAAATGTTGCCTCCAAAACAAGCCATAATTCTTCTTCTCATCACAGCATCCCACACCATCTCCTAGTGGGTAAGACTCATAGCCCAGCGCCATCATGGTTTATTTCACAGGGAAGGGTGGGGCAGGGATTAGGAGACATTTCCCAGGGTCTTGTTTCCTTGCTTCCTTGCTATGGGCCTCTCCCCTCAGAGCACTGTTTTCTGAGAAGGCCTGGCTCGAGGAGCTGATGACCTCAGCGACTGCAGACCTGGGAACCTGCAGAAAGGAGAAATTAAGTTTGCACCTGGGAAAGCCCAGGGTTGAATAACAGAACCTCGCCTTTAAGAATTCTTGCTTTTTTTTTCCTGCCTCTGCATTGTTGCTGAAATATACAAGAGAGAAAGAAAGGATTCTGAACCCATTATTTATCTCCTCCTTCCAAGCAAGCAGCAGACATTCATGATTAATGATGAGGTGACTTTCTACATTGATTTAATTGAAATCTGTATCCTATCCAGGTTATTTTTAAAGTTTATAAAGACCTTTTCTACTGATTCTTCTCTTCCAAACTCAAATAAAGAAATGTTTTATATACATGATCTTCCACTAAAAAGGAGCCCAGACTCTCAGATCCTCAGGAACATCTGTTCTCCATTCTATAGGACTGTGCTGCTGAAGACAAATGGAGTAGCGAGTGACCAATCTTTGAGACTCAGCATTCTCTCTATGTTAGCCCTAACGCAAAAGAGAGGACTGGTCCGCACCTAAGGGAAGAAGGTGGCCACGAGCAACTGTTGAGGGCTGGTCTCCTTAGCTGTCCTCTGGTATCCACAGCCCTGAATGGAAGGTTTTGGGTATTTTTCCCTGGACATCTCTACCACACCTAAATATATGGTCTGCAAGTTTTGGAGAGAATTTCCAACCCCCACTCTACCTCCTGCCCCTCCCTACCTGTTCTCATAGGTTGATGATATTCTAATCTCTATTAAGAGTTCCCATTCTCAATATCTCTTCATTTCAATCATTGATTTAGAAAAGTAGGAGTAGAGAAGTGAAAAATGAGACTCAATCTCATTTGTGGGCTGGGCCTTGGGTTTCCTTACTTGATTGCTGTTTTTGTTTTTTTAAACATTGCCAAATCTGGATGCCACTGAAGGCAGTAATGTGACATAATGATGGTCCCAACTGCATATAAATAAAAACAGGTGGGGCCAAAGCTCAAGGCTCACTAGGACAAAAGAGACTTTTCCGCCAAATAACCCACTCACAGTTCTCCATCATCTGACGCAGACCCCAGGCAACTGAGCAGAGAACTCCAGCATAGAGTTCCAGGCCCACATCATAGAACTACAGAAAGTCACAAGGAGTCCTTGAGTGCCGAGGCAGGAACAAAGAGAGGAAGGTGAACCAAAGGCACCTCCCCACCATCCAGCCTAGCAGATCCCACACTCCTCCTGGCCACTATATCCCTCTACCCTTTGCTGCTCCTTCCTACTTTCTACCTAAACATTTCAGCACAGCATGGTTGTGTGTGTGCATGTGTGTGTGGTGTACATATGCTTATATGGTATGTGGTTATGTATATGTGTATATGAGATTATATACCATATGTTAAGGTGATAGATTTATATTACCTCAGTACAGGTTTTTTTTTTACTCAAAAGGTTTTCGGATCCCTCCACTTAATGTTTCAGAATAAATAGTTCCTGTGTCTCTAAAGACACCTTCATATGAATTTGCCATTCTGTTTCCCACCACCTTCTTCCCAAACACTAAATCCGGGTTAATAGTCTTTCATGGAGGCTTTTCCATTGAAGGAAATCATAGGCCATATATGGGGTGAATAACCTCTTCATCTGATGGAAAAACTCTGGTTATTTTTTTAATTTATACAAGACAGCCAATTTTGGAATTAATGAGTGAAACAGACAATTATAACTTTTGAATAACAGTTTATTAGGAGGTTAACAAAGGATTTCTATTGCATCTCCAAAGACCAAGAGTGACAAGGAAGATTTGCTCCAATTATGTTCTGTTTCATAGCATGCCCATCAGCTCTATCACATTTAATGGAATTTTCTCTAAATTGTATTATTTAAGTTTTATTCAAGTATAACATGTTATGCAAATGTGTCTTTATGGTGATAGATATTGCTTGATCTTGATCCTGCTGTAGGTCTCTCTATGTGACTCAGAAGACAGATTTTGCAGCCTTATGCTGAAGAATCAAGCCAGGGAATACAGTGGAAGGCTAGAGCTGACCCCTGGAAGCCAGGGTTGATAGAAAGGTTTCTGCCTCTTTCCAAAGTGTGGTCACTGTTGGAGATGTTGGGATGAAGTAGAGTTGAGGTGTGACTGATGCCTTTCTTCTCCTCCTGGTTGTGGGGCCTCTAGTACCCAAATGTGTTGCAAGGCCCACACCGAGCACGTAGGCCACAGGGATTAGAGATACAGGGCCCAGTGGACTTGTCACATGCATTGGTTGTGGCGCAGGGGTTGGAGGGGAGCCTGTGGGCAGAAAATCATTGGAGCAAGTTAGAGTAAAATGAGCTGAAGAGATTGGAAAATACTAAAAGGGCTTTGTGTAAGAATATTGTTCCTCCTTGGACTTCCTCCAAACAAAAGCTTGAAATTATAAATTCATTTCCATCAAGAAGACTATTCATCTCCACAGCAACCTAACATGCCCCAAGGAGAAGATTACTACCCCCATACTGACTTGCAGTCCTCGCTCTCCAGCAGGCTCCGGTACGTGTTGATCTCACACTCCAGCCGCGCCCGCACGTCCAGCAGCACCTGATACTCCTGGTTCTGCCGCTCCAGGTCACTGCGGATCTCCGCCAGCTGGGACTCCACGTTGGTGATCAGTCTCTGCACCTGGGACAGCTGGGAGCTGTAGCGGGCCTCGCTCTCTGTCAGCGTGTTTTCCAGAGAGTCTCGCTGTGGTGGGGAAGATTGAGAGTGTCAGAGAGCTGCTCCTTATAAGGTTCCTCCATGGGGTTCCAAAGAACTCACAAGCTCCAAGAGCTAAGGAGAGTGTGTGGCCCCAAGGGCATCCCCAAGACTCTGCCTCCCAAGTTCCCATCGCTCACCAGCAGGTCTGAACAATACACACCAGGTTGTGCTGGGCCTGCAGCTCGATCTCCAGGGCATTGACCGTGCGTCTCAGCTCGATGATCTCCGCCTGGTAGGACTGCAGCTGCTCCGAGCTGGATACCACCTGCTTGTTCAGCTCCTCGGTCTGAAACACCCAAGGGGAGAAAGGATCAGACCCTGCCTCCGGGGCCCTGGGGGGCCTCGGGTCCTGAGTGGCCACGTGCTTAGATGCCCACCTGCGTGGCGAACCATTGCTCCACTTCCCTGCGGTTGGTTTCCACCAGGGCCTCATACTGACTCCTGGTCTCATTCAGGACCTGGTTCAGGTCCACAGTGGGAGCAGCGTCCACCTCCACGTTGAGGCGGTCTCCAAGCTGGCAGCGCAGGGTGTTAACCTCCTGATGGAGAAAGGGCAAAATTTTAAATTTCACAAAGGATCTTGGTGCTCTCCTTAAGAGAATGCAATTCAACTTCTGATCATTCTTAAGCTTTCAAGAAACTTTGTTCCCTCTGATCCTGTCACTAACCAGGATCTATATTCAATGACTAATTTGTATACTCCACTTTTTACAAACTACTTTCAAGCCCATGACTTCCCTCTGCTCTTTGTATTAAATGTATCACTCCTCATTTAGAGAGATTCAGTGATTTGGGCTCAAAGCTGATACATGGTGGGCCATTATTTAAACTCTGGTCCCCAAATGCCCAGTTCAGTGTTTTTGCTAGTATACCATATAGCCTCACATGTTTGACTCTTAAGCATGGATAATAAAAAGAACAGAGTCTAGCTAAAGAGGAAATACAGAATGCTTACTTCAAAATCTGCCATCCTGGCATAGAAGAGACTTAAAGGGTGATTTGTTGATTCCACCAGCATAGATTTTGCTGAAGGCAATAAGTATCTGTTTACTTCCCTGCTAAGCATAGCTTGGTACTTGGGCTTAGGCGGATTTCAGACAAATTTGTATTCAACCTCATCTCTACCACTTAATACATTGCTTCTAGAAGCTTCTTGAAGCCTCGATTTCTTCATCTTAACATGAGAACTGCCTCCGGAGTTAAAGCACTTAGCACAATGTTTGGCACATACTAAGCACTTGATTAATATTAACTGTCACCATTTACATTGTTCTTGGATTTCAGGTTGCATAAAATACACGTCTTCTTTTTTGCCCAACTGACTTAGCCATAATGGTGAGCATTTTGCTCAAGGCTGTTTCCAAGCAACACTGAACAGCAAGCAGAAAGAGCTCTGGACAGGAACGAAGAGAATTGCATTTTGTTCTAGCTCAGCCCTCTCTGCCTGATGGGCCTAGGCCATCCTGGCTTCTCCAGCTACAAATGGAGAATTGGAATAGAAGATTGCTGCTGCATGCACTCTAACCTGGGCACAGGAGAGGCTGTGGCTTCTGCCTCATTACCCAGCTTTCCTCACTACTGGGCTTGCCAACTTCCTCACTCTCATTCCTGCCTCTGGCAGAAAAATCCTAATCTCATATCACAGGTTTTTAGATTAGTCATTCTCTACATATCCCTTTTTGTATGCAGAATTACTTCCTCAGCTAATTGAGCCTCTACTGACAGCCTGTCCTGGACCCTGTGGCAGTTGTGAAACAGGTCCTGGCTAGTCTGAGCCCATCACTCTTCAGGGAACTCACCTGCTCATGGTTCTGCTTGAGGCACAGCAGCTCCTCCTTCAGGGACTCCACCTGGGCCTCCAGGTCAGACCTGCACAGGGTCAGCTCATCCAGGATCCTGCGCAGGCCATTGATGTCCGACTCCACCAGCTGCCGCAGGGACAGCTCGGTCTCATATCTGTGATCACAGGAGGGTCAGGAACAGGCTGGGCAGGAATAGGCCTGGCCTTGACTCTGCTTTGGTTTGGTTAGTCAGGCAACTAGGAATTAGGGTTTGTAGTTTTTATAGCCATCTCTTTTGTTTAGGTTTTCAGCATCGAGCTGGAAGAAAATGCACTGGTAATTTTACGTTTAAAGATCCAGTGGATAGACTTCTATATTCCTAGCTATTCAGGAGGCTAAGGGGAGAGGGTTGCTTGAGCCCAGGAGTCTGAGGATCTGAAGTTACACTGAGCTATGATTGCACCACTGCCCTCCAGCCTGGGTGACAGAGCAAGGCCCTGTCTCTAAAAAAAAGAAGAAAGCCAGTGGATTTAGGATAAAAGCTGACAAACTGTAAGACTTCCAAAATAATATGCTTCCACATTCTCCATTCTCATGAATGGGTTCTGTGCATAGGAGAACATCGGGGGCCAACACGTCTACACTAACTCACAGTACGACTAGGGGTGTCACGTCACAGAGGAGAAGAAGGAGGAAAGGAAGTCTAAGGCCTGGGGAAAGGATCTCTGAGCTACGGTGTGTGGTGGCTCTGTGAATCTTGGAGAAAGCAGCTAGAACATAGCTCAGTCACTGTTTGTTTAACTTGTGTTGACAACAGGCTAAAGGAAAGGAGGGCTGCCAGAGAAGAGAAATAAACAGCAACACCCCGCTTGCCCACTCACTTGGTCCTGAAGTCATCTGAGGCCAGCTTGGCATTGTCGATCTGCACCACAAGCCTGGCATTCTCAGACTTGCTGCACAGGATCTAGAAGGCCCAAAACATTCAAGAATGAGCAAGGACTTGGTAATTTTTCACCAATGGCAGTCCTTCCTAATTCACTTCCTTGGAAGGATCAGGATGTCTATCTTATTAAATGCTTTCTATATACAGCAGGTACTCAATGAATATTTCCAAAATTATATTCAAAAAAAGAACACCAAAATATGCAAAAAGTATAAGTAGATAATCTTTTTTCTATCCTAATGAGCAATACTGAGAAGCTGATCATAATAGTTGACATTTATGAAAAACACCTACTATGTTTCTGGCATGATACTAGGAGCTGAGGATACAAAAATTGGTAAGCACTTGATCCTGCCCTCAAGAAACTTTCAATCAAGCAGAAAAGACAAATAGGTAAACTAGCAATTGCAGGGGACTGGATCAGGGAAGAAGCCACATGTTCCCAGATGTCCCAGACAACTGGGACTACTTTGTCCTAGGTAATTTCCAATCTTCCCAATTTGGGCCAAACATTTTAGGCTCTCACTGGACACTGTGCACCAGGAGAAGCCCAGAGGCATGAAGGTGAGGACAATGAAATCAGGATAAGTAGGAACCTAGAAGAGAGAGGCAGCCAGCAGTCCAAGGGGCAAAAAGCTCAGATGAGGGAGAAAGAAAATGGCCCAGTCTTTACAAAAGATTCCGTTTCCCCAGCTTCCTTTGGACTCAGTCCTTTTCTCTCACCTCAGGGTAATAATTCTGGAGCTTGGCAGGTGCATGGAAGCATTCAGAGGTAGTTTTTAATTACAGCTCATTTATGCAAAGTGCTGCTACCTCCACATAGACTAACACTATGCAAATATTTAGACCTAACAGTCCCAAGTCTAGTATTAGATGGGCCCTCAAAAAACAAAATGGAAAGGCCAGTTTTCAGCTTTTCATTCACATCAAGAGCTTACGTTGTTTCTCAATCACAACTCGGATTCTCTCCCGACAACTTCCTACTGGAGGCACTGTGTCGCCCACTCCTCACCTTCTGCTGGAGCTCCTCAATGGTCTTGAAGTAGGACTGGTAGCTGGCACACACCAAGGGCTCCTGCTGCTGTGACCGCTCCCGGATGAGGTTCTCCAGCTCCGCGTTGTCCCGCTCCAGCTGACGCACCTTCTCCAGGTAGCTGGCCAGGCGGTCGTTCAGGAACTGCATGGTCTCCTTCTCACTGCCATTGAAGGAGCCCTCACAGAACCAGTTGCAGTTGCTCACATTGGCGGGGATGTTGCAGGCCCCGGGCAGGGTGCAGCCGTGGCAGCTGGGGGGCACACAGGGCCGGGAGGAGCAGCTGGTGCGGCAGCTCAGGCTGGGCAGGCCACAACTGTAAGACATGGTGCAGGGAGGGAGTGTCCAGCTGAAGACAGAGTCCAAAATCTCCAGGTTGTAGAGCGGTGGGTCTCCTTCCTCCAGGGAGCATTTATACCTCGTCCATGGAGGGTGTGGACACGTAAGACAACCCCTTTTTTTTTTTTTTTTTTTTGCTCATTTGGTGATTGTCAAAAGCCCTTCCCTCCATTTGTTGTGTTTCTTCAGAAGAGTCTCTCCCCTCATAAAATACTTTACTTGGGCTTCTCGCTAAGTCGGGACTCCTCTTCCATGCTGTGTGTCATGATGTAAGAGCTTCATGGTGTGACTTCAAAGACCTGGACTCATGAAAGCCCTGGCCTTCTTCAGTGGGGTGCAGCAGGTCAAGAGACAGTATTGCTGTTCTGCTTTGTGGCTTGAGGCCCCTAACTCTTTGGCAAGCTCTGGCTCTCCTTGGTGAAATGGAAAAGCATAGCTCTTGCCCTGTGTCTTTTGCTAGGTCACATTTCCAAGTGCCAAATTCCAAATTCATGGTTCTCAGAAAGAGGAATAGATCCTTTCTGGGACAGTTCCTGATGGCCATGTTTCCTGATATGATGGGCTTTTTTCATGTCCATGATGACGTCAATCAACCAAATAATAGATATCCACTATGACAATTTCATCCAGGGCGATGTAATAGACACTGGGAGGGGTGGAAAATAGGACTCAATGCTATGGTCAGAAGAAGTTCTTACTTGTTAAGAAACTGCACAAGCCCAAGGTAGTGTGGACACTTTTCACAAACTAGATCCTTTTTACAAACATGATCCTCAAACATGCAGAACTTAGATGTCCATTATTCCTCACCAGAACTCTTAAAGGTAAACTGTATAATTCCCATTTTATAGATGAGAACACCAAGGCATAGAGGGTGAGGATAATAAGTTGTGGACCTAGGATTCCAAAGCAGATCACTTTTCTTTTCATCACAACACTTGGCTTAAATATAAATGGCTTACTTCCTTCCCTTCTTCAGACAGGCCGTCCCTTTCTCCTCTCCAAGCTCTCTTTTTACCTTGAGCATGACACTGTCATGACTTATGTGCTTGTCTCTCTGTCTCTATTTGAGGTCCCTGAAGGCAAGGGCAGGGTCTAGTTTGTCTTTGAATCCCCAGCTCTAGGCACCTGGTAGGCACTGTTGAATGGGTGTGGGTAGAGTGATGAAGGGATGAACAGGAAATAATAATCTGAGGCAGAAGTTGACAAGTGATAACTGAGTGGTTTACACACTGGGGAGGGCGAGCAGCTCCAGGATTGGAGGCTCTTAGGAATGGATGAATGGATTTGTGCTGGGATAGGGAGGCTTCTAAGAAGCAGAGGGGAGAAAAGTAGGAAGTGCAGGTGAGGAGAATAATGTGCACACAGGAATGGGGTGGGAAAGCCCAAGGCATGGTTGAAGGACCAGGGTAAGTCTAGGCAGCAGGAAGGGGAGAGTTGTGAAGGGAAGTGCTAGAAATTAAAGCTTTATGGGGGATTGTATGGGGACCCTATGGTAGGGGGTCTCGATGGTGAAGTGGAGCAGCTTGGACTTCCCCAGAAGCTGTAGAGCCAGTATAAGCTTTTGAACCTAAGTGTGGTGTGACAAAAGGTGTTTTAGGAAATGTTTTAGCAAATATTTATCTGTTTTTGAAAAATGAAGGAAAGATTGGAGGCAAAGAGTTCAGCAAAGAGACTATTGCAACAGTCCATGCAAGACTAGAATTTATGGCAGGGATGATGATACAGATAAGGTTTAGTACAAGTGAGAGAGTTAGAGAACTGGGCCAAGGGAGAGTACAAAGAGAAGAGCAACAAGGAGCTGAGGACCAAACTTTGGAGAATTTCCCAATCAGAGATCAGGAGAAGGAAAAAGAATCTGTGATAAATGGAGAAATGGTGAGAAAAAAATGATAAAAACAAGTTCATGGCATCCCAGAAGGGCAGGAAGGAGGGTGCTTCCAAGAGGAGGTGATGTTAGAAGTGCCAAGTGCAGCAAAGGGGCCGCACATGATCAGGACCATGGAGAGGGTATTGGCTGCCTTGACCAGAAATTTACCAGGACCTTTCCAGGGTCACACAGGTATGCCTGCTGTACGCAGCGCCTGTGCACATTCTTAAAGTAATGCCCACAGTGAACTTCGGTAAACCAAGACTTCAAACACACAGAATTGAGATGTTCATTACTTAGAGAAGTTCTGCTGCAATAAATTTATATATCTGATTATTAAGCTTGGAGCTTTGATCTTACCAATACAGACTTTTATACAATAATTGGAGTGGGCTTTACGCAGATGCCAGACTTGTTTGAACTTGATGATTCGTAATAGTTTATTATTTAGGAACAATTATCCAAGAAGCATGAGTAATCTGAACTGACCGTGCATATGACACCACTTCTGTTTTGTCACAAGATGTAAGATGAGCCTTATTTGATATCCTAAAGAGGCAATGAGGAAAAAATTCAAGTATGGGCCTGAGGAGGCATACATTGGCCAGAAAGAGGAGGGGCTTCCTATGTCCTTGCTAGCAGAGGATAAAGCAGACAACAGATTCCAAGCCTCCCAGCTACAGCTACCAATCCAAGCAGCTTCCAAGCCTCCCAGCTACAGCTACAGACCAAAAACCAGATGGCTTTGCATTTGGCTCTTCTCTTCCTCCCTCTTACCTCCTAACATAGATCCTAAATATGAAAATGGTTAAAAGAGAGAGGGAAAATCTTGGAACAAGATATTGGGGATCCTAATGGTCAACTCATCCAAACCGTTCGTTTTACGAAGGGGAAACTGAGGCTCAGAATGGAGAAATGCCTTGCTTAGTATCATCTAGCTAGGACCCAGATCTTCTGATTCCCACTGCATTATCAGCCCAATCACCATTCTACTGAAATGTTGAAGAATTTCACAAACAATCTGATCTGTTATTACCTAAGGACAGAAATCAAGGGCAGTGAGAAAAACATCTTGTTAACCATAGATATGCTGTGTTGAAGAAGAATTATGAGTCAATGTGTAAATAAAGATAGAATTCAGCAATAGTACAGTTTCTTGTTAACTCTCTGATTTCAATTATTTCTAAGTTGATGATACAATTATATACCAACAATTTGGAGTAATTTAAACATAATTATATCCCATCAGATATAGATTATATCCCATCTGTTTGGAGCAACTTAGAACAATTGGTCAAACAATGGTGACCCTACTCGACAGCAATATGCTTATCCAGAGTAAGGTACACAAAAGATAGTCACAACAAAATTAAACTATTATTAAAATGGGGACAATTGAGAGATTAAAGAAAACACACCACAATGACACTGGATGCTATTAAATGACAGGATTATGAATGTTTTTTTTCTTCTCTCCAAATTCTTTGAAAATATATGTTACTTCTGCACAATAAACAAAATAAAATTTACATTTAAAATTTCAGAAGGAAATTCTTGCAAATCTTCTAGAGGAACAATGAGTTATTAAAAAAAAAAAGCCTAGGAGGCTCCTGTTCCAATATAATTACTACATTACACTTGAGCCTGTTCTAGAAATAAAGTCTTTGTTGTGATCGGCATTCATGCCCTTGTGATATCTGCTGACTTTGTCCATTCCAAAGGTGAGCTACTAAGAAGGAATGAAGGGAAATCAAGCTACCTATAGCTCATGAATTGACTGGCATGAGGTCTGAGCTTCGGGTGAAGGAGAAGACAAGGAGGAGTAACCCTTGGAGAAACATTCTGCCATTGACTGCTAGCCCATGGTCCAAGATTGGCTGCTAGAACCACCTCATATTGACCCGCATCCATAGACTATACTTCCCACATACACATAAGGGATAATTAAATTTCTTTTCTGGAAATACTATCTAAGTCAGATAAAGCCTACAGGCTTAGCATGCTGGAGTTACCAAGGACCTAACTGGTCATTTCACTCAACTCTTTCATTTTAAAAATGGGATAACTTTGACCCAAAAGGGGAAGTGACTTGCCCAAACTTGCAGAGAGCTTGTGAAAGAGTCTAAACTGAAAGAGGATAAATTAGACTAAAGAAATAGGATAAGGCTTTTAGTCTTTATGAGAGAGTTCAGGCGGAGACCACCGAACGATGCAAGTCTCTCTAAACACTAAACCCTTAGTAAAAAGGTGAACTAGAAAAATAAAGGATGCTTGTTGTTAAAGGAAAACTTTAAAAAGCTGAACTATCTATCTCTTAGTGGGCTCTAATTTTAAAATTATAATAGTAAATAATAGTAAATAGTAAAATAGTAAAAAAAAAAAGTAAATAGTAAAAATCTCCTTTGAGATTGTTAAACTAGTGACCTATTTATCATTAAGGTTTGGGGGTTGAATCAATGCAAGAACCTTCATGCTGATAAATTAACAAAACACCCAAGGAAATAACTCACAATTAGCAAGGAGGAGAAGATACAAGAAACAGAAGGTTAAAGCCAAGTATATTAAATAACTATGTTTAAAGAGCTTATACGACAAAATAAGGAATCAAATCCCTAAAAGAAAATGGTAGCCACTATGCAAAAAGTATAGGCATGTTTAAAAAAAAAATGTCAAACAACTTCTAAAAGTGAAGAGTATAATTTAAAGTGCAAATTTTAAGTGTAAAATTTCATCACTAGGTCTTTTGTGGCTTCAAAAAATCAAAATTTTCTTTTGATATCAATAATATTATTCAGGGTGCTAAATTTTCACTCATCTCCTACTGAACTAATGAAATTTTAATTAAAAACAAAGTTTTAGCTCTCATAATTCTATTGGACATTTTTAGATATTTTATACTTCTCCTATTAAGTCACAGCAATTGTTTAATTGTTGCATTTGTTCTGTCAGCTTAATTTTATTAATAATTGTTCCACAGAGCTTCACAGAAATATTTTAACAGAGTTCTAGGAGTCAATAAATTTAATTGTTTTACTTTTTTCATTAAATGACAAATTCATTTTTATAAAATTAAGTTGACTCCTAATAGATTTTGTCTGGGAATTGATGTAATTTTGTTAGTTTTTACATGGAATGTTGCATTTATTCATTTCTGTTAAGATATAAAATATGCATTTCTGCCTTATTATTCCCTTTATTCAATCACTTTTTATGTATCAAATTGTTGTTAGCTTTAATAGCTGAAATATCCCTTTCTTACAAAGCCAAATAAAGTATTGTCATCTCTGTTAGAATTGCATTTATTAAAGCCAATTCTAAAAAAATTAATAATAAAAGAGCCTTTCTTTTCTACAAAAGTAAAATACAACAAATTTTCAAACTCGATTGATAGGTTAAACATTAAATTAGACAAAGATGAAAAGAGAATAAGTCAACTGGAAAAGATCTCTAAGGAAATTTACCAGAATATAACACAGAAATATTTAGAGATTGAAAATATGAAAGAGATGACAGACAAGCTAGAATGTGAAGGTCCAAAATCTGTTTGAAGAAGCACAGAAATGGTGGTATGAAGAGCTTGGGGAAGTCTCTCCCCTAGAAAGACATCTATTAAGCCACTCAAAATTAACAAAGACATCAGTCAAAGGCTCTAGGCATTGATTAAAGGGCTTACAACAAATGAGAAGCATTTACTCAACAACCACACACAAAAAATGGAAACTTGATAAGAACACTGGGGGCTATGATGTTTAAATGAGGGACTCCATTATTTCTCATGTCTCTGCCTTCCAGAAGCACCATGTGCTGGGCAGCTGAGTGGCAGTTCCCAATCCTCCCAGCAGCCAATACACATCAGCAGATCCCATTTTTCATAGCTCACCCATTTCTAACCCCAGTTCCCTCTACATAGGGAGGATTCAGGCAGGGTGGCTTGAGGAGTGCAGTCCTTCTTTCCTGCACACCTCTGTGTTACAGGAGAGATGTTCCATTGGGCTCCACAGTTAAGATGGCAGTATCACCCAAGTTGATCTAAACTTTCAACAACACCTACCAAAATCCCAGCTAGCTGTTTTATAGAACTTGACGTGTTGTTCCTTTTATTCATGTGGAAATGCATAAGACCAGAATAGCCAAAACGATCTTGAAAAAGAAGAACAAAGTAGGGGGATTAACATTTCATGATTTCAAAACTTACTACAAAGCTACAGTAACACAGACAGTATTCTATTGGCATAAAGATAGACATACAGACCAACAGAATAAAATTGAGAGTCTAGAAATAAACCCTCACATTTATGGTCCATTAATATTCAACATAGGTCCCAATATAATTAATGGGGAAAAATAATCTTTTCAGTAAATAATGCTGGGACAACTAGACATCCACATGCAAAAGAATAAAATGTTTGACCCCTTTCTTACACCACAGACAAAAAAAATGACTCAAAATGGAGCACAGCCTAAATGTAACAGCTAAAACTAGAAAACTTAGGAAAAAAATGTAGAAGTAAATCTTCATGATCCTAGGTTAGGATCATGCACTTATTCCTCCATGATACCTGTTATATGTTACAACATGGATGGACCTTGAAACATACTATGTAAATGAAGCTAGCCAAAAAAACACATATTCTATGACTTCATTATATAAAATGTCCAGAACAGGCAAATCTAAAGAGACAGCAATGATTTCCTGGGCCTGGAGGGTTGCAGGGAACAGAGAGTGACTACTAATGGGTACAAGGTTTCTATTAGAGGTAATAAAATGTTCTAAAATGGTAGTAGTAGTTATAACTCTCATTATACTAAAAACCATTTGATTTTATACTTTAGATCTGTAAATTTTATAGTATATGAATTATATATGATACATTATACTTCAGTGAAGCTATTTTTTAAAAAAAGGAATTCAGAAGGAGAAAATGGAGTATAAGATATAAGTAATATTGAAAAAATGTAATGGCTGAGAATTTTCCACGGGTATTGAAATACATGAATCAATCAAGAAGCACATAAGTCCTAAGTAGGAAAACTAAACCAAAGCCATCCCTAGAATAACATAGTGAAACTGCACAACACTAAAGACAAAGAGATGATCTTAGAAAGAGTCAAAGAGAGAAAAAAATAGAAGAATTACCAACAATGGAAATACAGGTTAGCAATAGGCTTTTCAGCATCAACAACAGAATCCAGAAGATAATGGTATAATATTTCCAACACGCTGAAGGAAAATAGCTGCCAACCTAGAATTTTATACAAACTAAACCATCATGTAAGAGTGACCACTAAGAAAAGACATTTTCAGAAAATAACAGAGAAGTTGTCACTTATAGATTCTTAGTCTGCTGTGTGTTGCTACAGCAGAATTCCACACACTGGATAATTTATAAAGAAAATAAATTTATTTCTCCAGTTCTAGAGACTGGGAAGGCCACTATCAAGATGCTGGTATCTGATGGGGGCCTTCATGCTGCATTGTCCCATGGTAGAAGGTGTAAATGCAAGAGAGCATGACAGCCAGAGAGCAAAAGGAGGCCAAACTCATTTTATAACAAGTCCACTCTCATGATAACTACCCCCCTCCCATGATAAAATGACATTAATCCATTGATGAAGGCAGGGTTCTCATGGCCTAATCACTACTTGACCATTAAGTAGTAGTGAATGGTTTAAGTAGTAGTGAATGGTTGGAGGTGTCATTCAAACCATAGCAAATGCTATAAAAACTACCAAAGAATGTATTTCAGAAAATAAAAAGTTAAAACCAGAAAGGACGAATAAAGTCCAAGAAACACTGCAAACAAATAAACTGGTAACCATGTAGATAATTCTAAATAATAATAATAATGACCAAATTTTGGAGCATAAAAATAAGGTAAGATTGAACATGGCGACTCACATCTACAATCCTAGCACTTTCAGAGGCCAAGGTGAAAGAATCGCTTGAGCCCAGGAGTTCACGACCAGCCTGGGCATCATAGAAAGACCCTCGTCTCTACAAAAAAAAAAATTAATTAGCTACACATGGTGGCATATGCCTGTAGTCCCATTACTCAGGAGGCTGTGACAGGCAGATAGGTTGAGACAAGGAAGGTGAAGCTGCAGTGAGCTATGATCATGCCACTGCACTCCAGCCTGGGCAACAGATCAAGATCCTGTCAATAAATAAATAAATAATAAAATAAACCAAGATAAAAAAGTAAAGTAAAGAACATAAACAAAAATTTCTGACAGGGCACAGTGGCTCACACCTGTAATCCCTACACTTTGGGAGGCCAACACAGAGAATCCCTTGAGCCCAGGATTTTAAGACCAGCCTAAGCAACATAGAGAGACCTTGTCTCTACAAAAATAAAAAGTAAAAAATTAGCCAGACATGGTGGCATGCATGTGTGGTCCCAGCTACTTCGGAGACTGAGGCAGGAGGGTCACTTGAGGTTAGGATCCTCAGGATCTGGGAGGTTAAGGCTGCAGTGGGCCATTGTATTAATCCATTCTCACACAGCTATAAAGAAATACCTGAGACTAGGTAATTTACAAAGAAAAGAAGTTTAATTACCTCACAGTTCTGCAGGCTGTATAGGAAGCATAGAGGCTTCTGCTTCTAGGGAAGCCTCAGGTAGCTTCCAATCATGGTGGAAGGCAAAGGTGCAGCGAGGTGTCTCACATGGTGGGAGAAGAAGCAAGGGAGTGGGGGAGGTTCTACACACCTTTAAACAACCAGATCTTGTGAGAACTCACTCACCGTTGTGACAACAGTACCAAGGGGGATGGTATTAAACCATTCATGAGAAACTGCCCCCATGATTCAATCACCTCCCACCAGGCCCCACCTCCAACATTTGGAATTACAATTCAACATGAGACTTGGGCAAGGACAACATCCAAACTGTATCGGCTATGATTACACCACTGCACTCCAGCCTGGGTAACAGAGTTAGATCCTGTCTCTTAAAAACAAAAAACAAAAACATCTTCTATGGATCTTGTTTTTATGCAAGAAGAAAGAGATTAAATTAGATAGTGCTAAGTCAAGTGTGCACATTTAAAAATTAAGAACACATATTAAAAGGGGGAACAAAGAAAACAAGATCAATCCACAGGTGTCAGGAACTGAGGAAACAATAAGCAACAAAAAAAAATCATCCTTAATGGAAAGGACAAAGTAAGATTTTTAAAATAAGTCCAAAAAGTCAGTAATAAAATTACATGTAAATAGATTAAACCCTATTTCTCCTCATCAGACATAGAGTGCCCTCACCACCTTATCCAAAAGTTTCCACTTCCTATTCCCTTTCCTTGCTTTATATTTCCTCTCAGCACTTATTGCTTGACACAGTCATGCTTGTTTGCCTCTTTTTATTGTCTGTCTTCTTCCACTTGAAAGTAGGCTTCTTAGAGCAGGTCTTTGTTTTGTTCAGTGCTCTGCCCAACAGGCACCATCGTAAGCATTCAATGATTATACATTGGATTGAATTGATTTATAGAGAAGACACATGAATGACCAATAAAAAGATTTTTTAAATATTTAATTTCACTAGAAACTTTAAAATTATGAAGTGAGACAAGCTAGATTATACCCACATTTCATTGGCAACATTGCCTTGTCACACTAGATGGCCAATTGCAGGTCATCATGTCATGGTGAATTTTACAGCCAGCGTATCTTGCCAAGTCAGTAAGCTAAGTAGTGCCAACTGAAAAATCACAAGATTAATAAAGTTGGAAAGGAGAGCTTTATTTCTCATAAAAGGCTGCAGCCTCCAGGCTGACCATCCTGCAAGCTGGGAAGCGTAGCCTCTGGCAGAAGCCAAGAGTAAGCATTTTGAGGGAGGGAAATGTGAGAAAGGAATGTATGCTGAGTGAGGTGGCCAAATGCACTATTTAATAAGCTACAGGAGGAGTCATGAATATTTATGAAAAGACAAATGTAAGCATGTGCAATTGAGCTTCATGCCTCTTCATGGGTCGCATGTTCACAAATGGTGGCATTAGCATGATCCAAGGATGGAGTTTTTGGCCCTCTGATGTTGAAAGGTGAGGCAGAGGATGTGAAAACCCTCACCGCACATCCTCTGTAGACTGGCCAGACCACTCCATGGTTGGTGGTCTCTTATCAGGAAGGAATGCCAGCCAGTTGGTTGCTGTGTTGAAACTGCAAAAGGCGGGAGGAAGGAATCCAGTCACAGCTTCAGATGATGGGCTAAAGGTGATAAAGGAATGATTCATCTGTTTCTTATTTTCCAGAGCTGGTTTCTGCTTACTCCTTAGGAAAGAATTCTGGTTAAAAGTTAATAAGGAGGGGGCATACTGAGGCATGTCTGACCTCCCATCCTGTCATGGTCAGGGACTCTGTTTTTTTCTTTCTTTCCTTCTTTTTTCTTTTTCTTATTATACTTTAAGTTCTGGAATATATGTGCAGAACGTGCAGGTTTTTTACATAGGTGTACATGTGCCATGGTGGTTTGCTCCACCCATCAGCCCATCATCTATATTAGGTATTTCTCCTAATGCTATCCCTCCCCTAGCCCCCCACCCCCCAAAAGGCCCCAGTGTGTGATGATCCCCTCCCTGTGTCCACGTGTTCTCATTGTTCAACTCCCACTTATGAGTGAGAACATGCGGTGTTTGGTTTTCTGTTCCTGTGTTAGTTTGCTGAGAATGATGGTTTCCAGCTTCATCCTTGTCCCTGCAAAGGACATGAACACAACCTTTTTTATGGCTGCATAGTATTCCATGGTATATATGTGCCACATTTTCTTTATCCAGTCTATCATTATTGGGCATTTGGGTTGATTCCAGGCCTTTGCTATTGTGAACATTGCTGCAATAAACATACATGTGACTCTGTTTTTAAGGTTTCTCTTCGGTCCCCTTGGCCAAGACAGAGTCCGTTCAGTCAGCTGGGGGACTTAGGATTTTAGTTTTATTTCTCAGTGGTAACACTGACCCTTCCCAGATACTTCAGAAGAGCAATTTGGCTTTGTCCTGAGAAAAAGTGATCTCCCTGACACTCCTTTCTTTTATCCTCCAAGGAGAGCACCATGGCAGAGATAAGAACTAAGGACTGTTTTCCCTAGACCCATGTTTTCCGCTGACACAACATCAAACATAGAAACAAGTTTTGCTTAATATTTTATAAATTGAACACTAAAAACAAAGTGTATTTACTGTGTTGAGAACTTTGACCTCTCACTCACAAAGCATGCAACTGGGTATTTGGGAGGCACTGTTCCTGGTGAAGGTAGCTGAGAGGTAACTATCAGTGGACAGTAATCCCAGCATGTGTGGAGAACTGCCGGGATAAATTGAACAAGGGCGGTTTTCATGAGGCATGCAGGTAGCTCCAGGGAATGAACTCTCCCTGAGGAAAGAGAGAATAGAGTCCACAAACTGGGTCTAAGACATTCTGAGCAGAGGATGGAGTATCACTCAGACGGTCTTCCAAGGTCTCCTGTCTAAGCTGCAGCAGCATCAACAACAAAGGAGTAGATATTAAGTGAACTAGAATATGAGAGCACAAGAATTTAAGACTGGCCAGGTGCAGTGGCTCACACTTGTAATCCCAGCAATTTGGGAGGCTGAAGTAGGCAGATCACTTCAGCCCAGGAGTTCAAGACCAGCATGGATAACCCAGCGAAACCCCTCTCTACAAATAATACAAAAATTGGCCATGCATGGTGGTGCATGCCTGTAGTCCCATGTACTCAAGAGGCTAAAGTGGGAGGATAGCCTGAGCCTGGGAAGTTCAAGGCTGCAGTGAGCCGTGATCATGCCGCTGCACTCCAGCTGGGGTGACAGAGTGAGACTCTGTCTCCAAAAAAAAAAAAAAAAAAAATTTAAGAATTTAAGACTGACATGTGATGATGGAACCGGCATCATCACAGCAGGGGAGATAGTATCAGCTTCATCTCAAGGAGAGAAGACATAATTAGCAGATTGGTTAATCTGGGAATAATCTGCAGACTGAGGGAGTGGCCTTGGCACAAACCACAGCATGCACAGTGATGGGAGCCATTAACCTTGGTTAGACATCAGCAGGCACCAGTAGGGGCCAGGCACCAGTACCGTGGTCACTGTTAGCATTTGCAAACACCTGACTTGTAATATCCTAATTTGATTCTAAATAACTTTGAGGGGGAGGGTCCCGAAATTCATATGTAGTTCCCATGGTTAAACAATTCAAGTGAGAAAAGAAACACTTTCAAAATAGGTTGGGTATTGCTCAAATATGGAAGATGGCAAGGTGGTGCTTTTTAGTATTGAGTTATTCAGTATTTCACAAAGGAGAGTTTCAGAGATGTTTTGAGCACTAACAGCATTGTGTCTCCCCAGGAGGATGTATAAGCTCTGGGTGCTTGTTTGAAATCAATTTTGTCCTCTCATAATCACACCTCATGTGTAACTGACAAGCAGAGAGTGAACTCTGGGTTCAGTCCTGCCATTGATTCTTCCTCACTGTGAGGAAGAGAAAAAATTAGTAGCACAATTCCTGGCATTTGGTAGGTGTTCAATAAATATTAACTTCTGTCATCCCTGCTAGGGACTTAAAAGAATGAGTGGAACTGTCTAGAGATGCTCACCGTTGCATTTTACTGAGTAAGGTCCCATGAGAAATATGTTTATCATATTCAGACGAGGCCTCTTGTCCTAGTGATCCTACTTGTTTTATGCTGGCCTAAGTGGATGCTGGGACTCACTGTGCTTAATGAATGTTAATGAAGGTGATGAAGACCTTTTAGGAGATGATTAACCTATAAAGTCCTCCTTCTGCTTTCAAGTGGCTTTATAAGAAGCACACAGAGAGTCAACACTTTGAAAAGAATGAATACAAATGAGAATCATGTCTGCTTTGCAAGAGGAAAGTTTATTAGGCGATTTGGGGAACTGCAATAAAGGTAGAAGCAGCAGAGAGAACAAAACACCTCGTATGCCACTGTCACAGCTCCAACCTCTGACCATCAGAACTCAGACTGACTACAGGAGAGGGACCTGGGGTGAGGAGGATCAAGTAGCCCTAGGCTCAGAGTCAGACCCAAACGCTGGGCATTTGTTCTCCTTCCAGACCATGATTTGTGGTGATGCCTCGGGGTGGGGTCCGGTGGCTGATGGTTGTCAGAGAGGCAGAACTGGCCCACCGATGGTAGTTCTGTCTTCATGCTATACTTCTGCTGGCCCCAGGGTATCTAGTACCCAAAGGTGTTGCAAGGCCCACAGCGGGAACGAGGACCACAAGGATTGGTGACACAGGATCCAATGGGCTTTTCACATGCATTGGTGGTGGCGCAGGGGTTGGAGGGCAGCCTGGGATGCAGAAGCATTAGACTGTCAGCATGAGAAGGGTGATTCAAACAAGGGAGACTCAATCCAAAGAGACACAGAAACAAGCAGAACCCGTTCTCTGATGTCCTAGGAAGCCATGCCTTGTTTGGATCACTCCTTCTACAGAGTTCTGATACAGTGGCAGAAATGAGCAAAGAACATGTAAGGTGGAATCCCAGCCTTCCTTGTATGACCCTAGACACACAAGAAAGTCACTTCCTCCTTCTAAGCCTCAGCTTTCCCACCTGTAAGGTAGGACTGGTAGTACCAACCACACAGGATTATGAAAATTCCACAAGACTGTGTTCATAAAAATATTATGTTCGCTGGCAACTGCTGTACTGTTAGTTATTGATCATCAACCCTATTGACACTCAAATGCTCATCTATAAGAAGGTGATAATGATTCCCACTCTGCCTGCCTCAGATGATTCTAACAAGAATTAATGAAACGGTGGATTTGAAAGTTCTGTTTAAATCAGAAAAAGTGATCATTGTTACAGTTTCATTTTCCTTTTTGTGGTGACAAGACAGTCCTGAAGACAGAAAGATTTATTTGGCCATCAACATCCAAAAAATCTCTACTGGAGGAAGGAGTCAAGTCCCATGACTATCTTTTGTAAAAGAAAGTATCTTTAGCCCAGATAATGTTAGCAACAAATATCCTACACTTCCCACGGCTGTAATATAAAACTCTCGCCTCTACAGACAGATTGGCATCTGAAACTTGATTTTCAAAGTCTCTGTTTTATCCTACAGTAGAACAGTGCCTGTCCCTTGCAGGGGTGCCGTCCGCCAGGTACTCACTTGCAGTCCTCGCTCTCCAGCAGGCTCCGGTATGTGTTGATCTCACACTCCAGCCGCGCCCGCACGTCCAGCAGCACCTGATACTCCTGGTTCTGCCGCTCCAGGTCACTGCGGATCTCCGCCAGCTGGGACTCCACGTTGGTGATCAGGCTCTGCACCTGGGACAGCTGGGAGCTGTAGCGGGCCTCGCTCTCTGTCAGCGTGTTTTCCAGAGAGTATCGCTGTGGTGGGAAAGATCAGGAATGTCAGAGAGCTGCTCCTTATAGGGTTCCTCCATGGGGTTCGAAAAAACTCACAAGCTCCAAGAGCTAAGAAGAGTGTGTGGCCCCAAGGGCATCCCCAAGACTCTGCCTCCCAAGTTCCCATCGCTCACCAGCAGGTCTGAACAATACACACCAGGTTGTGCTGGGCCTGCAGCTCGATCTCCAGGGCATTGACTGTGCGTCTCAGCTCGATGATCTCCGCCTGGTAGGACTGCAGCTGCTCCGAGCTGGATACCACCTGCTTGTTCAGCTCCTCGGTCTGAAACACCCAAGGGGAGAAAGGATCAGACCCTGCCTCCGGGGCCCTGGGGGGCCTCGGGTCCTGAGTGGCCACGTGCTTAGATGCCCACCTGCGTGGCGAACCATTGCTCCACTTCCCTGCGGTTGGTTTCCACCAGGGCCTCATACTGATTCCTGGTCTCGTTCAGGACCTGGTTCAGGTCCACAGCGGGAGCAGCGTCCACCTCCACGTTGAGGCGGTCTCCAAGCTGGCAGCGCAAGGTGTTGACTTCCTAATGGAGAAAAGGGAAGAAATAAACCCACAGAAAGAAGTCTTTCAATAACTTCTTTGAGGCAGTTCAATATAATGGGAAGAGGATTGCATTGCAGCTTAGGAAACATGAGTTGAAGCCCAGCTGTCACCTCTGGAAATTCTGGCCTCTTCTCTGAATCCCTTCCCTCATCTGTATGATACGGCTGCTTCATTAAATGATTGCTAATATTTCTACCCAGTCCAAGATTCTATCATTTCTTTCTTATTTCCCCTTTGCTCAGTGATAAGCCTGGCATGATAATTGGCTTACAATTGTTGCTACTTAAATATAGAGAAACCAGGTTTCATTCCTCCTATTTATTTCATGGGATACTACTAGAGTATGACACATGTTTTCATCATGAAAACGTCTAATGTTTGAGACATGCATCTGATTTCGTAGTATTGCATTCAGCCATGAGATCTGAATCAACCATTATTTGAGTTATTTCATTTCTCCCGTTTTTCCCATCCATCAGTTCATCCATCCATCCATTCATCCATCTATCCATTTATCTAGCTTGAGTTCTAGTTATCTAGGTGAAACAGAGTGTAAGAATGTTTTCTATCTCCTTCCAGTCTTGGTCATTAACCTACCTGGCACCTCTTCAGAAGCTAATAGATAGCATCAAACAGTAGACAGTAGTTTAAAGATATTTGTGTGACCTTTCAGCCATACATGTCTGGTCCCAAGGGGAAGTAGGTCAGCTTACCACACTCCTTTATGTAAAAAAGGTAAGCTGTCACTCATTCCCCAACAAGCCCCAAAGTATGTTTTGAGCAACCAGCAAAATGTTGTTAGGCCTAGGGTGCTTAGCAAATCAAATCCTACCTTATCCTATTCAGGGGGATCACAGAGCTCTCAGTATTGGGATATTGGGGGCTGGGACTCTTACCTGCTCATGGTTCTGCTTGAGGGACAGCAGCTCCTCCTTCAGGGACTCCATCTGGGCCTCCAGGTCAGACCTGCACAGGGTCAGCTCATCCAGAATCCTGCGCAGGCTGTTGATGTCGGACTCCACCAGCTGCCGCAGGGACTGCTCCGTCTGGTACCTGCACACACAGCCAGAGGTCAAAAGAGGTCCAAAAAAAAAAAGTCTTTGTTTCCCGGCCTTTACTTGGCTGACTTAGTCAATTTTATTATATTTTGAAATATTTTGAATTTAAAAAATTAAGGGAGAAAATACTCCTGTACTGAGTGAGAAGGCCTATTTTGTCACTGAGACACACAGAAAAGGTATTGGTGGAATGCCTGTGGATAGTTTAGTCTAACACAAACTAAGTTTGTTCTAAGACTCTCGTTTACAAGTTACTATCAACTAAGCCCTGCTGCTTTTGCCATCTCAAGTGAATCAGTGCCCTTCATAAGCCTGCTCCAGGTTGTCCTGTCATCCTTTCCAGCCTTGCCAAGAAGCAATCTAGTGTTGTGGAAGAAACACTGAATTCAGAGTTAGAGCCAGTATTCTCATTAAATGACTGTAGATAGATACCTTTATCTCTCTGAGGCTTGATTTCCTTAACTGTAAAATGAAGACAAAACTAACACCTTATAGGGTTGGACTGAAGATGATATATGTAAAATTATGTTGTAAAATGTAAGATCCCAGGAAAATGCAAAGGATTCTCATGATTGTAATAATGGTCATACCTAAAAGTATTGATTGATTCTCTGAAAGGCAATGGATTTTGCCTCCTGTTTTTGTGGTTTAATAACTTCTTTTTGGGGGGTTGACAGTGACTAACGTATACAAAGAGACCAATGTGAAAATCACTTTCAAACTTACTCCAGACGTTGGGTTGAAAAGGAGTAAGAATGGATGGTGTCTTACAATCAAACTTAAAGCACAGGGCTGCGCACAGTGGCTCACGCCTGTAATCCCAGCAGTTTGGGAGGCTGAGGCGGGTGGATCACTTGAGGTCAGGAGTTCAAGACCAGCCTGACCAACATGGTAAAACCCGGTCTCCACTAAAAATATAAAAATTAGCTGGGCCTGCTGGCGCATGCCTGTAATCCCAGCTACGAGGAAGGCTGAGGCAGGAAAATCACTTGAATCCGGGAGGCGGAGGTTGCAGTGAGCCAAGATTGCATCACTGCACTCCAGCCTGGATGAGAGAGGGAGACTCCATCTCAAAATAAAAAAATTAAAAAAAAAAACTTAAAACACAGAATCTGAGCACCTATTGAAGAGGCTTTGACATTTAACCTAATCCTAACCCAATGCAAGAATCCTCCCAATAGAAATTTCTGCTTCCACATTCCAGGATAGGGAGCTCATCACTTTGTAATTCAGCCTGTCCGTTACTAGACTGCTCTGATGGTTAGGAAAATCTTACTTGGTTCTGAAGTCATCTGCAGCCAGCTTGGCATTGTCGATCTGCACCACCAGCCTGGCATTCTCAGACTTGCTGCACAGGATCTGGGGATAGGATTAATCATGAAATGGGTTATACTAAGAAATGCCTTGTGCCTTAAAGTGAAATGCTATTTTCTTTCAGCCACATTCCTCCCAAATAGCTTTGAGTCCTTTCAGATTTTCAGCTCTGAGATAAAAGGAGGATTTGATCATAAAACTGATCATTTCAAAACCAGGACAACCAATGTGAATTCATCATGAATTCTATTCTTATCTGCTTCTGGCTTCCTGCAATAATTAGGTTACTGGGTATCCAACCCTTCGGTTGGGTGACCAACCATCCCAGTTAACTTAGGACTGAGGGGTTTCTGGGATGCTAAAATGGGAAAAATCCCAGGCAAGCCAGAACAACTTGGTTATCCAACACATTCCACCTGCTAACTTCTCTCCACTCTCCCCTCATATTGCCCTTGTTCATGCCTTTGCAAAAAGCTTCTTGCTGTACCCAGAATGCCCTCACCCACTAGCAAGACCCCTTGTGTAACCCACATACTTAATCAATAACACTTCTTATGACCTTTGTGTGATCATTTTGTTTCCACATCTATCTCCCCTGTTAGACTGTGAGCTCCTGAAGGAAGGAGACTGTCTTACTCAGTACATTATCCCCCACCCCAGCACTGTGCCTAACACTCTCCAACTCTGGGTAAATAAATGAATGATATTCAAATAGCACAACCCCTTTCTGGCATCTAATTTTCCAGATCTACAGAACAGTGGGCAGTCAATTCCCTCCCAGAATCAAGGGCTTGTACAATTGGATATAAACTCCCACTCATCCTTCAAACCCCACTCAGACATTGCCTCTTCTGGGATCCCTCCCAAACCTACACCAGGTATTCAGTCCCAATTCTCTGTGGACTCTTTACTTATATCTACTTCTCTTCCAGAACAGATGGCCCCATATTGTCATCTGTACACATGGCTGCTCTAGAGGATGGTCCATGTGTCTGTAGATATTGCTGGAGTCAACAGCTCTCTTGTGTTGCCATAAATGCTATATTTTGCTACAGCTTTGAAAGGCTTTAAATATTTGAAGATTTACTTAGGAAATTCTTAGCATAGAAAATAATTCAGGTGCATACTTTTTGAAAATGCGGTAATGCTCTGAAAACAAAACCAGGGTATCATAATCAAACCAAAAAATCAGATATTCTGGTTTGGAGTAAGACGCCATATAAGATTGCTATGACTGATTTTGGTCTAATGCTTCACTCTAACACCAGCCTGCATCCTTCCTTTGTGGCTCTACAACAGATTTTCTAAGACTACTTGATGTCATACCTAAGCCAGTGAATCTATGTCTTTATCATTCTCAGCATTACTGTGAACAGACTTAGATCCATTCACAGTTTAGTATGTCAAATATAGATAAGTAGTTCATTAAGCTGGCAGTGTGGTGCCCACCTCCTCACCTTCTGCTGGAGCTCCTCAATGGTCTTGAAGTAGGACTGGTAGCTGGGGCACAGCAAGGGCTCCTGCTGCTGAGACCGCTCCCGGATGAGGTTCTCCAGCTCCGCGTTGTCCCGCTCCAGCTGACGCACCTTCTCCAGGTAGCTGGCCAGGCGGTCGTTCAGGAACTGCATAGTCTCCTTCTCGCTGCCATTGAAGGAGCCCTCGCAGAACCAGTTGCAGTTGCTCACATTGGCAGGGATGTTGCAGGCCCCGGGCAGGGTGTAGCCGTGGCAGCTGGGGGGCACACAGGGCCGGGAGGAGCAGCTGGTGCGGCAGCTCAGGCTGGGCAGGCAGAAGTTGTAGGGCATGGTGCAGGGAGGCAGTGGAGCTCTGGAAGTCAGTTTCAAAACCTGATTCCTTTTCCCTGGGATAAGCCTTGGTCCTTTCCAGGGCTTTATATTCTGTTAGCAGTGGGTGTGGCAACCATGTCAAGTATTCCTCCTTTTTACCTCCTTTGCTGATTTTTCCATTTGTTATTTAGCCACTTCACCTGAGTCCTATACCTCATTAAATGTTTTACTCTGGCTTCTTGCTAAGTCAGGACTCCTCACAAAACATGCTGATTGGTTAAGTAAGAGCTTCATGGTTTGGCTTCAAAGTGACCAACCTTGCCTGTAGCAGTGCTTATCCATGGGACATTGAGCTAGAGTGACAGCTGGGCCCTGTCCCCAGAGTAGGGGGCACATATGTGCCTCTTTCTCCTAAATGAGGAAAGGCTTGTGTCTCATCCAGTTCATATTCAATTAAGACTCTGTGAGAAAAGCCATGTAAGGAAACCCGTCTAGAAACTAGACTATGTGATAGGGAATCCTGGAAGCTGAAATGAGAAAGGACTTACAAGGCCATTGGTTCAAGGCCCATTTGCAGTTCCATCCAGGCAGATGGAGGCAACTCTACCCTCTTCCTATGGGGCTGCAGGAAGCCACCCACCTCCGTTTCTACTAGTATTCAGTGTTCACAGAACATTAAGAAACCTAAATTTTGGGAGCACCTACTCTGCATGAAGCACTGTGCTCCATGCCTGTGCACAGCGTGACTCTGTCATTGGTGATGGGTCCTGCTTGCTGAGCCTCCACTGTGCACCAGGCACAGTGCCAGGCACCTCATATGCACCAGCTCCTTCAGTCCTCTCAAAATGCTGCAAGGGTTTGTAGATAAGGACCCTAAGCCTCTGAGAGGTCTCCCAAGGTCACAGAGCTCCTACATGATGGAGCCAGGGTTCAAATACAGATCTCTCTAATTCCAATGTCCACACTCTGTCATATTACATGTCTCTCTCTTCCAATCTTTTCAGTACTGAGATGCAATAATGCAAAAAATACAGATTGAGCTCCATTGAGCTCAATCAGTGCTGACAATATCCTAAATTAGAATGGGCCAAAAAATAACAAGCCTGTTTTTTACTTATTAAAGAACCAAAAGTCACTTCTATGCTGAAGGAAGGAAGTTTACTAAGTGAAAATGCCTCATACCCACTAGAAGCTTGAAAAAAAAAAAAAAAGGAAACCCTTGGTTGATCTGAGGGAGAAATACCCAAGCCTAGCTCTCCAAAGGATATGACCCTGAAAATCCACCACTATGTCATGTGCATGAAGTGGCATTTTATGACCATTGGCACATTTTGGCAAGCAGATGCTCTACTCTCATGCATTCCAGATGGAACTATGAAATATGAGGATTTTATGTTTAATCTATCAGTGCTCAAATTCTGAAAGATACTCCTCCAAGTTGTTCCTTTTGGAAGCTACATATTAAGTCTTGCCATACAAGAATTCTTTTCCTACAGGTGACCTGCCATTCCTCAGATCACCCTTCCTTCAAACTTGCCTTCACAGCTTGGGACACATTCTTTTGGTTATCCTCATTGAAGGCCAATCTTCATCTTCTATGGGTGTGTTTATTTTTGGAACCAGCCAGAAGTCATTTGAAACCACACCTAGTGCATAGGGTGAATAACCAAGCTGCATAGCATCTTTAATGGGTCAGAAACAGGTTGTGACTACAAAATAATAATGTGTGTTTTCTTGGGTGACTCTGGAAGTCATTTCCAAGGAGAAGCTTCAAATATGCTTTTATAAAGGACAGCAGCTTTGGGGCAAACATGTGGTCTTCCAGGGTGAATGCATTGAAGGTACTGATATCCTCCCCTACAATCACAATCCACAACTTTCTGCCCCTCCTGCCTGAATCTCTAATTTTTTTTTTTTTTTTTTTTTTTTGGAGACAGAGTCTCACTCTATTGCTCTATTGCCCAGGCTACAGTGCAGTGGTGCAATCTCAGCTCACTGCAACCTCCGCCTCCCAGGTTCAAGCTATTCTCCTGTCTCACCCTCCCTAGTAGCTGGGATTAGAGGCGTGCACCACCTGTAATGTGCCTGGCTAATTTTTGTATTTTTAGTAGAGACAGGGTTTCACTATGTTGGGCAGGCTGGTCTCAATCTCCTGACCTCAGGTGATCCACCCGCCTCAGCCTCCCAAAGTGCTGGGATTACAGGAGTGAGCCACTGCACCCGGCCTGAATCTCTACCTTTAAAATGATTCCACTATCAGTGAGATGTGGCATGGGCATATTGGTTTAAAATCAGTACCAAACCATTAAAGTCCTATTGGATGAGATCAAATAACATAAAGCAAATAGCTGAATTCATTAGCTTTTCTCTAATTACCTTGTGTTCTTCTCTCCTTCTTCTACGTCCCAAGCTTCAAAAGGAAAAATCTGACAATGGCACTTTTTAAAGAAAAGGGAAGGAATAGTGTGTCACAGACTGGTAAATATGTCCACAGGGATCCCTATAACCATTGCTGTAGCTTCTACCTCAGTCACAGTGGAATAATCCAGAGATAAGTATCCTTGTGTCTTTAAAAGTGGAGGTCAGAGTTTAGAAAACACAACTATTCCCACATCTTGAGTAGAAGTAACTATAATTTCTGCACAGCTACTTGGCCATTATGTACTAATAGTTGGAAGAACTTGGGTCTATGGAGAAAAGAGCCAAGTTTCAATTAGCTTCTCACAAAGTCTGGAAGGCAATTGCTTTTTACTTACTCCACTTGCTGTGTACTGTGAATTCTTATCTTTACATGGGTGATGCTATTGTCTCTGTTCAATGGCCCTTCATTAAACATGACAAGTAAGTCAAATCCTAACAAACCGAAAGGTTTTATACATGCCCATGTAATAGCGGCAGATGCTATGGTTGAGGCTTCTGGTCTTAAGATGTGAGCAAATTGCAGTTGAGGTTTAAGGATGCTATTTATTATGGAAGCCCGGGCTATTTCCATAGAAGAGATCACATGCCAACCCACCAGCGATGCTTAACCACGGAGTGGACATAGGATGGGGCTTCTGCTGAGGCCACCTTCCTCATTGTGGGACTTCAAAGGCATTAGGAGGCCTCCCTCCTTCTTCCCAAAGCCATCTTCTCCAATGTCCAGGCTCTGGTGCTTGAAATTGTCACCGTGAGAAATGTAAAATTTATTCTTTTAGAAATACGAAGTTACATTGGGCTACTTGAAAATTAATTATATTTTAATATGTACAAATGAGAAGGAGAGGCCAGGAGCAGTATCACTACATGCACACAGAGCAAGAAGATGGACTTTTTGCCAAAGAGGGATCCCAGAGGGGAATTAGAAAAGCAGAAAGACTGTCCAATAACAACCCCAGCCCATGGTTTTGGGCCAGCCTGTTAGAGCTTCCTAGAAGAGCAGAAGATAGGGCTTCCACAAACTGTTCCATAAAGGCAACTGTTGTCAATTTATCAATCCTCCAGCCTCAGGACATTGAGAGGAGAAATTGAAGGGGTAATTCAGGAAATAAGCCAACAAGTTTGGCCCTGTTCAATGGGGCTTCTGATAAGGGACAAGCAGGAGAGGGGCTGAAGAATGAGCCAGGTCAGCAGTAAGCTACGCTGAGCAAAAACAGATACAAACACCTCAAAATGGAACTCAGGAGGTAGTTCTACAAATCCTCTCCAGAGCCACCATGTTTCTCTTACACTCAGTCTTGGACTCCCAATGGGAATGGAGTCTTGGAGTCTTCAGGGACCAAGCCAAGTCAGAAAAATACAAAGTTCATCTATGCTATGTGTTTTTTTTTAACTTTTATTTTAAGTTGAGGGATACAAGTGCAGGTTTGTTACATAGATAAACTTGTGTCATGGGAGTTTGTTTTACAGATTATTTCATCACCCAGGTATTAAGCCTAGTACCCATTAGTTATTTTTCCTGATCCTCTCCCTCCTCCCACCCTCTACCCTCCAGAAGGCTCCAGTGTGTGTTGTTCCCCTCTATATGTCCACGTGTTCTCATCATTCAGCTCCCACGAGATCTATGCTATGTTTTTGACTACTCTAGACTATCAACTCAGTCTAGAATAGACAAGAGCATGACACAATCCAGGACGATGTAATTTAATGGTGCTAGTCTTCCTGAAAAAGCTGGATCCAGGGCCCACTCAGAGATGGAATGAAAACCTATATATGTGTCCTGCTCTGCAGATCAAGGGAGAGGGCAGATGCTAAAACCTTTTGACAGTACACAGAAGATAAAGCAAAGTCAGCTGAGTACAAATGTGTTGTGTTGAACTTTTGCATTACACTCACTATCACGTTGGTGATTTGAGACAGACATGAAAAAAACATGGAAATACAGCTTCTTCCCTCAGCCTCCCACAGACTCTGTTCTCTTTATAATCACCAGGAGTCTCCCCATTGCTTTAACCAGTAGATTTGTCTGATTCTCACCATCCTTGCCCTGGATGCTGTTGACAACTCTTTCATTAGAGCTCCAACTTCTTTTGACTTCTGTGTCCTTTAAGGTGCTTCTCCACTTCCCTCTCAAACTGCTTGCAACCAGATGTCATCTCTGTCCTCAAGATCTGGCAAAACCAAGGCTGAACCTCACATCAGGGACTTTGGAGAGCCCCAGCTGAAGTCTGTGGTTTCTATCAGTGGTCCTCAAGGTTCTTCTATTCCCTGCTAGCCTCCATTGGACAGTCTTAACAATTCCTATAGCTCTAATTATCATCTTTATTTACCCAGCTCTCCGACATCTCCCTCAAATCTAGTTATTCTTCTCCAGGTCTCTCCAATGGAAACTCATTGTTGTTTCATTTTCTCAGGCTGAAAATCTTCAGACCCATAGTAGGTGTTTGTGATGGTTAATTTAATGTATCAACTTGACTGGGCCAAGGGATGCCCAGATAGCTGGTAAAACATTATTTCTGGGTATGTGTGTAAAGGTGTTTCTAAAAGAGATCAGCATTTGAATCAGGAGAGTGAGTAAAGATCACCCTCACCAATGTGGGCAGGTGTCCTCCAATGTGGGTAGTCAAATAGAACCAAAAAGTAGAAGAAAGGCAAATTATTTCTCTCATTGACCGGTAAGGGAGAAGCAGGAGAGGGTCTGGAGAATAGGCCAGGTCAGTAGTAAGCTATGCTGAGCAAAGACAGACACGGACACCTCAAAACGGAACTCGGGATCTAGTTCCACAAACCCTCTCCAGAGCCATCACTGTTTCTCTTACACTCAGTCCTGCACTCCCAATGGGAATAGAGTTGAGCTGGGACATCCATCTTCTCCTGCCCTCTAACATCAATGCTCCCAGTTCTTGAGCCTTCAGTCTCAAACCAGGACTTACACCACCAGCCTTCCTGATTCTCAGTCCTTTGGGTTTGGATTGGAATTATACCACTGGCTTTCCTGGGCCTCCACCTTGAAGACAGCAGATTATGAAACTTCTCAGCCTCCATAATCATATAAGCTAATTCCTTATAATAAATCTCTTTCTATGTATCTATACATAGCCTACTGTTTCTGTTTCTCTGGATAACCCTAATACAGTGTGTGATCAGTACTAGTTTCCTTCCTTTTCTTTCCATTGTTCCTCTATCTCTACTCAGCTTCCATATTTAAGCCATGCCTCTAAAACCTACCCCTCTTTGGCCTCACTCTCCTCCACTTATCTCAGTCCTTATTGTCTCTCACCTCTTAATTGATCTTCCTTCTATTTCATCCAGCTTCTAGGACTCCTCACAACCCAACCTGTACACAGCTGCCAGATATATCATATGGCAAACTCCCTTACAAGAAAATCTCATGTATAATCATTCGGAGCACTTCCAAATATGGCCGTACCTAACTACCTTGCAGTTTCATCTCCTATAACCACACTTACCCTCTGTTCTAGGCTAGGGATTGGGTTGTCAATTTCTAAACACACCTCATAACTCCTCCAGGCAAAGTTCATGCTCAGGAAAACTTTCCCTCTTCTTTTTTTTTTTTGAGACAGAGTCTCACTCTATCATCCAGGCTGGAGTGCAGTGGCACGATCTTGGCTCACTGCAACCTCCGCCTCCTGGGTTCAAGCTATTCCCCTGCCTCAGCCTCCTGAGTAGCTGGGACTACAGGTGTGTGCCACCATGCCTGGCTAATTTTTTTTTTTTTTTTTTTTTGTATTTTCAATACAGATGGGGTTTCACCGTGTTAGCCAGGATGGTCTCAATCTCCTGACCTCGTGATCCACCTGCCTCAGCCTCCCAAAGTGCTGGGATTACAGGCGTGAGCCACTGCACCTGGCCAAAACTTTCCCTCTTCTATGGCCTAAACACACTCACCTGACCAGACATTTCCCAGCAAACTTTATTTCAGAATTATGCTAATATCATACAGTAATCATTGATTGAAGTTGAAACTATGGGAAGTATATAAAGTTTTAATAACCTTCTCATGAATTTTCATTAGTGTTACTCTTCCTTATTTATTCCACTTACAGTATTCCATGGTTTACATCGTCTTTAATTAGGTGATGATATTGCCTCTGCTGAAGGGCCTGCAGTCAACAAGACAGGCAGACAAAATTTATATCAACAGAACATTTGGGTTTTCAAGGCTTTGATTGAGTGCTCCCTCCTTCTTGGAGCCTCTTCTTTTCATTCTCTCACACATCTGAAATTCGTAATTCTTTATCTGCACCTTTCTTGAGCCACACTGATATTTGTCTATGATGACTGTAGCTTTGTCTCATCCACTCTAAACTGTAAAACATGCTGTGGGCCGAGACTGGGATTCACTTATTTGTGTTTCTCAGTACCGCCCACAGTACCCAGCACACACTATAGATGATTGATTGCAGTTGTGTCAATCAGATAGGATTAAATAAAATGGATAATTGAGACTGGCCTATAAAATTGAAAGCTTTAAAAATTCAGGGATGAGGCAAGTGGGGTGGGGTGTGGGGTAAGATTAATGTTTTGGGGGAGATGTTTAATGAACATTGGCCTTTCTTGGAATTATAGAAAATGAAATGATAAAGAGGCTATGGAAGAACATTATGGATAAGACCAAAGATCTAGGGGAAAGAATAAACTTGAAGAGGGGAAAGGTAAGGACTGCATTTAAAGGGTCTATCTGGAGGACAACATGTCAGGCATAACAAGTGGGCGGCAAGATGAACCAGTTTGGGAAAAATACGTTTTAGTCCAATTAAACATGATGTAATGACCTGATACCAAGTGAAGCTGTCATATGCGCAACAGAAAACCTGGAAACTGAGCTGAGATGAGAGGGAGATGTGGCAGTCATCAGCATAGAGGAGCTAGATCTACACGAACAGGGACGTAGAAAGAGAAAGACAGAGGGCTAAGAATATAGGTGTTTCCTTCATTTGGGACAAAAAGGGGAAGACAGCTAACAAGACAACAGAGAACAGGTAATTAGAGATATTACAAGAAGACCCAGAGTGTGCAGGGTTATGGAAATCAATGAAGGTGTATTTTAAGGGAGGAGTAGGTATCTATATCAGCAAGGCAGCAGCAGCAGAGAGGTTGAGAGGAGAGAATCACTGCTCTTTGAACAGTTTCTGTAGAAGCAGTTTCTGTAGTTTCTTCAGGCAGTTTAGGAGAAAGGGAAGCAGAACATTCTATTCTGATGAGGGTGAGAGCTGGAGATAGCAGTGAAGTCTGGGGAGGCTTTGCAAAATTGCCAAGGGCCCTGTAGTCAAGGCAAGGTAAGCATGGGTATTGAAGGCCAGGTTTCCTGCATGGCCTACCCTGGGTGGGAGTCTCCCAGAAGGACGTCCTTCCCTGTCTACATCAGTGTTTCTGGTGAAGCATAAAGGCTTGGCTCAGTCATTTACTTCATTTTATTCTCCTAATGAAGGGGTATTTTTATGAAACAGCCATGATGAGTAATTTACAATGCATGAATATGAATGAGAAACATTTATTATGCCAGAGAAATGAAGTTTATTGGGAAGTAAATGAAGTCTCCTCCTTGCATTCCAGAGAATGCCAAAGAAAAAAGGAAAACAGGAAATGCAGTAGTACGTTCAGGAAACACCTTAAGTAGTAACTGGAGCTCAGATTACAGGGAGCTGAACATCTTTAGAAACAAACAGGCTCGACCCTCAACAGGAAGGAGTTGTCCAGACATTGGAAGTTGATGATGTGTGTCTTTGCTTGGGTCAGGAAAGCTTTTCAGCATTCTAGAAATAACATAGAGGCAAGATGAGGTTTCTTGATGTCAGCTGAGCTCCAGAAAAGTCAGGACTTGAGGATCCTTCCTGTGGTTGATCTAAATGGCTTTGTAGATGTCTTCAAAGAGGATACAAGCTTTTCAATTACAGCAACCCTTTTGAGAGGTGCCACAGGGTCCACAGGAGTTGCCACTAGCATTGGTGGTGGCGCATGGGTTGCAGGGGAGCCTAGGAGGACAAGGAGGTTTAGAATGGCTTTAGGAGGAGGTTTTAATGCACACAATACCTTGGGCTTAATGACACAACCTATGAATTCTCAGTGGCTGGAGTTAGTTGGAATCAAGTTCTTTTTGTTTTGTTTTGTTTTGTTTTTGAGACAGGGTCTTGCTCTGTTGCCTAGGCTGGAGTGCAGTGGTGCGATCTTGGCTCACTGCAAGTGGGAGCCAAGGCTCACTATGCCTCCCAGGTTCAAGCGATTCTCCTGCCTCAGCCTCCCAAGTAGTTAGGATCACAGGCATGCGTCACCATGCCTGGCTAATTTTTTGTATTTTTGGTAGCGATGGGGTTTCACCATGTTGGCCAGGCTGGTCTTGAACTCCTGACCTCAAGTGATCCACCCACCTCAACCTCCCAAAGTGGATTATAGGCATGAGCCATTGCACCCAGCCAGAATCAAGTTCTGATTACTACCAAACCCTTCTCTCTCTCCCAGAATGCCATGTGCAGAGGTGGAAAAATTGTGCTTTTCAAAAATATTATCTCATACTCTTGAGGTCTCCTGGAACTTAATGTGCCTTACACAAATGTTATTCCTACAACTGGCCAGCTCCTGCCACCACTCCTCCATTGTTAGCCCCCTGAGATAGGGGCTGTTCCCTTACCTTTGGCCTCCCTTTGCTTAGCTATCACAGATCACTGGACACATGCTACACAGTTAATGTGTGTTGCCTGACTAGTTGAAAACATGGCCACCATTTGTGTGCCTACAATATCCCACTGTACACATTCTTCCCAGACATTATTTGCCCCATACTCACTTGCAGTCCTCACTCTCCAGGAGGCTCCGGTACGTGTTGATCTCACACTCCAGCCGGGCACGCACGTCCAGCAGCACCTGGTACTCCTGGTTCTGCCGCTCCAGGTCACAGCGGATCTCTGCCAGCTGAGACTCCACGTTGGTGATCAGGCTCTGCACCTGGGACAGCTGGGAGCTGTAGTGGGCCTCGCTCTCCGTCAGCGTGTTTTCCAGAGAGTCTCGCTGTGGTGGGGAAGATCAGGAATGTCAGAGAGCTGCTCCTTCAAAGGGTTTCTTCACAGGATTACAAGGAAGTCACAAGCTCCAAGAGCTAAGGAGAGTGTGTGGCCCCAAGCACATCCCCGGGACTCTGCCTCCCAAGTTCCCATCGCTCACCAGCAGGTCTGAACAATACACACCAGGTTGTGCTGGGCCTGCAGCTCGATCTCCAGGGCGTTGACTGTGCGTCTCAGCTCGATGATCTCCGCCTGGCAGGACTGCAGCTGCTCTGAGCTGGATACCACCTGCTTGTTCAGCTCCTCGGTCTGAAACACCCAAGTGGGGAAAGGATCAGACCCTGTCTCCAGGGCCCTGGGGCACCTCGGGTCCTGAGTGGCCATGTGCTTAGATGCCCACCTGCGTGGCGAACCATTGCTCCACTTCCCTGCGGTTAATTTCCACCAGAGCCTCATACTGACTCCTGGTCTCGTTCAGGACCTGGTTCAGGTCCACAGTGGGGGCAGTGTCCACCTCCACGTTGAGGCGGTCTCCAAGCTGGGAGCGCAGGGTGTTAACCTCCTGTTGGAGAAAAGGGAAACAATGAACCTACGGCAATGGATCTGCCATTTTCCTGCTCCAGGGAAATGAGCACAATACTGCCCAAAAAGCACTAAAAGGAATATTCTGATCATTCCCAAAGAGTGACACACACATTTTATAGCAATAAACTCCAACAGGGATCACATCAATTGCTGTCCCATGGAAGATGTGCCATCTTCCTGCTCTGGGAAAATGAGCTTGATGCTGCCCAGAAAGCACTAAAAGGGGCCGGGCACAGTGGCTCAAGCCTGTAATCCCAGCACTTTGGGAGGCAGAGGCAGGTGGATCACGAAGTCAGGAGATCGAAACCATCCTAGCCAACATGGTGAAACCCCATCTCTACTAACAATACAAAAATTAGCTGGGCGTGGTGGCATGTGCCTGTAATCCCAGCTACTCAGGAGGCTGAGGCAAGTGAATCACTTGAACCAGGGAGTCGGATGTTACAGTGAGCCTAGATCACGCCACTGCACTCCAGCCTGGTGACAGAGCATGACTCCGTCAAAAAAAAAAAAGCACTAAAAGGAAGATTCTGATCATTCCCAAAGAGTGACACACACATTTTATAGCAATAAACTCCAACAGGGATCACGTCAATTGTTGTCCCATAGAAACGGAAACAACCTCACACCTTCTACAAGACTAAGTCTAAACTCCTTGGCATATGCAAGTCCTTCCTCGCTTCCCATCACATCTTCACTTTCATCCCTTGGAGGTACTGCATGCCCAGCCATACCCAGATACACCCTGCCCTGCCACTTCTGTGTCTTTGTTCAACCTCTTCCCTCAGACTGAAACACCCAAGTACTGGAATCCTCCTCTTTGCATCTGAGAAGAGTTCCCTATCTCCTCTTGGGCAGCCTGGATTATTTCTAGAGCATACTGCTTGTACATCTCATATGGTACTTGTTTCACTCTGTCTTGTTTATATCACTGTGTTTATATGACTGTCTTTCTATACTAGACTGTGAGCTCTTTTAAGAAAAGGGCCATGTCTTATTTCTTTTTTGTCCCTCCATCTCCACCACCAAATTCAGGACCTAGCAGTGATCAGCAGAGAGCAGGGCTCAATGAATGATGTCCCTCCTCAGTAATTCCAACACCTGCCTAACCCTCACCCAGCCGCTGAAGAATGAGCAGCTCACTCCACTCCTTGATATGGATGTAGCACCGTCACTCTCTGAGAACATCTTGAGTTCCTCAGAGAAGGGTCCCAGACCAGGGATCCAGACAGTAATCCTCTCCTGATTCCCAGTGCTAGTAGCTTAGTTCTGAGGCCTGCTTTTGTGAATTTGTTTCATACCTCCTCATGGTTCTTCTTCAAGCAGATCAGCTCCTCCCTCAGGGACTCCACCTGGGACTCCAGGTCAGACTTGCAGAGGGTCAGCTCATCCAGGATCCTGCGTATGCTGTTGATGTCCGACTCCACCAACAGCCTCAGGGACTGCTCCGTCTGGTACCTGCACGTGTCGGAGTGGGAGGATAAGTCAGGAAAGAAAACCACCTTCCCCTCTCATGTGTTGTTTGGGTAGAATTGGCCTGAATCTTCTTGAACTTACAGTTTTCTGCCTCTTCTCTTCCATATGCTTCAGTCAAGCTGTCCATGGATAGGCTGAAGAGGTTCCCTGACTCACCTAACACCACGAGGAGCCCACAGGCACACATGAGATGAAGTCTCTCACTGTGTTCTCGGTTTTGTTAGCTAATATACCACCAAATCAATTCCCAAAGAACAATTCATTTCAATCTCTGAATTTTGTGGTTTAAGAAACACTTCCAAAAAAAACCAGTATAGACCAAAGAGCAGGCAGCACATGAGTCTAGTTCCCTATTTGAAACTAATTTTACATAACCAGCCCTAGGAGGAGAAATAGAGAGAAATGGCTTTCTCCTCTCTTCCAGGCAATAGTAGGTCCCTAGGGCCATGAAAGAACCATAGGGACCTTGAAGTTCAACATACTTGCTTCTGAAGTCGTCAGAGGCCAGCTTGGCATTGTCAATGTTCACCACCAGCCTGGCATTCTCAGCCTTGGCACACAGAATCTGAAAAGAAATTTCTCTCATGAGGTACACTTGAACTTGAAAATGTCTTACTGTTCAAAGAGAGCCAGCTGCTGCTGGCCCCCCATATGGCCAACCCCCTCACCTTCTGCTGGAGCTCCTCAATGGTCTTGAAGTAGGACTGGTAGCTGGGGCACAGCAAGGGCTCCTGCTGCTGGGACCGCTCCTGGATGAGTTTCTCCAGCTCCGCGTTGTCCCGCTCCAGCTGACGCACCTTCTCCAGGTAGCTGGCCAGGCGGTCGTTCAGGAACTGCATAGTCTCCTTCTCGCTGCCATTGAAGGAGCCCTCACAGAACCAGTTGCAGTTGCTCACATTGGCGGGGATGTTGCAGGCCCCAGGCAGGGTGTAGCCGTGGCAGCTGGGGGGCACGCAGGGCCGGGAGGAGCAGCTGGTGCGGCAGCCCAGGCTGGGCAGGCAACAACTGTAAGACATGGTGCTGGAACAGGTAATGGAAAAGCAGGTAAGCTGCTGGAGGTGGATGTGGGCAGGTTTGAGTCTCTCCTTCCTCTGCAGTCCTTTTATACCATTAATTGTGGGTGGGGGCTTGGCATACAGCATAGTTTCCTTTCCTAATGCTTCAGCTAATTTTTCTCCAAAATATGCTAGTTAGATGCTTCTAAAGAGTCCCCCCTCAACCCATAAAATTATTCCATTCAGCTTATGTCACACCAGGCTCTTCCTGGGTGCTAGTGGTTGGTGAAATCAGAGTTTCATCAGATGGCTTCATAGGAGATAGAATCATCACAGCCCCAAAAGGCTGTCTGCATTACTCAGAGGGGAGGACAGCCAGGGACATGGGGTGGAGTTGTTTGGGAATCAGGGATTCCTCACCCAGGAGTTTCCGCCACTGTTCTTTCTCCCCAGAGAGAGAGCTCTGAGAGAGAGCTTTGAGAGTTACTCTTCCAAGTAGCTCTTTCCTCCCACATTCATCCATGTTTCAGCATTCAATTTGTTTTTATAGCAGAAACTCAACCTGTATTCGCCGAAATGATCCTGAGCCTTACTATTCGTTGGGGTTTAGGGAACTTGCCAACACATGGAGCAACTGAAAACAATGGCATGTTCATGGTTGAGAAATGAGAAAGTAAAATGGAAACCAATGGAATGGATGGGAGTATACCTAAAAGAGGGCATCTGCAAATGGCAGCCCACACGTCAAGTTTACCCTGCTGAATTTTTGTAAATAAAGTTTTTGTTTGTTTGTTTTCTGTTTTTTTTTTTTTGAGACAGAGTCTCACTCTGTCGCCCAGGCTGGAGTGCAGTGGCACGATCTCGGCTCACTGCAACCTCCACCTCCCGGGTTCAAGCAATTATCTGCCTCAGCCCCCCGAGTAGCTGGGATTACAGGTGCCCGCCACCACACCCGGCTAATTTTTGTGTTTTTAGCAGAAATGGGGTTTCACCATGTTGGCCAGGCTGCTCTTGAACTCCTGAACTCGTGATCCGCCCGCCTCGGCCTCCCAAAGTGCTGGGATTACAGGCGTGAGCCAATGCGTCCGGCAGTAAATAAAGTTTTAATGGAACACAGCCATGCCCATTTGTTTAGCTATTGTATATGGCTGCTTTTGTGCTACAGTGGCAGAGTTGTGTAGTTGTGACAGAGACTATAGTGTCCACAAAGCCCTAAAATTAAAAAATTTGCCAACTTGTACTAAAGCAACAGCCTCTCTAAAGATGAGCAAGAGTAGAAATATCTAGAAGAAAAAATATGCTGGAAACAGTCTGGAGCAGTGAGAGTTCAGATGGCAGCACTGAAGCATGAATATGAAGCATAATACTGCAGACTCACCAAGAAACGAAAATTGGAGCAAGGGTGCTCAGAGGTATCTTTGTATCCATGGTGGCTTTTTCTCAAATTCTCTGGAAATTTCTATCATCTTATTTCTAGACTTGTTCCTCTTTCTAGAGTATTAACTCTCCTAGAGGTATGACTATGCCAGCCTGAGATGCTTCCAGGACAAGCCACAGTGCCCATGAGAATGCAGATTTACTCTGTTGTCCCTACAAGTAGACACTGTCTCTGATAAGTGTGCTTCTATCACCTCTGGGATCCAGTTACCCTTTGACTCTTGCATAACCTAGGGAGCCTCTCTATTGCCCAATAATCACTCTTCACAGAATAGCCTTCCCTACCTCACTTCTTTTCCCTGTCACTCTACCTTGCCTTTGTTCCGCAGGGAAACAAAGTCATGTTTCAGAAAGAAGTCCCAAAAGATTATTTGTGGAACACAATACAAATCATTTAAAGAAGGCTGCATCTGAATTTCAAAAGCAGCATGAGAGGAGCAGAAAAGCACATCTTCGATTTTATTTATTTGAGTGTTTCCTCTTTTTTTCTTAGTCTATCTAGAGGTTTGTAAATTTTCTGTGTCTTTCAAAAAAACTCTGTTTCATTGATTTTTTGCTATTGTTTTTCTAGTCTCTATTTTTATTTATTTCTGCTCTAAGTTTTATCGTAAGTATCATAATAAAATTTAGAGCAAAAAGTGTTATTATATCCTTCCTGCTGCTAACTTTGAGCTTAGTTTGTTCTTTATCTTTTTTAATTTTTTAATTTTTGTAGGTACATGGTAGGCGTGTGTGTATGTTTAGATATAGGTTTATGTATATACATATATAAAACTTTCCTCTTAGTACTGCTTTTGCTGCATCCCATAAATTTTGATACGTTGTGTTCTCATTTTCATTTGTCTCAAGATATTTTCTAATTTCCTTTTTGATTTCTTCTTTGACCCATTGATTATTTAAATGTTTTTTAATTTCTACATATTTGTGTATTTTTCAGTTTTTTTCTTATTTCCGTTCTAGTTTTCTAGTTTCATTCCATTGTGGTAGGAAAAGATACTTAGTATGATTTCAATCCTCTTAAATTCGTTAAGACTTGTTTTGTGACCCAACATATGATCTATCCTGGACAATGTTCCGCATGCACTGGAGAATATGCATTCTGCTACCATTGGATAGAACGTGTTATTTGTTAGGTCCATTTGTTCTATAGTATTGCTCAAATCTGTTGTTTCCTTGTTGATTTTCTATCTGAATGTTCTATTCATTATCAAAAGTGAGTTACTGAATTCTTCTATTATTGCATTGTCCATTTCTCCCTTTGGTTCTGTCAATGTTTGTTATATATATATTAGGTGCTCTGATGTTGGGTTCATATATGTGTGCAATTGTTATATCTTCCTGGTGAATTTTTTCATTATTATATAATGTTCTTCTTTGCCTTTTGTGACAATTTTTGACTTAAAGACTATTTTGTCTGATATATAAGTACAGCCATCCTGCTGTCTTTTGGTTACCATTTGTACGGAATATTTTTTTTCCCATTCCTTCACTTTCAGCCTATACATTGTCTTTAAATCTAAAGTCAGTCTCTTCTAGATAGTATGTAGATAGTACTTGTTGGTTTTTTGAAAATCCATTCAGCTACTCCATGTCTTTTGATTGGAGAGTTTAATTCATTTACATTTCAATAAATTATTGATAGGGAAAGACTAATATTGCCATTTTGTTAATTCTTTTGTCTTTCTCAGAGTTCTTTTGTCTCTCTTTTCCTATCTTGCTGTCTTCCTTTGTGTTGCATGGATTTTTGTATCGATATGTTTTTATTCTTTTTTCTTTTTCTTTTGTGTATCTTCTATAGGTATTTTTTTGTGATCATCATAGGGCTTATATGAAACAACTTATAACTGTCTGTTTTCAGCTGATAACTTTCACTGCATACAAAAACTACTCTTTTGCTTCTCCCACACACATCTTTTATGTATTGATGTCATTATTTACATCTTGTTATATTGCATATGCATTAACCTATTTTTATAGTTATAGTTATTTTTAATACTTTTATCTTTTAAATTTTATAGTAGAGGGCCAAGTGTGGTGGCTCACACCTATAATCCCAGCACTTTTGGAGGCTGAGGAGGGCAGATCACCTGAGGTCAGGAGTTCGAGAACATCCTGGCCAACATGGAGAAACTCTGTCTGTACTAAAAATATAAATATTAGCTGGGCGTGGTGGCAGGCACCTATAATCCCAGCTACTCAGGAGGCTGAGACAGGAGAATCGCTTGAACCCGGGAGGCGGAGGTTGCAGTGAGCCAAGATCACACCACTGCATACCAGCCTGGGTGACAAGAGTGAAACTCTGTCTCAAAAATAAATAAATAAATAAATAAATAAATAAATAAATAAATAAATAAATAAATTTTATAGTAGAATTAAAAGAGTGATTTACCTACCACCATTATAGTATTACAGTAGTCTATATTTATCAGTATATTTACATTTACCAGCAAGTTTTATACTTTCACATGCATTTATATTACTGTTTAACATCCTTTTGTTCCAACTTAAAGAACTTCCTTTAACATTTTTTGTAAGGCAGGTCCAGCGATGATGAACTACCTCAGCTTTTGTTTATCTATAAAAGTCTGTATCTCTCCTTCAGTTTTGAAGGATAATTGTACTGGGAATGATATTCTTGGTTGGCAGTTTGTTTGTTGGTTGGTTGGTTTGTTTTCAGCACTTTAAATATATTATCCCATGTCCTTCCGGCCTGCAAAGTTTCTGCTAAGAAATGTATTAATTACCTTATGGAGGTTCCCTTGTACATGATGTCACTTTTCTCTTGCTGCTTTCAAAATTCCCTATTTGTCTTTGACTTCTGACAATTCAATTATAATGTGTATCACTTTGATTTATCTGAACATCTTATTTGGGATACACTGGGCTTCCTGGATCTGGATGTCAATGTTCTTTCTCAGGTTTCAGGAGTTTTGAGCCATTATTTTTTTTAATAAGTTTTCTAAACTTTCTCTCTCTCTTCTCCTTCTGGATCTTCCTAATGTGAATGTTGGTCTGCCTGATGATGTCCCATACATCTCTTAAGCTTTCTTTACTCTTTTTTATTCTTTTTTCTTTTTGTTCCTCTGGATAATTTCCAATGGCCTGACTTTGAGTTCACTGATCCTATCTCCTGCTTGATTTAGTGTGCTATTGAATCCCTCTATTGAATTTTTCAATTCAGTTATTGTATTTTTCAGCAGCATGATTTCTGTTTGGTACTTTTTGTATTTTCTGCCTTTTTGTTGAAAATTCTCACTTTGTGTATTGTTCTTCTGGCCTTGCAGAGCATCTTTAATTATGGTTATTTTGTTTTTGTTTTGTTTTGTTGAGACAGAGTCTCGCTGTGTTGCCCAGGATGGAGTGCAGTGGCATGATTTCGGCTCACTGCAACCTCCACCTCCTGGGTTCAAGCATTTCTCATGCCTCAGCCTCCTGAGTAGCTGGGATTACAGTTGCGCACCACTGTGCCCAGCCAATTTTTATATTTTTAGTAGAGATGGGGTTTTGCCCTGTTGGCCAGGCTGGTCTCAAACTCCTGACCTCAAGTGATCTACCCACCTCGGCCTCCCAAAGTGCTGGGATTACAAGCATGAGCCATTATGCCCAGCCTGTGATTATATGGTTATTTTGAATTCTCTATTTTGAATATATGGTTATTTCAAATTCTCTTTCGGGTAAATTGTATATCTCTTTCATTGGGGTCAACTTCAGGAGATTTATCTTGTACCTTTGTTTAGGACATATTTCCCTGTTTCTTCATTATCCTTGGATCTTTGTGCTGGTGTCTGTGCATTAGACAAAACAGCCACCTCTCCCAATCTTCACGGACTGGCCTTGTACTGGAGAAGACCTTCACCAATCAGCCCAGCCAGAGATACTGGGGACCTCTCAAATTTTTGTGCTAGTCCAAACCACCATCTTTGCAGCCTCCAGGCATCTTGAGTATGGCTAGTTTCCATAGCACTCTGGCACAGGTGAGACAGAAGCCCATCCCTGATACTGTCCACAGAAAAGACAGAATATTGGACACAGGTCTAACTCTTTCTCTCTCCAGGGAGAGCCTGGGACCCAGGGTTTTTCACTGGCTCGCTCTGAACTTGGCCGGGGGAGAGGGCTGTGGTGAATATTCATATGCTAGTTAAAATTACCCTCTTTGTTCTCAATGGCTCCTAGACGTCTGGAGTATGCTGGATTCCATCCGCATTCTAAGACAGGCAAGACAGAAGCTAGTGCATTGGCAGCTCTCAGAAAAATCTGAATGTTGAATGTATGGTCCAGTTATTTCCTCCTCTCCCTGCAAAGAAGCTGGGAGGGGGATTTCCTCCTAACCATATGATACTATGCTGAGAAAGCAGGGATTATTGTGATAGAGTATCTTAAAATCTTTCTACCAACTTTGATTTGGCTGGTTTTACACTCATCCAGGGTGCAAGAGCCTCTCAAATTGTTACTAGATTTCTCACAAATAAAATTTATCTGAGTATTATTATTGAATTAGTGTGCCCATGACGGTGAGGAGGGTCCAGGGCTGCTTATTCCCTCATCTTGCTGATGTCACTCTCCAAAAAACACGAATTTGAAATTAAATGACCTGGATTTACATCCTTACCTATGATATGAGCTCAGAGAAGTTCATTCCCTTTTTTGAGTCTTGTTTATCTCATCTCTTGAATTGAAATAATAATAATGCTGCCTACCTCATAGTTTTGTTTTTTTGTTTGTTTGTTTTTGTTTTTGTTTTTTTTTGCAAAAGGTAAGGTATTGTGTGTGAACATGTTTGGGGGAGGGAGTGATGATGTTTATTTCCATAAACTTCATTGTTCCTATTGTTGACCCAGGTGGCTCAGATGAAGAATTTTGTGAAAATTCTACTTCGTTAAGCAGACAAATTGCCCATTGCCCATCCCAACCCAGTGGTGCTCAAACTTCACCCACTTACCTTGTAAGTACTAGGGGCACAGAACTCTATTCATAAATTAACCATCAAAATGCAAATGTTAACATTAACTTAGTGGTTGAAATAGGAAGTTGCAGATAACCATTACCTCTATCTTCTCTGCTAAGTTCCTGATCTTGTGGGTTTGGTTATCTTATTTGGGGTAGTTCTGGAGGAGGACAAGTTCTCCACATGAAATTGTAATATCACCAAAGCCTCTTTTCTGGTACTGGGATTGAAATGTGCTTTTGTTATCCTCTTGGAATCTTCTAGCCTTATAGCTCTGTGCAAGCATTTGTAATAATGATAATAATGGCAGTGTTGTTGTTGATGATGATTCTGCCATTTCATCAAGGCTTATTAGATGCCAAACAAGGCACTAAGCACTTTGGCACATTTCTCATTTGATTCTCCCAACAACTGTATAAAGTTGGCCTATTATTCCCATGTTACAGATAAAGAAATAAACTGGGAAAGGCTCCACATTTGCCCTAGATACAGGCAATAAATGGTGGAGCAGGGATTTGAACAATTCAGGTTTATGACTCCTGATCATGAACACCTAAACACAGTACAAAACCTTTATATTTGGCACAGAGGTTTCTCTGGTTTGTGAGGGAAATATTCATTGCTTCCCATTGCCCCTTACTTCGTAGTTTTTCCTTCTGGTCCCCTCTAGGGCCCTGTTCCCCACCCCTTCATACTCCATCATTCCTCCAAAGGCCTCTCTGCCCAAGCCTTTGAGCACCCAGCTAATCTCTATGGTACCTTCCTGAACTAAGGCCAAGTCTTACTCATTTATTTTTCTCCACAGGGAAATAATCGTCCTTTTGCATAATTGATCCAAACTGGAAACTAGATTGTCTTTTCTGAATATCTAAGCAAATTAAAATGCATAATCACATGACCTAAGTGATTTAGAACTTAGAAGAAAGACTACCCTTCTAACCATGAGTTTTAATCCTGTAAAAGTTCATCTCAGAAGTAAATTCAGTTTCCTACAATCAAAGAACTCTAAAGCTAGAAGGACCTGAATTTATGGAGGAGAAAACTAGTGCCCAGACAGTAAGGTAGTAAGGAAATGAATATCAATCAATCACTTTCTAGTCAGATAGTCTACTAGGTACCTTTGCATATAGTATTTCATCCTCACCCCAGAACCTGAGTGTTCAGGTTCCATTTTTGTCACCATGTAGCAGAGATGAAGAATCTGAAATGTTGGGAGTAAATTTAACTCATTCAAAATGACACAAGTAAGCAGGCTTCAGTCGGCCTGACCCATCATATTTATTGTGAGTTAGAGAGATGAGACACTGACCTAGGCCAGGCTGTGACAAAACATAACAGCTGGGAGAAAATGCAGAAGAGAGATCATGGATTCCAATACCAGCTATGAGCACCAGACAAGACACACCTAGGCTTCCTGCACATCACTTTACTCCTCAGCAAACTGGGAGTTTAAAAAGTAACAAATCCCATCTGGGCGCAGTGGCTCACGCCTGTAATCCCAGCACTTTGGGAGGCCGAGGCAGGCAGATCACGAGGTCAAGAGATGGAGACCATCCTGGCCAACATGGTGAAACCCCGTCTCTACTAAAATACAAAAAATTAGCTGGGTGTGGTGGTGGGCGCCTGTAGTTCCAGCTACCTAGGAGGCTGAGGGAAGAGAATTGCTTGAACCTGGGAGGCAGAGGTTGCAGTGAGCTGAGATCGCACCACTGCACTCCAACCTGGTGACAGAGCAAGACTCCATCTCCAAAAAAAAAAAGTAACAAATCCCACAAGCTTATCATGGCATGGCTTGGCTCCTGGAAGTAACGGGATGTGCTTATATAGAGGAAAATGCTGAGCGCTCCTGGACAGCCTGCTGTTCTTCCTGCAGATGCTGACAGCAGCCTCAGGCCTCAAAAAACTCAAATGATGGCTTTAACTCCAGATGTAAGGATGGAAAAAAAAGTGCCTTAGCTCCATCCCAAAGTAAACATAAAATTTGCAGGGAAACAGAAAGGAAAAGAAACAGCAAAAGTATCCAGGAGATAAGCCTAGGGAAAAGTCAAAGGTCGGAGAGTGGTAGATACTGCCGGCTAAGAGTTTAGACCAAGACAGCTCAGGAGGCAATAAAACAGGTCACCAAAGAGCATCAGACATGCCAAATAGCCCAGACAACTGAAAAAGGAGCTGCCCGCCCACCTATCACAAGAGGAGCCTGGGGCCAAAAAGTATCAAATATGCCGAGCAGACCATACACTTCTGGTGCACAGCTGGGTTTAAAGAAGAAAGAATTTATGGTGTGAAAGACAATACGACAATATGCAAATCCTGCTGTTGAACCTAAATCCAAAAAGAAAAAGAAAATGATGATACTTTTTTAACCTTAAGAAACTTAGCTATACCGGCAATAATAAAAATTGTCAATAATCCTAATAAAAATATGTGGTCTACAAAGTGTTTCCATAAACAGTTTTCCATGCTTCCTTTGGCAAGTTTATAAAGTAAGTAGAGAAGACACGGTTATCTCCACTCTACCTTTGGGGCAACTAAAGCTAGGAGAAGCCACATGTCTTATCCAAAGACACAGAGCTATTAAGGTCGTAAATGTCAGAGCTAGAATCCAGGTTCTGGTAAGTGAGTCTCAACCTAGCTCATTGGAGGCTCATCACCTGTAGAGCTTCTAAAACTCCCAGTGACCAGGCTGAATCCCAGATCAATCAAATCAGACTCCCTGAGAGCAGACTCAAGCCTCAAAAAATTGTTTAAGTTCCCTGGGTGATTTCAAACACAGCCAAGGTTGAGAACCACTGTCCTGCCGTGTGTCTGATGATGATGACAGAGCACCTGGAAATAATTTGAAAGCCACATGGAAATGTTTAAGGGGAGGTATAGCTACAACGATTGAGATTTTTATGGTTTAAAAAACATGGCAGAATTTACAGATCCTATAAATTTTGCCTCCAGCCAGAATTTTTCTTTATTCCAGGATGCCATCTCTAGTCAAAGCACGTTTAGAAAGTTCTGTTTTGTTAATGTCTGTATCTTTTTAATATCCAGTTTGCTGATAACAAACCTTTGTCCTTTGAGGATAGGTTTGACTTTTTTGAAGCTGTTCAAAGAGAAACCTTGTGAGTGACGTAGACAATCAATTTGGATCATTTTTAAAACCACCTCCATAGGATTGTGACTCATAATTGAATCTAAAGGCAGTTCCTGAAGAGACTTGCCAAAAATTAGTGGGAATCTGTGCATAGGGTTCAACAATGTGAATGTACTTAATGCCCCTGAATTGTACATTAAAAATGGCTAAAATGGTAAATTTTATGTTGTACATATTTTACCACAATAAAAATAAAATCAGAGGTCTGGCAAGGTTACGTTTCTCTTTAAAGGGTCTAGAGGAGAATCCTTGCTTTTTCCAAGATCTAGAGATGACCTGCATTCTTTGGCTCATGACCCACTTCCTCCATCTTCAAATCCTGCAAGGACAAGGCAGGTTCTTCTCACATCACATCACTCTGACCTGGGTCCATAGTTTCATCACCTTCTCACTCTTCTGCCTCCCTCTTCCACTTTTAAGAACCCTGAGTCCACCTGATAATCCGAGATAATCTCCCTATCGTAAAGTCAGCTGATTAGCAACTTTAATTCCATCTGCAACTTCGATTTCCTTTTTTATGTAATCTAACATATTCCCAGGTTCCAGGAATTAGAACATGAACATTTTGATGAGGGATGGAGGGGACAATTATTCTGTCTACCACAGGAGCTATTAGCAGTACTTTTGTATTATTGTAAAATAATATACATAAGCAGGATGTGGAATAAAGAAACAAGCAACATGAGAGAGAGCCTCTGGACTGAGCTTGACCTTGGGTTTGGAGGAAATCACAGACACAGGGTGAATCATAGTAGAGACAGAGTTCCAGGTCAGAGGTTTCTCACAAGCCAAGCAGCAAAGCACAAATCCAAATCCATCCTGGAACTTGAGTTTTAAAAAGAAGAATCAAGGGAGAAATTATGGTGGAGAGAATCATCGCTTTATGAAAACAAACAAAAATATATTTTTTATATATATTTATATATATATATATATACATATAAAATTCCGATTCACTTGATCATTTTAGGACACAGGACTATGTTTCACCCAGGTGGAGTCTGATACCCGCTGGGAAAGCCTGGTGTGGTGGGAAAAGTCAGAGACCTCTGATCCCTTCAGATCAAAATGGCCCTCTATGTTTTCGGGAGGTCTATGCTTAAACACTTCCATGGGTCTTCATGAGAGTCAAAGAAAGATGCCCTTTCTTGATAAACACCAATGCCATTGGGTACCAGCATTGTCCCTTTCGGTACTCAGAGTTCCTTCTAGCACCCACCAGCTGTTCACAGTGCCAGGGGACTGGGCCTTATAAGAGCACTACTTGGGGACTAGTTTTTTAACAAATTATCAGTAAGTTGCAGTCAGGAACTGTGTGTTTCTTCATGTGTCTCTACCCATCCCACCACCCAGCGTCTGCACAGAGTAGGTATTCAACAGGTACTGGTTGGATTGAATTGAGAAAGGCCAAAGGATCAAATAAAGAGTTGACGGGGTCTCTAAGACCTGGAGTCGAGGAGGGAGGACAGAAGCTGGAAGCCCAGGCTGATAATGATCAACCCACACAAGGGAAAGGAGGAATTCCTGGGTATAGCAGGGCAGGTCAGAGGGTTTCTTCGCTGGGAAATGCCTGGACCACCAATAACCCAGAATAATACAGCACTGAACCTGAAACTCCTGCTGAAAGAACATGAGTTTTCCAGAGCTTCTTTCCAGCCCGCAGCTCATGCCTCCTCCATTCAGAATAGGATACAAGCAGCTCTGGGAGATGTCCAAGTTAGAAGGGAAATCCAAGAATAGCTAAGGGGAGATAGGGACTGCAGCACTCAGCACCTCCACCCTCCTTCCCACTGGCCTGCCTGCCTCGCTCCTGGGTCCAGGGCACCAGATTCACCATCTTCCCCTGAGGCATGAAACTGCTCTGGTATCCAAGAGTCAGGCCATTATATGGCCTGTCTTTCAAGTGGCTTTTTATAGCGTACTCAGGTGATGAGCACGTTGAAACAAATGAATACAAATGAAAAAGGCATCTGCTTTGCCAAGGAAATGATATTTATTAGGAGGTTAAAAGGGAGGCCCACTGGCACATCAGAGAGTTCTCTGGGTGAGCATAGGAAGGAACAGACCCCCAGGAAGGAAAGGGTGAGCAGGACAGTCTGGAGTAGTTGGGGAGGCTACAGGCTTTGGGTGAGTTTCTTGGCTGCCTTACGCGGGCAACTCCAGCCATGCAAATGATGTTTTCAGGCCCCTTTTGTTGAACCAGAGCCAGGTCACAGCTCTGGAGTCCTGGGCCCTGCATCCTTGCTCCTCTGGCATTCCCTAGGTTCTAGCGCACGAAGGAATTGCAGGGCCCACAGCGGGGGCGTGGGGCACAGGGTGTGCAGGGGGCAGGAGGGACACAAGAGGTACAGGGATTGGAGAGACAGGGTCCGATGGGCTTGCTGCACGCGTTGGTCGTGGCACAGGGATTGCTGGGCAGACTGGAGACAAAAGAATGATGTGGAAAAGTGAGTTAAGGGCAATTTTAAAATCATATGCCAGAGATATCCCCAAGGGTAAGAATGCCTGGGTCAAGGGACTTGACCTGGCCTAGAACAGAAAAGGCACAGACTCCCCTGCTACAAAGATAACTAACTCAAATTGTTAATGGTCTCCCTGCCATAGAGCACCAAGGTAGACAGAAACTCTGAAACTCTGATGTCTACTCTCAAATCCATTCATGCCAAACTGATGACATGGGGTGAGTCATTTACCTTCTCCAAGCCCCAGTTTACTTTCCTGTAGAATGGAGGGAATACTGATCCAGCCCACCTGGTGGTAATTATAAGATCAAATCAGGTAGCCTATGGGAATGTACCCACTAGGCAATACAGTATTGTAAAAAGTAAGGCATTGATCACATATCATGCAGTCATGCATATTATCATACTAGAATGCAAAGACTTGGCAGTGCAATTTCAGTTTGTACATCAAACAACTCTTGCTACCAAACCATTTATGTTTTAAATGATGGCCATATTATGTTGTCTGAGTTCTGTTTGAGCATGTCTAGTGTGAAGGCATAATTTCCTTTCCAAGGTATGCAATATTTGCATGGTGTCTAACTGTTACACTCACACGTGCATCATTTCATCAAACACGTCTGCCCATGTACTCACTTGCAGTCCTCGCTCTCCAGCAGGCTCCGGTATGTGTTGATCTCACACTCCAGCCGGGCACGCACATCCAGCAGCACCTGGTACTCCTGGTTCTGCCGCTCCAGGTCACTGCGGATCTCCGCCAGCTGGGACTCCACGTTGGTGATCAGGCTCTGCACCTGGGACAGCTGGGAGCTGTAGCGGGCCTCACTCTCTGTCAGCGTGTTTTCCAGAGAGTCTCGCTGTGGTGGAGAAGATTGGGAATGTCAGAGAGCTGCTCCTTCAAAGGGTTTCTTCACAGGATTACAAGGAAGTCACAAGCTCCAAGAGCTAAGGAGAGTGTGTGGCCCCAAGCACATCCCCGGGACTCTGCCTCCCAAGTTCCCGTCGCTCACCAGCAGGTCTGAACAATACACACCAGGTTGTGCTGGGCCTGCAGCTCGATCTCCAGGGCGTTGACTGTGCGTCTCAGCTCGATGATCTCCGCCTGGTAGGACTGCAGCTGCTCTGAGCTGGATACCACCTGCTTGTTCAGCTCCTCGGTCTGAAACACCCAAGGGGAGAAAGGATCAGACCCTGCCTCCGGGGCCCTGGGGGGCCTTGGGTCCTGAGGGGCCACGTGCTTAGATGCCCACCTGCGTGGTGAACCATTGCTCCACTTCCCTGCGGTTGGTTTCCACCAGGGCCTCATACTGACTCCTGGTCTCGTTCAGCACCCGATTCAGGTCCACAGTGGGAGCAGCATCCACCTCCACATTGAGGCGGTCTCCAAGCTGGCAGCGCAGGGTATTGACCTCCTATGGATGCAGAAAATACAAGAGTTACTATGCTCAGCAAAGAATGAACTCTAAGGAATGGCATTGCTTGTTGAAACCCTGTTAGTCTATTTTCTCGGAAAAGAAACTTTGAGTGGAGCAGTTTGTGACAGCTCAAGGCACTCCATGTGGCATAGCCCCCTCCCCACCATCTGCTGTGCCATGGCACTTGGCTTCAGAAAAAAATCCCAAAAGTTTGCTTGGATGCCACTGAAGGATGAACTAATTGATATTCAACTTTCCCAGTTTACAATTGGCTGTGAGGACCTCAGAATGCCAAAAAAAATAGGCTGTGCAATTTCAGACCATATATCAAAAAACTCTTGCTGTCAAGTAAGAGGTAAGAGCATGTCATGGCCCCTCCCAAGAGAGAGGAAGAATCTCACAAACACTCTTCACCAATACTTTGAAAGAGTAGAGACTCACATTTATAAGGTTTGATATTTTTTTTCTTGGCCTTTGCCAAAAAAAAAAAAAAAAGACTTTACAAAGCAATAACACTGCAATGCTAGGACTCATTCTACAACTATTGATCAACTGCAAGCACATGGAGCTGCTCCGGGCAACTCAAATAATGTGCTAGTTTAAAGTGAAAGATGTTTCCTGTCTGGGAACATGAACAGGTCTTATCTCTCTCCAATTTTTCTCTTACCGTGATGTTTTCAAAGGAAACCCTCAGTCTTGTACTCATACTCTGCATTCTGCTGCCCCAAATCACTAAAGCAACCCTGAGCCAGAGGCTGAGACAGGTTTGTGCATTTCTCATTTCTAGTCTCACCTGCTCATGGTTGCTCTTGAGGCAGAGCAGCTCCTCCTTCAGGGACTCCACCTGGGCCTCCAGGTCGGACTTGCACAGGGTCAGCTCATCCAGGATCCTGCGCAGACCGTTGATGTCCGACTCCACCAGCTGCCGCAGGGACAGCTCGGTCTGGTACCTGCGCAAGGACAGGGTCAGAGTACTACCTGGTAGATCTTCAAGACTCACAGGAATGATTTTTGATAACCTCATGTGCCTTATCTTTCCACTTTCTGTAATGAATAGGCCCAGGAGACAGAGGTTTCTGGAGGCTCCATCAATACCCAATATTCATCCCAAAACAAACAGATTGATGTGAGTCCTCATCCATTTTTGCATTTCTTTGCTTGGTTCTCCCCAGTCCTCTGCAGAATCCTTCACAACAAGTGGGTAGATCTGTTTTCAGATGGAAATCCCTTTTCTTTAAAGATTAAACAGAAGCAATTGACACTAGTGCAAATTCCGAACAACTCACTTGGTTCTGAAATCATCCGCAGCCAGCTTGGCGTTGTCGATCTGCACCACAAGCCTGGCATTCTCAGACTTGGTACACAGGATCTGGGGAGTGAGAGGTGGCTTAGTGAGGACTGAAAATAAATATGAAATCATCAACTTTTTAAAAATGACTTAAGCCATTTTGAAATAAAAGAGGAAGCAAGAATTATGACAGCACAGAAGCAAGAAACACACTTCTCTATCACAGACAGAATCACAGCAAACTCTCTTGCTTGGAGATGACAGCAATGCCGCTCACCTTCTGCTGGAGCTCCTCAATGGTCTTAAAATAGGACTGGTAACTGGGGCACAGCAAGGGCTCCTGCTGCTGAGACCGCTCCCGGATGAGGTTCTCCAGCTCCGCGTTGTCCCGCTCCAGCTGACGCACTTTCTCCAGGTAGCTGGCCAGGCGGTCGTTCAGGAACTGCATAGTCTCCTTCTCGCTACCATTGAAGGAGCCCTCGCAGAACCAGTTGCAGTTGCTCACATTGGCGGGGATGTTGCAGGCCCCGGGCAGGGTGCAGCTGTGGCAGCTGGGGGGCACGCAGGGCCGGGAGGAGCAGCTGGTGCGGCAGCTCAGGCTGGGCAGGCAGAAGTTGTAGGGCATAGTGCTGGGAGGGAGGGAGGGAGTGCCTGGCTGAAGACAGAGTCTAAATTCTCCAAGCCACAGAGCTGTGGGTCTCCTTCCTCTAGGGAGCATTTATATCCCACTGCAGAGGGTGTGGACACAGTATGTAATGTCTTTTTTCTTTTTATTTCTTCACTTCTTTTCAAACGCCCTTTCCTTCAGTCTGTTATTTGCCTTCCTCTGAAGAGTCCCTTCTCCCATAAAATTCTTTACTTGGGCTTCTTGCTAAGTCAGGACTCCTCCGCAGACAGTCCACCCATGAAATCAGAGTTCTGTGGTAGGCCTTCAAAGAGGCTACACAGTCCAGCCCAAGTATCTGCCCTCATTAATTGAGGTGTTGATCCATCCGATGACATTCTTTTGTGTCACATAATTCTGCAGGCCCATAAACATACTCATGTCCTGGTCCACCTGCCGTTTCTAGGGAGAAACACGGATTGATTTGAGGAAGAAGTTGCATTAAGAGGCCACAGTGGACTGTCTTTCCCTCTGCATTTAGAGAAGAATCTTCAAATGATGGAGCATTCTGTGCCTTGGAAGCCTTAAGGTGGATGATTAGAATCAATGGAGGACACGACTGAAAAGATTAGACAGCGATTTGTGTTTTACGGGTCCGTGTAATACTTCCCCCCCACCACCACATATTACTTAAGAAAATTGTAGAGGAGAGAATTTTAAAGGTAGAGGCTTTGATAACTAGTTGGAGAACAAGAAGTTTCTGGGGTAAGAGATCGTTTTGAAAGAGGCTGAAAAGTGCAAACCGAGAGAGCCATAAAAAACACATTTAAGGCTGGGCACAATGGCTCACGCCTGTAATCTCAATACTTTGGGAGGCCGAGGCCGGCGGATCACGAGGTCTAGAGATAGAGACCATCCTGGCCAACATAGTGAAACCCATCTCTACTAAAAATACAAAAAAATTAGCTGGGCATGGTGGCACCCACCTGTAGTCCCAGCTACTCGGGAAGCTGAGGCAGGAGAATCACTTGAACCTGGGAGGTGAAGGTTGCAGTAAGCCGAGATGGTGCCACTGCACTCCAGCCTGGTGACAGAGCAAGACTCCATCTCAAAATACAAAACAAAACAAAAAAAATGCATTTAAATAATCTAGGAAAGATATTCAGGGGCAGAGAGAAAGGAATAAGGAGGTCTTTGTCAAACATTTCCTAAGGTTATCCATAGTATCCGAACAGAGTAGATGGATATGTTAGGAAAGTCAGGAGATAGCCCAAAGGGGCCTCCACGGCCTGAAATCACTTGTAGTTGATCTTTAAACTTCATATGAATTGACCCTATATTCCATAATATATCCATGTTGGCTTTAATCTTTATATATATATATATATATATATTTTTTTTTTTTTTTCAGATGGAGTCTTGCTCTGTCACCCAGGCTGGAGTGCAGTGGAGCGATCTCGGCTCACTGCAAGCTCCGCCTCCCAGATTCATGCCATTCTCCTGCCTCAGCCTCCTGAGTAGCTAGGACTACAGGTGCCCACCACCACGCCCGGCTAATTTTTTGTATTTTTAGTAGAGATGGAGTTTCACCGTGTTAGCAAGGATGGTCTCAATCTCCTGACCTCGTGATCCACCCGCCTCAGCCTCCCAAAGTGCTGGGATTACAGGCGTGAGCCACCGCGCCCAGCCAGCTTTAATGTTTTTAAAAAGCCCCTTTTAAATTTCCAGTTAAACTTTCAAATACTTTGCTTAATTCTCTAAGAGAAATGGATACATCAGGAAGATGTACCATATTCTGTCCTGGGCTTCCCATCTCCAGCCCGAGTGGAGATGCCACCTGCTTTAAGAACCAAAGGTCTAAAGGTACCAAAGGAGGTCTCTGTGGTTGTGTAATTAAATCCAAGGACCTGGGCACCAGGAAAGAAAATGCTGAGCACGGCATGAGCAAGGGGGTTTTGCAAGGCAAGCTGGAGTCATTTGGGGTTGCTTTGGGAGGTGAAGGAAGGCACTAGAAGATCTGAGGAAGAGGTAGCCAAAGTTCTGAATATATAAAAGTTGCAGCACCCCCATCTCCACTGTGGCTTTGGCTGCCAGCCAGAGCTGCCGTTTTATTGACAATTTATTGGAGTGCTTCTCCCATTGAGCTTTCATGATGGTATTCATGTTGCACTCTGCTTGAGTCTCAGATAAAAGGTCCTTCATCTACACTCCCCAAGACCATTATCACTGCTTATTATAATGCCATTCAGATGAAAAGCCCCACAGCACTACAAAGAAGATCTAGACTTATAATAAAATCAATACTTTCGTTTCCTTACAAGACAATTAAAGGGGGAGAAATAGGCGGGTCTACAGACTGTTACTCCTGAGACTCTCCAGAGGAAGGACGCAAGGCTAGGTGGCAGCTGTCTGTGGGGAGCTTCTGTCTCATTTCATCTGGGCTTGGGATGAATGGAAAGGCTCGTGCATCTGATTGATGAGCACTAGCTTGTAGATGACAGCATAGGCCTTCTGCTTCCTAACTCTTGTCAGCCTGCTCCAAGCACTGGCTTTCCAGCAAGCAGCTATTTCCTCAGCCCTTTCTTCTTCCCCAGTCAGGCAGGCTTTAACCTAAGCCCAAACTAAATGCCAGCAGTATTCTCCAAGCTCTTGATTCCTATCTACTGATTGGCTGGCATAGCCTCATGGAGACTGTAGTCAAAGAAGAGTGTTTAGGCTCTAAGTATGAGAAGATTCAAGGATTGTATTGACAAGAGAGCAAACATAGAATTTTTGTACAATGCAGAGAGATCAGAGAAATGGAAAGAGACGGAGACCAGGAGAGACAACAAGAAAAAGAAGAGACAAGGAAAAAAGTTGGGAGGAATCCTCAGCATCATGCAGCAAATCAGACAAAGTTAGCCCAGCTTCCGAGGGGCTAACCTGGAAAATGCAAAGCTGAGAAGAAGCCAAGACAAAATAAGCCAATAGACTGAGGAGTGGCCCACCGTGCTGAGTGTCCTGCAAGGCGTAAATGGAGTTGACTCATAAAAGATCTATGGACACAGGACTACAGCTTCTGAGGCCTCTGAAAGAAGTGACATTGTTCCAAGCTGTCCAGACCGAAGCATCACCTCTGTGATCAAGCTTGAGATTGTTTGTGGCTGAGAAATATACTGCCATCTACACACAGGCAGTGTAAAGTCTAAAAGGAGCGACACTGCCTGTTCCTGAAGGAATAAGAAGTGGGAAGAGAAGAAAGGAGAAATGAAGCAGGGAGAGTCAGTCCTGCACTGGCTGCAGGTCATGGCCAGTCAGCAGCCACACAGAAGATGTAGGAGAGAACAAGAAACCCCTGTTATCTTCTGGTTACTCCTAGATATTCCTTTTTCTACCTGCTGGTTGCCCTGCAGAATGTGAAATGGCACAAGAATTCAAGATGGGGACCACAGACAGACTAGCTGGTGAGTAAACACAATGCTGCCATCTCTTGTGAATCTAGCCTCTTTCTTGCAGTGTTTTCAAGATCTCAATGGGCTTGAGTGAATTTGCTCCTTGAATTAGTGGGGAAAATGGGACCCCAGGGTTGTAAGATCCCCATGACCTCACACAGGCGAGGGGTAGAATTCATGTATTCTCTTGGTTTCCTAGTTGGAATATTTGCAAATTTTTTTCATTCAAGGAGAAATTGAGCAGTCAATGGGCTATCAAACCCACATTCATTATCCAGTTCAATTTAATTCAGAACACATTGATTAGACAGCTTCTCTATGCTGAGCATATGACTAAACAGAAGAATCATAGTTCTGGTGAAAAAAATGTCTTTTTATGAACAATTCCGGCCAAGATGGGTCCTCAATATGTATGAGAAATAGCCAGAAGTTAAGGAAAGGAGATATTTAGAAGGTGTAAGATGGGCATTTAGAAATATGTTTGTATTCAGTGTAAATAGAAAACGGGTACTGGGTGCAGTGGCTTGCATCTGTAATCTCAGCACTTTGGGAGGCTGAGGTGGGAGAATCACTTGAGCCCATGAGTTCAAGACTAGCCTGGGCAATATAGCAAGACCCCATGTCTACAAAAAAAATTAAAAATGAGTTTCAAAATTAGCCGGACGTGGTGGCACATGCCTGTAATCCCAGACACTTGGGAGGCTGAGGCAGGAAAATCTCTTGAACCCGGGAGGCGGAGGTTGCGGTGAGCGGAGATCACGCCATTGCACTCCAGCCTGGGCAACAAAAGCGAAACTCCATCTAAAAAAATAAAAATAAAATAAAATTTAAAAATGAGCCAGGCTTGGTAGAGCACATTTTAGTTCCAGATGCTCTGGAGGCTGAGGCAGGATGATTGCTTGAGCCCAGGAATTTGAGGTTACAGTGAGCCATGATCACACCTCGGCACTCCAGCCTGGGCGACAGCAAGACCCCATCTAAAAATTAAAAATAAATAAAAAGAAAACTGTACATGTGACATTATGGGCATTAGTCACTTGTTGAACATCTACTGTGTGCTTGGCACAGTCCCAGGGGCAGGGGACATGGTGGGGAGTGGGGGTATGTCATGTCCCTGCCCCCAGGAACTCTGAGTCCTGCTGAGCAGACAGGTCCACAGCTAGCATAATGTAATGTGATTGGGCCTTCCCCCAAAAATATCTCCTTCCCCTACCCACTCCATTTCTTCCTACACCCACCCCTGACCCAAACCCCATTCAGGGCATTCCAATCCAGCTCATGATTTTCAGCCACACGGCGAGGGGATGAAGCCATTTCAGGTTATGCACTTGATCCCAAAGAGTTTTTTGTGCTTCGCTCTCTAAGTGACTCATAAGCAGAATTCAGAGAACTGTTCTCATTAGAATCTTGTTCCCTTTAATAATCTAGTCTTCAGCCAGGCAGGGTAATGAATTGTTTTGGCATCTGGTTCTTGTTGCTTTGGAGACCACAGGAGAGGCGGTGGTGATGGCCCATCGCTTCAGCCCTGTGGCATCCCCACAGGATCCATGGGCATCAAGGTAAGTTTCAAAGCAAATGAAAGAGGCTTTTGCCAGGTGCAGCATAGGAAATCATTCCAGGGATGTGGTGTGGGCAGAAAAAGAAAAGCACCTACAGTAAATCAAGCAAATTGACAGAGGAAATAGAAAGGGGAATAAGGCTGGTGGAGGGAAACGGAGGGAGCACGCAGTCCTGCTGGTGAGTGGACACAGTTGTGCCCCCTTGAGACCAGAGAAACCTCCTGAGGGCAGAGGGCCTTGGAGACCAATGTGAATGACTGAGGCAGGTTGTATAGGATATCCAAGAACCAGGGAGGAAGGAAGGGAAAGGGAGGTTTGGATGCAATAACCAGCATCAAACGGGGGAGCCTCCAGGCAATGGCCAAAGGCCAGAAGCTGAGTCTAAAATGCTGATTGGGGACAGCACCGAGAAGGTCACCCCTAGGGAGATCCCAGACCCTAGGATACCTTTCCCGTAAAATCCATCCAGGATTTCAGAGTGGTCTGAACGTGAAGTTTTATCCACATGTACCTCCAGCAAGGCCCTCACAGTTGGGAACAGGGAAAGAGCAGGGAAAAAGAAATGAGAAGACTTGGGGTTGAGTGCGTGGAGCTGCCCCTCACCTGCTGTGAGGTGCAGAGGGGGCATTTCACCTCCCTACACCTGTACTTCTCCCACTGCACGATGGGGATTGTGATGTCTGTTCCCCTCTCTCAAGGTTGTTTGGGGCCTCCATTTGGATACAACACAAAGTACTTTAACAAGTGTTTTGTAAATGGTGAAACAATGAACATCTATAGGGATTCTGTTTCCCTCCTCCTCTTTCTCAATAGACAAGGTGGTTTTAAAATGGCAGGAAGTGAGTTGAGCTTCTTTGTCAACTCCTAGTTTATTAAAATTGCCAGAGTCCTCAAGCTTCAAGATCCTGTGAGATACTAAAGGACTTTTATTCCTTGTACCACCCTTTGTGGCATAAATTCTCAGAAACGTTTCTTCTAACATAAACATACTCATTTCCTTCAAGGAAAGGAATCAAAACAATGGGGTCATTATGATTCTATCATCCTTTTGACAAAATCTGAGACTTGGCCTCTGTAAAGCACAGTAGTTAAGAGCACAGTTGCTGGAGGCAGGCTGCTTGGATCTGAATCCTGGCTTCACCACCTAATAGCTGTGTGACCTTGGGCATGTTACTTAGCCTCTCTGAGTCTTGGCTACTTGTCTGCAAAATGAGAAAACCATAGCATTGGCTTTCTAGGATTGTTGTAATGATTAAATGAGTTTACCCATATGACTGTAGCTATAATTTAGACCAGCGCCTGGCTCATAGTAAGAGCTTGATGGATATATGGTTCTATGACAATGATGATGATGGTGAAGCTATATGATTTGATGATGATGATGATGATGATTCTGGTGATGGTGATGGTAATGATGACCTCTGTGGTTTCCAGGGAAACTCTTCACACACGACAAACACACAGATGTGCGTGCACACACACACATGTACTGTCTCATCAAAGCTAATCTTTTAATTAGAAATGAGAGAGCACTGGATGTGAACTTAAGAAACACAGGTCAATCACCCTGGGGCCCCACTGACTCACTTTATGTCACCAGCAGAATCCCTTAACCACTGAATGACTCACCTTCTCTCTCTCTCCCTTAAATGGGAAGGACAATGCTTGCCTGTGCCGTCATGGTGCAAGAATAAGTGGGTTTATTTTGTTAGACAGCTTTGAACTTGTTGGATGAAAGGAGCTATTTAAGTACAAAGGAGATGAGGGCAGCTGGGTCAGGTACTAAATTAAGACTAATCGAGATGGCTCTTCATTATTGAGAGCTTCTCTTGGGTAGGTGCCCAAGGGGTGTGTCACGTGTGCCAAAACAGTTTTACCACTTGAGAAAAAGAACAGAGGAGGGGAGGGCGTGGCAGCCTCTGACCCTTCTTGGGCTTCCTATGCTGGAAATCCCAGTGTCTCTCAAGCAGATCAGTCCTATGTACATGAGCAGTGACCAACAAGTAGGACGCTGGGCTTGAGAGCAGTTGGAGGCAGAGCAACAAGATTCTCACTTAAGCTCCCTCCAGCCTTGGGGCTCGGGACTGTGGTCACTCCAGCACCACACCGCTGTATCAGGAAGACCTGGATTAAACCAGAACCAGCTGTACTTGTAAATTTTTCAGCAAACTACAGTGATTCAGAGAATTCACAGAGGGAAAGGGAAGACCAAAACCAGCTCCTAAAGTAGATTTGGTGGTTCCACTTCAATGCCTGTGGTTTCACTGATCAATAAGACATAGAAAGCAGGGACGCACAGAGTTAGGGGGGCTACAGCCATCTCAACCAGCCCCATCAGTTCCCTAAGTGTTCCCCTCAACATCCCCATCAGTGATTCTGAAGCCTCTGCTTGTCTCCAAGGATAGGGAACTCACTGCTTCTCTTCTCTGGCCAGCTGTGATGCTGAATTCTGGAGATGTGCTGATTCTCAGCCACGGCTATCAAAATATGGAGCTTTTGATTCATGTTCTACCATCTGCAAATTCCAAGACAGACAGTTGCCATAAGGACTCACCAATGGGGGTTACTGGGGAGGTTGGATGGGTCAGCTTGTTTGGGCCTTTCTAGACTGATAGAAATAACTATCATGTAACATTTTCAGAGTTTTGCAATGTAAAAGAGAAAGGCTCTATCCTGATCTGATGGTATGAGGGATTCCTCACTGGAGGACATATCAGGACGGCAAGGCCAGCCCTTTCTGTAGAGGGTCTAGCTAGTCAAGGGCTCATTCCTCAAATAAACTTCCTAACCCAGTGTTTCTCAAACTTGAACCAACATCAGAATCACCTGCAAGTCATGCTAAAGCAGAATGCTGGTTCAGTAAGTCAGGGGTGGTGCTCAAGAATGTGCATGTCTAGCAAGTTCTCAGGTAATGCCAGTGCTACCTGCTGGCGGACCACGCTTTAAGAACCACTGTCCTAAACCTTCTCATGTTTAATTTGTTTCCCCCTCAAAGCTTCCAAAGAACGGGCTTTGGATCTGGTTCAAAGAGACTAGGTTTCAAGTCTTGACTCAGTAACCAACTGAGAATAATAACAGCTGCTTCTTCTTTGCAGGGCTGATGTGGTGCCCTGTGACACAATGTCGGCGAAGCCCCAGCCAGTGCCTTGTTCATAATGGGCATGTCATCCTAAAAGCTCAATTTAAGTTACCTGTTCTGGGGCTTCTGATTCATGTTCTACTGTCTACAAATTCCAAGCCAGACAGCTGCCAGGACTTACCAGTGGAGCTTACTGGGGAGCTTGGACGGGTCAGGTTGTTTGGGCCTTTCTAGACTGATGGCGATTACCATCAGTTAATATTTTCAGAGTTTTGCAACGGTCTGTGGTGCCGCAGATTTGAGCTCTTCCTTTACACAAGGACCAGGTGGCTTATCCAGATAAAAGGGAAATTTTACTTAGCGTCTATATTTTAAAAGCTCTATCTGTAAATCTGTCTCCAAATACACTTGGTGAGGTCCAAGGTTGGGTATCTCTCCTCTGTGCCACTTTGCCGCAGTCCCATTTTTAACTCTAGCCTTCACTGGCTTTGCCATCTCCCAGAACCACTCTGGCGAGCCAGCCACAACCCCCGTCTACAGAAGCATGTGGCTCAAGGAGTTCCCAGCAAGGCTCTCAGCATGGGACGGAGATGCTGAGGCTGGACTGCACTGGGCTCATTCTGCTGCAGAAGCGAAGTTTAATAGCAAAATAAAAACAAAAGTGCCTGCCCCATCTCAGAGAGATCAGGAGGCAACAGAAGAGAGAAAATGGAGCACTTGGGACACCTTGAGGGGAAGAAACAAATCCAGCCATAGGGGCTGAGCTGCTGGATTCAAACACCTATCCACAGAGTGGCACTGTCTCTCTTCAGTCTCCTGCCTGGCTGGCCAGGGAGGCAAGGCCCAGGTTAGCAGGCCTGCAGAGCAAAGCCTAACGAGCTGAAGACACCTCCCCTTTCCCAGCACCTCGGGCTGAGGAGTGTGTCAGTATCCAGTTGATGAGCAGGGCCCATGGGTGGCCCGGGAGCAGGGGGCGCAGGCTGCAGGGGCTGGACTAGGAGTGCTGAAGGCTGGGGTTGCACACGGGTTGCAGGGAAATCTGCATAGAGAAAAAAGGTGTTTGAAACATTGGCATGAGAAGTATGTGAAAGACAAAAGTATATTATAGACACTTTAGAATTAAAGTGCAAAAGAGGACCTTAGACCTTAGAGGTCCCTCTAAGCCTGAAAGGGGCAATGACGTGCCCACAGTCCACAGTGGAGCTGGGGCCAGAACTCAGTGTACCTGTGTGCCAGGCCAGGGTCACGTCCCATATGGAAGGAACACAGCAGAGAGAAAGGCAGAAAGGCCAGAGGAACAAGAATGGTCCAGATGTCAGCCACTGATTCCATTTAAACACAGCCCCTCATAGTGTTCCTTAGTGCTTAAAGGGGTATATCAGCCCTCTGATGCTTTTCACAGGGCTATTGTGGAACTAAAATGAAAGAGTCAGTGCACATGCCCTTAGCAATACTTTAAATGCTATGAGCACAAAGAATACTCGTTATTGGAATACTTCTCCTGGAGAGAATTTAGCAAAACCTGAATGTGCTGGGCATTCAGTATTTTAGCCCTCTATGGGAGTAGCCAGCAACTGGGAGCACAACGTGGTCAGCAAAACAAATGCCATGACCTGAAAACTCCTGTACACCCTCACCTACGCCTAGGCAGGCATTAGCTCACCAGGCCTAGTGGTAGCAAGTTTGTCTCCAAAGATGGGATCTGCAATGCCACCCCCACCTGGCCTCCAGAGCTCCTTTTAGGTCATTCCCAAGAGAAGTTATCTGTTTTTGCACACGGTGTTGACATAGACAACAGGGTACGTACTTGCAGTCCTCACTCTCCAGAAGGTTCCGGTATGTGGCAATCTCATTCTGCAGCCGGGCCTTCACATCCAGCAGCACCTGGTACTCCTGGTTCTGCCGCTCCAGGTCAGCCCGGATCTCAGACAGCTGTTCCTCCACATTGTTGATGAGGCTCTGCATCTGGGCCAGCTCTGTGCGGTAGCGGTCCTCGGCTTCACACAGGGAGTTCTGTAGACAGTCCTTCTATAATATCAAAGAAAGGAGGAAGCAAGTTAAAAATCATGGATCTCCAACCTCTTAAGATTGTGACACCCCAAGACATTGCCAGGTCCAGAGAGCAATCTAACTCCCTTTAGCTGTCTTCAGCCAGAATAACTAACACACTTCATGGTAGACCTTTAAGATCAGAGCCCTCTGACCTAAGTTAATGTTGATTCACTCAGCATCCACATCTACAGGGAAGTGCTTCCAAAAGAGTTGAAACCAAGGTTTAAGCTGAGTCCGTGGTTGGTATTCGAGGCCTGTACTGACCCCAGAGAGCTACTCATGGGTAGTGGGAGCCAAGCTGGGTCTCCCATGCGTGCAGAGGGACTCACCAGTGTGTGCTGAGCCTGAAGCTCCACCTCCAGGGCGTTCACCGAGCGTCTCAACTCCAGGATCTCTGACTGGCAGCACTGCAGCTCCTCAGAGCAGGACATGGCCTGCAGGCTGATGCCTTCAGACTGGAGCATAGAGAAACATGGTCACCTACCTGCCCAGATGGAGGCCAATCCCCACTGCTTAGCAGTCCCCCTCACCTGGGCTTGGAACCACTGCTCCACATCCTGGCGATTGGTCTCCACCATGGCCTCGTACTGGCCTCACGTCTCCCCCAGAACTCTACTCAGGTCAATGGTGGGCTCAATGTCCAGCTCTATCCGGAGCTTGTCTCCCAGCTGACCCCTTAGAGTGTGGGCTTCCTGTAGGCATCAGAGGAGTATGACCCGCCTGCAGGGCCCCCAACTGCCCTTCACCCAAACTCTCAACTCCCACTTTCCATCCTCCCCAGTAATTTCCCTGTGCTCCTCTGAAGATAAACCGCTGCCTGCACCAGCCTAGCAGCTTCCAGAAGCTGTGGATGAGAAGCAATCTCCCACCAAAAGCCAGAGCTCACCTGCAAAGCTTCAATCCCAAGCAGAAGGAAGCCTCCGTTTTTTCCCCCCAGATGAGCCTGAATTCACCTCCAGAAAGTCTCAATGCATCACACCAAGGGTCACACACCTGCTCATGGTTCTTCTTGAGGCAAAGCAGCTCCTCCTTCAGGGACTCCAGCTGGGCCTCCAGGTCACACTTGGCGAGGGTGAGGTTGTCTAGCACCCTGCGCAGGCCACAGATGTCAGCCTCCACCAGCTGTTGCAGCGAGCGCTCTCTCTCGTACCTGTAACAGGGAAAGTGCAGGAGTGACAGTTAGAGGGCAGGAAGGGGCACCAGGACATGACTCCCAGCTCGCAGCTGTAAGTCCACTGGCCTGCCCTTTGCCATCTAATTGTGAGTTGGCTTATCCTGTGTAGTGTGCTCAAAGCCCAGAAAGCAACAGGATGTTCCCCACTCAGTCAATACTAAGCACCTGAGATGAACCAAGGGGAGCAGCTGGTACTGAGGATACTGTGATGGACACACAGCCAGCACCTGCCTTTACACACAATGGCCCAAAAGGGAGGTGGCAAAGTAACCAGGCATTTGCAACACAGTGCAATCACTGCAGGCCCCTCTCTACAAGCCCCATACCCAAAGGGACCCTGGATTCCCTATTAGAGTAAAAGCCACATTGCCAGCATGAGAGGAAGGAAATGGCTTTCTTTAGCTCTAGAAGAGTGAGACTTGCACAGTGCCCCGAAGAAAGATGATAAAACACAATGCCCTTCCAGCACCCAGGGTAGACCCTCCTCAGGTGGTGTCAACCCTTTGACTTTCACATGTTTTCATCTTAGGCTATGGAGCATGATTTCTGCTATGAATTATCAGCACTCACAAATTAATCAAGCTGCAGCACAGAAACATATCCTTATTAAGGCAACAGTTTCACAGGAAATTGCTTCAAGAAAGGAAAATTTGGTACAAAATTTAAGGCCAAGTCCCAGCTCTGCCACTCGGTACCCACATGGCTTCTGGCAAGTCACACCAGCACCCCAAGCCTCAGGGTCCCCACCTGTGGAGGAGATTCTATCCCTGCCCGCCTGCTTCACAAGTTGCTTACCAGGTGGATGATGCATTCTAGCACATGTTGTAAACTGTTAATGCTAAACCACTGGAGAGCGGATAGTTTTTCAGGATCTTGAGCTTAATGCCCTTTGTTCTCTTCTGCTATAACTACTGGGTTGGGGTCTGGGTCAATGACATCCGATGCCACATGAGACAGAAGCAGCCAACTTGGCATTGTCCCATCCCCATCCAACCCCAACTCTCACTTGGCTCCTTCCCATCCCTGTCCAACCCCAACTCACTTGGTCCTGAAGTCATCTGCAGCCAATTTGGCATTGTCTATTTGCACAACCAGCCTATTGTTCTCCGATTTGGTGCACAGAATCTGGGGTAAGAAAGTAGGCTCAGTAAGTGACTTACTGATCCCAGAGACACCTATAGCCTCAGGTGAGAGGAAGTTTTATTGGCTGAAGTTGAACCTACAGCATCCGCCTGGACAACACAAACTCCCAAACGTGCAAGAGATGCTTTTGTGGTGTGGGAAGGAAGATGTGCAAGAGACTTCTTGGAAAAGGATGAAGACATAGAGTCAAAGGAACCAGGAGATGGAAGACAGTAGCAAACTGAACATATAACAAAGACTTGCTTTCATTTTGCCAGATATGATGCTTAGCCCAATATAAATAAGAAGATCTGGCCGGACGCAGTGGCTCATGCCTGTAATCCCCGCACTTTGGGAGACCAAGGCAGATGGATCACCTGAGGTCAGGAGTTCAAGACCAGCCTGGGCAACATGGTGAAACACCATCTCTACTAAAAATATAAAAGTTAGCTAGGAGTGGTGGCGCACACTTGTAATCCCAGCTACTCAGGAAGCTGAGACATGAGAATCACTTGAACCTGGGAGGCAGAGTTTGCAGTGAGCTGAGATTGCACCACTGCACTCCAGCCTGGGTGACAGAGCGAGACTTTGTCTCAAAAAAAAAAAAAAAAAAACTAGGCCACAGAACAGAGGACTGGCTATGAATGTTTTAGATAAAGTAGGATCTGTTCTAAAGAAGATCTTTCCTCTGGTTGTCCAACCTCCCCACAGGTCTTCTCTGAATCTAGCCAGGTTTCTGTAACCCCTATTTTGACATTCCTTGTCTTCTTGTCTCCAAAACTAAGATGTAGGCTCTTCAGAAGCTTTAACTGGATAATCAAAGGTGACAATAGATATGCATAAGAGGTTGATGCTGTTGTGTGGATAGACACTGCCTTGGCAAGGATGTTAGGAAATATTCCTTTTGCCCTGTTTACTGCACCAGAAGTTTCAGTATACTGCAACTTTCATAAACTCAGCACGGTTTTTGCATGGTTTTCATGAAAATAGCATGATTTTTGTGACTACGATTTAGGAATTTTATGTGCTGAAGTTAAGTAAGCATGAACTCAGAATCCTAGAGTGATAAATTCTACATCTCATCCTTTACAAATTCCCATTCACCTTCACTCAAGAGATTCTCTTCCCACATTAAAAGAAAAAAAAAATCCACTGCTGACCCAGGGTCAGTAATCTTTTTTTGTAAAGGGTCAGATAGTAAATACTTTAGGCTTTGCAGACCCTACAGTCTCCATTACAATGACTGAACTCTGCCACTGTAGTACAAAAGCAGCTGCAGACAACATACAAATGCATGAGCATGGCCATGAACCAATAAAACTTTATTTGCAAAAGCAGGTGGTGGGCCGGATTTGGCCGACAGGCAGTAAGCAGATTCCTGACCCCTGATCTGGTGCACCGCAAACCTCACCTTCTGCTGGAGCTCCTGGATGGTGCAGAAGTAGGACTGGTAGTTTCGGCACACGCTGGACTCGTGGCACTTGCTCCTCTCATGGAGTTTGGTCTCCAGTTCTGCATTGTCCCACTCCAGCTGGCGCACCTTCTCCAGGTAGTTGGCCAGGCGGTCGTTTAGGAACTGCATGGTCTCCTTCTCGTGGCCGTTCAGGGTGTTTTCGCGGTAGGCCCCACAGATTCCGATGTTGCCAGGAATGTGGCAGGTCCCTGGCAAGGGACAAGTGGTGTGGCAGGTTGGGGGCAGACAGAGGCTGAGGCGGCCCAGGGGAGTCGACCCCACACGGACTCGATTGGCATGTGCCACATTAGCCAAGAGGCACAGAGAGGCAGCGTTGGCCTCTGAAACCTGCCCGCTGAGGAGGGAACTGCAATGGTCAGAAGTCATGGTGCTAAAAGGCAAGATCCTGCTTTGCCCACAGTTGGATCTGCTTGACACCAAAATCTTCCTTCTCCTGTAGACCTTATATAAGCCTTAGTGGGTGTTGGTGCAAGAAAACTGGCATTTTCCTCATTAATATTTATGTCAATTGTTATACAATCACTCTATTAGTCAGTGGTTTTTGTTTCCTATAAAGAGTTAATGAGCTCATGAAAGAGGCCCTAACCTCTTTCTTCCCATCACTGCAGGGTCCTGGAAAACAGAGAAAACAAGGTCTTCTTCAAGCAGCCCACTTTCTGTGGCTGTGAAATCTTTCCCCTTCTGTCAGCTTATGTCTATGAAATAATCAAGAACTAAAGGCTCCTAAAATGTCCTGCAAGTCTCTCTCACTCCCACATTCTTTTCCTACCTCTGAATGTTCCCAATGCAGCAAAACCTAAAATATTAGTCAATCAGGCACATTGAAGAAAGGGAAAAATCATGATTTGTTTGTTTTGATAGATATTTGTAGAGTGCCCAGTGCGGAACAAACGCACATCTATGCTGTCTTGTAAGAAGGAGATTTTAGATTTTAATAAGAAAGATAAAAAAGTAAATGATCTTGATATTATGAAGACAGTAAAAGGAAGTATTTTTTTTTTTTTAAAAGACAGCTGCAAAGATTTCGAGGTGGAAGAGAGCTCACTGAGAGACCGGAAAAAGACTTCATGGAGTAGGGGATTTTCCAAATATGTTTTGAATGATATTTTTTATAAAGGGTTGGGGAATGAGCTTCTCTCATAGAGAACAAAATAAACACAATCAAACATTTGGAAAATGGAAAATAGTCTAGTTGTGTTGGTATTTATAATGGAGACATTATCCCCAAGCCCCGGAAAGTTGCATTGAGTCCAGGTTGTGAAAAGTCTTAAATACCAGGACCATGGTCTTGAGGCAAAGGTGAGTGAAAGGTAGGGATCTGCCCTGGAAGACGACTTTCAAGTATAAGGAAAAATAAATAGCCAGCTTCCTTTTGAAGGAAAGTAGCAGAAAAAAGGTGGAAAGTTCCTTTACACAAATTATTAGAAAACTGAAAATGAAACCTAAGTTCAAAATTAATCTTGGTGTTTGAAAACTAACACAGTTTTTAATACTCCTTGGGTTAAATAAGAAATCTAATTTAAAAATTTTTAAGTATTTTGAACTGAATTAAAATCAATACACAACCTATAAAACAGATGTTGGCAATTAAGACTTTCCCTGTGCATACGTGAAACAGATAAGCGTTTTGGGAGTGAGAAAAAAACGGCTCATAATAAAACTGATGGTTTGCAATTTTCAGAAAATAAAATTATGCTTCTGTGTACTGGAGTCTACAGGCTAATTAAGGCAGGCAGTGATTAACACTTTATGGTGTCTGTTCTCAGGGCCTCACCCACCTTCCCAGGCATCTTTCCTTTCTATTGACCCTTTCACCAGACTGAGTCCCTCATCACCCTTGTTTACAGAAGATACGTACTCAAGAACTTTGATCTTTCATCTTTTGAAATATTTTTGCATTTCTTTGAAATGCATCTACCTTGATTATCCATTGCTTGGGAGACTCTAGAACAAAATTTAAATTTCCTTAATCTTCAGACACACTCAGAGCATCAGAACCTTTATGGCCTCCCCTATTTCTAAAACAAATAAGCCAGTGGCCATTTGTTCAATACACCCTGGAAAAGGGCAGCTAGCCAGCTTCCAGTCTATGCTAACAAAGATGCTAATTTGACCGCATTCCTAAGATGAATGAATTCACCACGAGGGCCCTTGAAGCAGCAAGTGTGTTTCAGCTGGCACTACAACATAGCATCTCCAGGACGAAAGGGACTTCAGGGTCCTCTAGTCTAGTACCCATTTGCATTAAATCCCTTCGATGACCTTCCTCCAACTAGTCATCTAGTCCACCATTTTCCAGGAGAGCTTACACCATCAGTTCCTGTGGCTTACAAACAGCTTCCCAGGCTTTGTGCAAGACACTGGTATCCAGAAAATTAACAGCAGCTAGCTCAGCCTTAAGGCACTCACATTATAGAGAATTTTTAGAAAGTCTTCACAAATCTACCTTCGTGTTACCTCTCCCTATAGCTTTTGTTGGGTCATTCATTCATTCATTCAACAAATAGCTATGAAGTACCTACTCTGTGCCAACCAGGGGCTGAGCTGGAGGCTAGTAATACATTGGCAAGTAAGTCAGAGAGTTGGCCCTTTAGTTCATTTACTCTCCAGTTCTCCCCCATGGTGTCCCATACAGGATAAATCTAATCATTCTGCCATATTCTCAGCTCTTTGTGGCAGATGTGAGATTTCTTACTCCTGGTTCTGCATTCAGCATGGTTCAAAGTCCCCTTGCCATCCCAGGAATGTTTCCCTGGACATGCTCCATGATGTAACAGTTACTATCACTCTTAAGTGCGGGCTGTACAGTGGGATTTCTGATTAGTTTAGATTGAAAGGCTGCCAGTAGATGGCCAGAAAACCTTCTTGCCCAGGACTTTTGTGTAAACCATGCTGGAGCCACTGGCTATTCAGCCATGACAACCAGCCAGCCACCAGTTGGTCCCATATACAGTCAATGAGACGCATGGGGACCCTTCTCTGTAACTCTATACAGATGTGGGTGATATTCTCCAAGGCATGATTTGCCTTATCCTGGTGACTTACTCTGAATGTCTGATATTCCTGAACTCCTGTTATACCAAAGCCCTTCTCAAGGGGATGGGGGATGCAGAGATGAAAAGGAGAAATTTCCACCCTCAAAAAGCTGAGAGCAGAAAAAGAGGTCACGTAACTCAGTGGAGGGAGAAGTGACTGGAGCTTAGAGATATAGAGGGGCCATCAAAGACACTTTGTCTGGAACTTAAGATTGGGAAGACTTGGATGGGCAGGAAAGATGGGAGACAGTTTTCCAGAAAAAGAGGATGAACAGGCCAGGCGCAGTGGCTCGCGCCTGTAATCCTAGCACTTTGGGAAGCCGAGGCAAGCGGATCACGAGATCAAGGATCGAGACCATCCTGGCCAACATGGTGAAACCCCATCTCTACTAAAAATACAAAAATTTGCTGGGTGTGGTGGCACACGCCTGTAGTCCCAGATACTCGGGAGGTTGAGGCAGGAGAATTGCTTGAACCTGGGAGGTGGAGGTTGCAGTGAGCCGAGATCGAGCCACTGTGCTCCAGCCTGGGTGACAAAAAAAAAAAGAGGATGAACACAAGAAAACACTCAGAAGCAGAAGTGGGCTCAAGAGAACTGGGTACAACTTCAGAAATGCAACAGCCAACAACAGGCCTGTCCCAAGTACTGGACCCCCAAAGAAATGAGTTTGAATGACACAAAATGTCAACCCAAAGAGCCAAATTGCATTTCTGAAGCCTGTAAGAGTGAAGTTTGTACTCCTCTATGCTAAAAATATTGTCTGCTTCTATTTTCATAACATCTCCACCAGTGGTCAAACTTTAACCAGCATCAGAATCACCCAGAGGGCTTGCAAAAAATGCAGGTTTTCAGGCCCCACACCACAGTTTCTGATTCAAGCGGTCTGGGGTCAGGCCAGGGAGTCTGCATTTCTAACAAGTTCCCACATGACACTGATGCTGCTGGTCTGGGGACCACCCTTGGAAGACGGAATCACTGCTCCATAGCAATAGACAAGTTTTGTGGTGACTTCATCCTAGGTGAATGAAGCACCAGGTCACAAAACAGGATTTGATGAATTCAAGAGGAGCCAGTGTTTGGATTACTGTACTTCAAATCAGTTAGCATGCAGTTTTCTCCAATGTAATAAGCAAGTTCTGTTTGTTTTCCTAGTTTGCTCTTCTTTGCTGAGGTTTGTTTTAGGAGGATATCTAGGATGAAGGAGAGAGGAGAGACAAAAAGGAAAATATGCACACTGTGTTGCTTATGCCTGTGGGGAAGAGGCCAGTCCACGCGAAAAACAATGTTCATAAAGGACAGATAAAGGTCACATGAAGTAATATCTATTGACATCTATTATGTGAAGGGAACCGAGCTTGGCACTTGGTATACAATATTTTACTTAATTCTCTCTCACACATTCACAAATCTATACACGCAAATTAGATAGACACCTACTATGTGCGGCCTACTGTGTTATTATTTGACCACCTACTATGTGCCACCAAGTATTATACCATATGCTTCCCATATAGTTGTGTCTTTTCATCCTTATAACCACACTACAAAGCAGTTACAAGTATCCCACTGTAGAGTAAAGAAAACAAAGCTCAGAGCAGTTAGGGATGTTGTCTGAACTCACCAAGTTGGAATGAAAAGTATGGGCCTTGAAATGTCAGCCCAGGTCTGCCTGACCCTGAAGCCCAAGTTCTTTCTGCTCTGCCCAGTGACCCAGAAAGGGCCAGATAGTGGACTCTGGACTGAACACAAGGCCAACACTCCTAGACGCCAGCTGTCCAACTGGATTTATTCAACAAATAGCTATGAAGTTCCTGCTCTGGGCCACACAACTTGCCTGAAGAGCTAGAAACAGAACAGAGTCCTCTGGAGGTTTTTGAGCAGATGAAAGAGAGAATCAAAGGAGAAATTTTAGAAAATTAATCCAGTGCCTGTCAACCTAAAATAATCAAAAGGCTCAGGATCTGGTTAAAAAGAGTTTTTTCAAGCATGGCATGTGAGAGCCGTCTTCTGGGGACACACGAACACCGAAGAATGGCAATCAGTACTCCCAGTGCAGGGGGAAAATGAAGATCACTTATATAGGCAAAAATAGAGGTGCTGAACAGAATTACGACGTTTTCCACACAAAGGCTAGTGTACAGATGTAAGATCTGATTGACCGCTATTGATTACACTCTCATGGGGTTGCTTAACATTCTATTGTAAAAAGGTAGCAGTCACAAGGGCCTCCTTCTCCAATGTCATTTACTCTAGGTTTGAATACAGACAAGGGAGTCTGGTTACTATGCAACATGTCAACACACAAGTCAGGAAGCAACTGTCTTTGCAGGAGAGAAGAAGAACAGCTATATCGCATGACCCAGTTTCCAAGGCTTAATTTTTCACTTCGGCATAATAAATTTAGAAAGCCCTGACATTTCATTTTCTTTTTTGTTTGTTTATTTGTTTTGTTTTTGTTGTTGTTATTGTTTTAGACGGAGTCTCGCTCTGTCGCCCAGGCTGGAGTGCAGTGGCGTGATCTCAGCTCACTACAACCTCCGCCTCCCGGGTTCAAGTGATTCTCCTGCCTCCGCCTCTGGCGTAGTTGGGATTACAGGCATGTGCCACCATGCTTGGCTGATTTTGTATTTTTAGTAGAGACGAGGTTTCACCATGTTGGTCAGGCTGGTCTCAAACTCCTGACCTCAGATGATCCACCTGCCTCGGCCTCCCAAAGTGCTAGGATTACACGCGTGAACCACTGCGCCCGGCCCCATTTTCCTTTTACCACTGCCCAGTGTGCACCCTGGAGTGGGAACACTCCATCTTCATTTCGTATGCTCTCTAGCATGCAATACAGTGCCTTGTACATAATATTTACTCAATAAATAGAACACAAAAGAGTGAAGGGCTGGTGGTGTGTGCAGAACAAACCTGGCACAGAAGAGAGCAGGAGGAGGCTCTTACAAGAATCCAGGCAGGATGTGATGGAACCCAAAACCAGCCACCAGCAGTGCTGAAGTAAAGGAAGGCACAAAGGACATAGATGCTGCAGAAGGACTCTACAAGACAGGGAGAATTACTGTATATGGGGTCAAAGGAGGAAGAGAAACCGAAAGTGGCCCCAAGGTCACCCCCAAGTTCCTAGGACAATTGTGTGCTTCAAGGGAGCTGAGAAGTCAAAGGAAAGAGCTGGCTAGAGCGGGAGAAGCTGCATTCAAGTTTGGAGAGGATGAGTGTGAAATATAGCTACCTGGGACTGGCCACTAGGGGGTCACAGACAAAGGCCTGGGGCCAGGGCAGAGCAGCCTGGGTCACTGAGAAACCCTCCTCCTCAGAAGCTAAAACGTATTACACCTGGCAGGCAGGTAAAGCAGGTAAGCTTAGCCCAGGGGCTCATACTTGAATAGGAACGGTGATTCTAACTGGGAGAGTCTGTGTATCACCCCCTAGCCCCAGTGGGGAGGTGATGTTTGGAATATCTAAAACAGATGGCAGGGAAGTTATTTTAGTTAGAGGAAGTGTCATTTGAAAACAAGCATAACCTGTATTTGAAATGAGCTGTCTTTTAGTCATGATACGAGTTTGGTATTTACATTTTTGAAAGTTAAAACATTAAGTGAGAAGGCAAGATATCTTTACATTTATTAAGTGGGAAGGCATGGTTATGAAACACTGAATTAGGTAGAAAAAAGATACATTAAAAATGGTTTAATTTAAACAGGCTGAGAACTTCATGAGCTTCAAGCTGAGCTCATGAAGATTATAAGTGGCCATGAGAACAGATGAAATTGATTTTGTTCTTGGTCAGGAAGACAAAGAGAAGATGCTGGGGGGAAGGAGGGGAGGGTGGGGCACACACCATCAGCCTTAGGTATCACATATCATCGTCTACAAAAAAACTATCCAAATAAAAAATGCTCCTGTTCAGGAAAGTCCAGAAATTCACTTCAATCTTCTTGGCTTCCCAGTGTAGACAGTGGTGGGAGCAGGAGTGGGCCCTTCCCCAGAGCTCTCTCGGTGACTGCAGTGTCCACCCCAGCAGCCTGTAGCTGTTTACCCTTTCTCCTTTCCACTTTGCTGGAATTTGTGAGAAATGGCATTTGGTGTCAAAAAATACATAAGTGCATGGGCCTCATGAGCCGCAACTGATGTTACCACGTGAAGGCTGGGAAGAAATATCACACATCAGCCCACAGGCAGTGCAGGATTGGTGAACTGAAGAGGGACGGGCTAAGCACTAGGTGGCTCAGAACCAGATGTGGCCCCCAGCCAAGGGAGCAGAAGCCTCAGGAGAAGGAAAATAAGAGACACCTGGTTGCAGTTATTGTGGCCAAAGCAAAGCCTATTGTGCCACATTCAGGGCTATATCCATCCAGTCGGTGAGAGTATGTGAGGCAGAGAGGCCAGGGACAGGCACAGAATGTCCAGGCGGGAGAATCACTTGCAAGAAAAGATGTCTGGGATTTGGTACCAGAGGGAGCCCTAAGCTCTCAGGCTAGGATAACGAATGTGAGTAAAACCCCAGGGTCCAGGTGTCCTGACTGCACTGGTTACCCACCTGCCAGCCTCTAGCCTTCATTTTCTATGTACCTGAGTGGCACCTCCTGTCACACCTAGCCATGGGACCTCATAGGTAGAGCTTGTTAAGGGTGTGACCTGGCCAAGAAAGGTGGGGACAGGTCGGATCTCCACAACCCCATCACACTGAGGGTCAGGGAGGGTCATGGCCACTTCTTAAAACATGACTCTTGTGGGTTCCTCATTAGAAGAGCCCACCAAACAGTCTTGTCCTCTGACAGCCCAATGAATGCTTTTTTGGATTCAGTTAGGCTACTTGGAGTGAGAAACAGGCCTAATGACAACAGAAGATGGCTTTTATTATTGCATGTACATGAACAAGGAATATGGCCAAACTTTCCAGCCACCAACGTAGAATCTAGGGCCCCGATGCTGAGAGTGGGTTCTGCTACTATCTCTTCAGCTCCTTTTTCTCTCTGGGAGGAAGAGATTGTACCTGCTGGTTCCTAGGGAGCCCCAATAAACCAATATCCACTGAACACCTTCTAGATGCCAGGAACATTAGATGCATTACCCCTCAACCACAGTGAGAGGGAAATACAACTATCCTACTTCCACAAACAAGGAATAGGTCTCAAGAGAATGCAGTGACCTGGCCAACTTCACTCAGCAAGGTGGGTTCAAATCCCACTTCAGAGTCACCAAGGTGGGATTTGAACCCAAGTTTCCCTGACCCTAGAGAAGATCCACCTCCACCACACTATGCCACCATGAAGAAGGACCAGTTTTTCATTGCTCTTTGCACCAGGGCACATGGACAAGCTGAGACCCAAGAGTTTCATTCTTCTGGACACACTTGGTGCTTGCCGTAAACTGACTAGCATGGCGTGGGAGGCAGCAGCCTCTCTGGGCTGCTCCTCCACCTGCTTATAACTGCATCTGGCTGTGAACCACCTTGGCCAGTGCCAAAGCCACATCTGAGAGGCAGGCAGGGACTTGGAGTGCTCTGATGGCAGCGGCAGCCCTCACCGCCAGCACCTCCAAGACAGCAGCAGAATAGACAACAGAAACATCAGTGGCAGCATCTCTCTAGAGAAAACTAAAGCCTAGAAGTGCCCCAGGACCAAGACCCCAGTCTCCAGTGCCCAATCTGGGCCTCTGCATTTGGGAGAGTGGGCGAGAATTCCATGGCTCCATGAAAGGGGCCAACTGGAGTGAGAGGAAAAACTTGGCAACTTGGCTCAGACAATTCTCAACACGACCTTCCTTTGACGATATTAGAATGCTAAGTGATGTGATTTTGCTCTTGGACAAAATAACAAGAGGCTGAAGATGCCAAAAGCATGGTAGGGACATGTTAGCTCTGAGCTGTTCTGAAAGAATTCAAACTTGGCAACTGGCATCACTTCCTTCCACCAGTCTATAGGGATCCCTGGGAAAGGTGAATACACATCCAACATCAGGAAGGGACCTTCATCCAGAGGCCCCAGAGCACCCCAGGGAGCTCCTGGAAGCAAGATGTCAGAGCCAGTGAGGACACAGGACCTGACGACCAGGACTCTCCGACATCTCACATACAACCAACACCGGGGAGACAGCACTTGGTGCAGGAAGGAGGTTTATTGACCATTTAATGCAGGGAACCCAGTTACATTTTTGGAGATTCTGAAACACTGGAATAGAACTAAAAGTACCAAGAAGAGACACCAGGAAAAATAATTGCTTTCATGGAAGATAATTACAACATTTTAGCAACAACAAAAAATACAGCTTAGAGGCATAGGCAGGGAGCCACTCCTTGGAAGTATCTGCTACCGGTTGATTTAGGGAAAATGCCTCAGTGAGTCTAGTCTTGAAGGAAGACTGGGCAAGGTGAGGGCACTCCTGACCCCAGTGCAACCAGCCTCAATCTCCTAACTCGGGCCTTCAGAATCATCTCCCCATGCTGGCTCCATGGCCAGAGGGAGACCCACCGGTGACAGGGCCACAGCTTGGACAAGAAGTACAGGAGGCAGGCGTGGAACAGGGATTGCAGGGGAGTCTGCAGGGAGAGAAAGAAGAGTTACATTAAAAAGATGTCTCAGTGATTGATGGACAAGGGTAAGATCAGGGTGAAGGCTGGGCCTGCCACCAACAAGGCACACAGACCAGAGAATCTATACCAACAGTTCTCTCATCTGTGTCTTTCTACATCCAGGAATCCTTGGGGAAGATTTGGCTTAGGGACCTGGCTATCATTTAGAGAACATTTTCTCAATAATCCAGTCTGCACAGACCAGGAGAGGTTAATGAGTCACTGAGCAAGAGAGCACAGGAAGGCTTGTTTGTTAAGATGATATCTTCTGCAAGCACTTCCATTACCTCTGAGGAATTGCCTGACAGTCATGTGTGTGGCTTAGGAATTGCCCAGATCACACGTACTTGCAGTCCTCGCTCTCCAGAAGGTTCCGGTATGTGGCAATCTCGTTCTCCAACCGGGCCTTCACGTCCAGCAGCACCTGGTACTCCTGGTTCTGCCGCTCCAGGTCGGCCCGGATCTCAGACAACTGCTCTTCCAAGTTGCTAATGAGGCTCTGCATCTGGGCCAGCTCTGTGCCGTAGCGGTCCTCCGCTTCACACAGGGAGTTCTGCAGACAGTCCTTCTGTAATGGGAAATAATGGGGTAAGAGATCCAGGTGCCCCAAAACTCAGCAGTGAAAATCATGACCAAACTCATCACACATAGGGCAAATTCCAAAATGTCATAGGACATTCTCAGAGCTCTGGAGAAATCACTGTCAACATGACCATGACTTCTCTCTCATGCACACAAATCTAACTTAAGGAACTGTCATGTTCATCCCTGTATCCCCAGTGCTTGACAAAAAGCAGGCACCTCGTAAAATCTTGTGGAGTGAGTGCCTGAACTTCCGCACTGTGTTGTAAAGGAAGTGGACTTGATTTTCTGAAGAAACCATTTCCCTGGGTCACACTGAACTTGACAGCAAGACGTCTCCATCGGGTATAGAGGACCCCAGATCTTGACTTAATGTTGAAGGAACTGATTTGTGAGACTTTAAGAGATGCTACTACCAGGACATGGCATGGGGCATTTGCAGTGCAGTGAGGGTGAAGGACACGTACCAAGGTGTGCTGGGCTTGGCGCTCCACCTCCAGGGCATTCACCGTGCATCTCAGCTCCAGGATCTCCGACTGGCAGCACTGCAGCTCCTCGGAGCAGGACATGGCCTGCAGGCTGATGCCTTCAGACTGGAGCACAGAGAAACACAGTCACCTCCCTGCTCAGATGGAGGCCAGGTACTCCCTGGCTCTGTAACCCCCACTCACCTGGGCTTGGAACCACTGTTCCACATCCTGGTGGTTGGTCTCCACCATGGCCTCGTACTGAGCCCGCATCTCCCCCAACACCCTGTTCAGGTCAATGGTGGGCTCAATGTCCAGCTCGATCCGGAACTTCTCCCCCAGCTGACTCCTCAGAATCTTTACTTCCTGCAGAAATGGAAGCGATAGACAGCCTGCGTAAGGAAACGGCCTTTGATGGAGCAGACAGCACCAGGACTCCGTCCCTGGCAAGCAGTAGGAGGGGAGTCCCACACATAAGCAAATGGGAAAGTCTTGTCCAGAGTGCATTTGGGAGAGCCCACCTGGACACCTTCCTCATGCCCAAGGCAAGTCTGCACTTTCCACAGAGGCCCTCTGGACCCTCAGACCCACCTCAGCCCTGCATCCTTAGGCCAGCTGAGCCCAGGCAATGCTCTGAGAGCCCCAGGGCCGGGGAGCTCCCCTGTCTGCCCAGCGCCCTCCCCAGGAGTCTGAGCAGCCAGGGCCACACCTGCTCGTGGTTGCTCTTGAGGGAGAGCTGCTCCTCCTTCAGGGACTCCTGCTGGGCCTCCAGGTCGGCCTTGGCCAGGGTCGCGTCATCCAGGAGCTTCTGCGTCCCGCACTTGTCCGCCTCCACCAGCTGGTGAAGGGAGCGCTCACTCTCCAGCCTTCCGTCACAGGAGGCACAGGGTCAAAAAGAATGCCCCAATAGCCCCTCTCAGCTGCCCTGGCTTCCTACCTCCCACACCACCTTGGATCCTTATTTGTTCACGTGGGCAGTATACACTATTCTCAACCCTGCAGCGACACGGTTTGTAGTCAGGACATTATGCCCATTGACCAGATGGAAGACTGAGGCTCAGAAACAAAACACGAGTTGTTCAGAATTCCATGCCCAGTTAATAGTAAATGCATGGACTCATCCTAAGTGTTCTGACTTCAAATGCAGCATTTATTCTGCCATAATAGGAGTCATTTGGCCAGGAAAAAGAATGGCTAAAAATAAGCCTCTGGACCTTCAGTTTGCTGCTTTTCCTCTTGGATTCATTATTTCTCGTTGTTTTCTTGCTTTTCCCCTTCATTCAAGCACAACTCTAGCTACCAAGGAGCTTCAATGACAATTCCTCCAGCTGATGGATTTGGCCAAGAGTCAGAGAGTCTAGCAACAACCTATGCATTGACAGTTTATTTTTGTGATGACTCAATTTTACTTCTGATTGAAAAGCAAAATCCTCTTATCTTCTAGATATGGGAGAAAGTGACATAGGTTCTAACCAATCTAGACTACAGCCCTTCTTTTTCTTTCAATGCTTATATTCTCTTTCCTCCTATATAATGACCATTTCTAGCAACAGGCTAATTTAAGGTGTGGAGAGAAATATTCTTCTAGTCAAAAACTGTTTTTGAACACCTACAATATAGACTGAGTAATGGGGCGGGCCCTTGGAAATACAGCAGGAGAGAAGTCACACTGACCCTCCTCATCCTGACTTACTTGATCCTAAAGTCATCAGCAGCCAGCTTCGCGTTGTCAATTTGTACAATCAGCCTGGCATTCTCAGCCTTGCTGCACAGGATCTGAGGAAAACGGAAAGACGGTTCACACACAAAGCACCATACTCTAAGCTCCCACTCCATGTGTGGTATTTACGCTCATGTCCAAGAGAAACCAAGAACCCAAAGCTCTCTGGACCTTATGCAGATTCCTCCTGCGAAGGCTTCTGCCTTCTCAGACCCAGCATGCCCAGGCGATCCCACACCTCACCTTCTGCTGGAGCTCCTCGATTGTACGGAAGTAGGACTGGTAGTCGGGGCACACGGTGGACTCGTGGCACTTGCTCCTCTCGAGGAGTGTGGTCTCCAGCTCTGCATTCTCCTGCTCCAGCTGGCGCACCTTCTCCAGGTAGTTGGCCAGGCGGTCATTCAGGAACTTCATGGTCTCCTTCTCATGGCCATTCAGGGTGTTTTTGCCGTAGGCCCCACAGATTCCGATGTTGCCGGGAATGTGACAGGTCCCTGGCAAGGGACAAGCAGTGTGACTGGTTGGGGGCAGACAGAGGCTGGGGCGGCCCAGGGGAGTCGACCCCACACGGACTCTGTTGGCGTGTGCCACGTTGGCCAAGAGGCACATGGAGGCAGCATTGGCCTCTGCCACAGGCTGGCACCCAACATCGATAGGAGAGACAAAGACATTTCTTGCTCCAGGAGCCATGGTGCAACCCAGAGGGCATGAGGAGGTGCTGTAGAAGGAGGTCATGGTGTAGGGCTGAGGCTGCACAGGAGCTTCAGATCAGCTGGGAAGGCTGAGCCACTGAGACTGAAGCCTCCTCTCCTCCCAACCCTTTTATACCCCATCCTGGGCGGGTGTTGGCTCCAGTGCTTTGACCTCCTGCCTTGATTATCTACCTGTTGTGGTGCCATCATCCTGTTACTCAGCTGCTGAGTTTACCATGAGAAGTTCCTCAGCTCATTAAAGCAATGTTGACAAATCTGAGATGCCTCTTGGCTCTTCCATATCAGGTTAGCTGTTGGTGGGAAGTCAGAGACTCACTGTTTCTGCTCAACAAACACCAGCAGTTGATTCAGGCCCCAATTGCTCTCTCTGGACTATGGTCTCTGTGGATGTGGTCACAATGAAGGCTCAAATCTTTCCGTCAGTAATTTGTGTAGCAGGAGACACAGAGAACCAATGGGACCCACTGGATCTTTCGCCTGTGCAAGACTGAATCAGCCTTTCCTTTGAAGAGAAAATATCAGTTAATAAAACCAATGCATCTACTGATATTTGACGATTGAGAGGCGCCTTTTTTTCTTTCTTCTTTCACATTGCATACTCCCTTGAGAAGCAATAACATCTGGAAGCAATGGCGCTAATTAAGTTTTGGTTGACTAGTCAGAATCAGCTATTCATTCATTTGTTCATTCATTCATTGGTTCAGCATGCTTCCTGAATATCCCCCATAACTCAGGCAGTGTGCTGGTTCCTGGACACGCAATGTTCCCTGTTCATCAGGAGTAAACAATGCCTCTGAAATCTCTGGATGTTCTACACAAACTTGAATGAGAACCATAGATCAACAAGAGTTAGTGAAAGACAGAGGATCTATAGTTCTGGCCAAGGAAGTATCTAGAAAGAAATCACTAACAAAGAAAAATCTTATTTGATCCAGGAAAGGGAGATTGGGCACAGAGCTCAAGCAGTATTCAAATGAAAGGTCCAGAACTAACATTGATTGAGTACTTAGGTGTGCTAGGCATTCTACTGTGTTCTTTCCTATCTAACCCTTACCACCTATGAGGTGGTTACTCATTGCCTCAATGTACAGATGAGAAAACTAGAGTGAAGTACATTTGCACATTTTCTGATTGACAGTTAGTGAACTGGCAAAGGCTCGATTCAGTCTCATGTCTGCTAGGCCCATTCTCTTTTCACTTCATCATGGCCCCCGGTGAGAACAACGGTGTCATTGCCCCGTCAGTGCTGGGCCTAAGGAGAGGGCAAGAAGGGGCTTAGTTACTGGATGAGAAATTGTGGTGAAAAGAAAATTACTGAAGGTCTTTGTGTTCCAGCAAAGGAAAAGATTTAAATACTATGGCAGTGACAACAAGAAAATGCACTTTAAAAAGTTAAACTAGGCCGGGCGCGGTGGCTCACGCCTGTAATCCCTGTACTTTGGGAGGCCAAGGCAGGCGGATCACCTGAGGTCAGGAGTTCGAGACCAGCATGAACAACATGGAGAAAACCGGTCTCTACTAAAAATATAAAATTAGCCGGGCATGGTGGTACATGCCTGTAATCCCAGCTACTCAGGAGGCTGAGGAGGAGAATTGCTTGAACCCGGGAGGCGGAGGTTTCCGTGAGCCAAGATTGCGCCATTGCACTCCAGCCTGAGCAACAAGATTGACACTTTGTCTCAAAAAAGAAAAAAAAAGTTACGCTAGTTTGTAACATATGCATCATTTAAGACAGGGTGCGTCCTGAGAAATGCGTCGTTAAGAGATTTCTTCACTGTGGAAACATTATAGGGGGAACTCACACAAACCTAGATGGTAGAGCCTACTACACACCTAGACTGTATAGCACAGCCTATAGCACCTGGCTACAAACCTGTACAGCATGTTGCTGTACTGAGTATCATAGGCAACTATTATTAACACGATAATATTTGTGTATCTAAACATAGAAAAGGTAATGCATTGCACTACGACATTATAACCACTTCCACATCACTAGAGAATAGGAATTTTCAGCATCATTATAATCTTGTGGGACCACCGCCCGTATATGTGGTCTGTCGTTGACAGAAACATTCTGACTGTATATCCCAAATCCCAGAGATTTCCAGTAGAGCTGGAAAACAAGTCAACCAATGGGGGTGTGGCCAGGAGTCATCCCTCCCAAGTGGTAGAGGGAAACCAGAAGGACCATGGGACAAGCTCTAAAAGAGTATAAATAAACTCTTTAAAAAAAAAAAAATCCCAATTAGTGGGAAAGTAAATGGCTGATACTAGTAGCAAAACCTTAAGTCTTTGAAATTGACATACTGGAAATGAGCCATTATTAAGATTTTAAATGAAAATAATAGGATTTAGACATAAAATAGGAAGCAAAATACAGTAAACAGAAATCGTGTAGCCAAATATGCATCAAATATGCATTCCCTTCAGCTACACTTTTTTCCTCTGAAATACAAGTTTTAGAAAATCTTAGAAGAGGGGTGGGCGCAGGACTTAATGCTGGGAAGCAACAACTTTGGGGCTGAATTTACTTGAATGGATTACAAATTGCATTGTTACACAGCTAAAAAAAACTTTATGTATGAAAAATGATAATAGCCTTACACTGAGTACAAATAATACTTAAAAGCATGTGAAGATGTGAGCATCTGTGATGTTACTTATAAAAAAAAAGTTTAGGTTTTTTTCCGTAAGTTATTGGGGTACAGGTGGTATTTTTTCCATAAGTGGTGGGGTTTTTTTCCATAAGTATTGGGGCACAGGTGGGTTACGTGAGTAAGTTCTTTGGTGGTGATTTGTGAGATTTTGGTGCACCCATCAGCCAAGCAGTATACACTGCATCCTATTTGTAGTCTTTTATCCCTCACCCGCTCCCTTCCCCCGAAGTCCTCAAAGTCCATTGTATCATTCTTATGCCTTTGCATCCTCATAGCTTAGCTCCCACATATCAGTGACAATATATGATGTTTGGTTTTCCATTCCTGAGTTACTTCACTTAGAATAATAGTCTCCAATCTCATCCAGGTCACTACAAGTGCCATTAATTCATCCTTTTTATGGCTGAGTAGTATTTCATCATATATATGTACCACAGTTTCTTTTTTTTTTTTTTTGAGATAGAGCTTCACTCTTGTAACCCAGGCTGGAGTGCAGTGGCACCATCTCGGCTCACTGCAACCTCCACCTCCCAGGTTCAAGAGATTCTCCTGCCTCAGCTTCCCGAGTAGCTGGGATTACAGGTGCCACCACCATGCCCAGCTAATTTTTGTATTTTTAGTAAAGAAGGTGTTTCGCCATGTTGGCCAGGCTGGTCTTGAACTCCTGACCTCAGGTGATCCACCCGCCTTGGCCTCCCAAAGTGCTGGGATTACAGGTGTGAGCCACTGTGCCCAGCCCACAGTGTCTTTATCCACTCACTGATGGATGGGCATTTGGGTTGGTTCTGTGATTTTGCAATTGTGAATTGTGCTGCTACAAATGTGTGTGTGCAAGTATCTTTTTAGCATAATGACTTCTTTTCCTCTGAGTAGATACCCAGTAGTGGGATTGTTGGATCAAATGATAGTTCTACTTTTAGTTCTTTAAGGAATCTCCACACTGTTTTCCATAGTGGCTGTACTAGTTTACGTTCCCACCAGCCATGTAGAAGTGTCCCCTGATCACCACATCCACTCCAACATCTATTGTTTTTTTATTTTTTTGATTATGGCCATTCTTGCAGGAGCAAGGTCGTATCGCATTGTGATTTCGATTTGCATTTCCCTGATCATTAGTGATGTTGAGCATTTTTTTAAAGTTTATATATGTATCTTTTGAAGTATTGAAAGGAAACTAGTACTTTATATTCTTTATCATATCATGTTTTATAATTGTTGAATATGTTCCTGTTTATTTTTCTCTGTCCTGTTGTGTAGCCTTAAGAAGTGTTTCAAAAAAAAAACCAAACATATCTGAATGTATAAAATAAGAGTAAATGCCCTACAAGTTATGATGCCACATTATACATAAAACTGTGTGCATATATTTTTAAACAGCATAAATACATCTTTGCTCTGAGAAAAAGTTGAACATGCATCCCCGTGAAAACCACAAGGGAGTCAGGGGATGATGGTGTTGATGAAACCTGGGCTCTTGGAATTCTCTCAAGGAGAAATAAGGGGTCTGGAATTCTTCCCAAGAGGAAAACCCACTGTGGGTCAGCTGTGGCTCCAGCGGCCCTGAGGTCAGCTATGACTCATTCTTTACTGGGGCAATCCTTAGAGGGCCTCTCCCTGCCAGGCCATCCCTCAGAGGCCTCTGGGTGCAATCTGCATTTTCCATCTTCAAAGACCCCTTTGTTCCTATCTTCCGCCTCAACACATAGCATCACTATAATCCAGAGAATTGAAGCATTAAAATTCTTCCCTTTGATTTGCTAAATAGGAACCCTCTCTTGACCCTATCCTCTGGCAGGATTTTATCCCATTGGCTAAAATCATGGTTCCTTCTGTCTCAGAACATATGACACTTGTTAATTCTTAAGCATCACAGCTGAAGCTTTGCATCCTTTGCGTCCTGACACACCTCTCCAAAGCTTGATATGTGTCTCTGGCTTGGGCTCTGCATGGTCCATTTTGCATAATGACATAGACACTGCCTAGTCCTTCGTACAGCAGAGGGCTCTTCTGATTTTCTTTGGTCTCAAAGGAACAGGCAGTAGGTGGAAGGCATGAGGCAGGTGTCTGGGATGTACTCAGCTGTGTAGGTGGGAAGGAGCCCATCCTTGACATTGCAGATGATCAGATGAGCCTCCTCTTCCTCCCTTTTTTTTTTTTTTTTGAGACAGAGTCTCGCCCTATTACCCAGGCTGCAGTGCAATGCAATGCAATGGCATGATCTCGGCTCACTACGACCTCCACCTCCCGGGTTCAAACGATTCTCCTGCCTCAGCCTCCTTAGTAGCTGGGATTACAGGCACCCGCCACCACACCCAGCTAATTTTTGTATTTTTAGTAGAGATGGGGTTTCACCATGTTGGCCAGACTGGTCTTGAACTCCTGACCTCGTGATCCACCCACCTCAGCCTCCCAAAGTGCTGGGATTACAGGCATGAGCCACCGTGCCCGGCCCTCTTGCTCCTCTTTAAAAAGAGTTTCTGGCCCCTGAAAATAAACATATATTCCAAGTTGCATGAAGGGAGGTATCAGAGATGAAGAGAGAAGACAGAGGTAGTCCTGCAGCCCTCCTTCCTTCACAGGGGCCACCTCTTCTCTCTTGAGGATTAAAAGATTTTGAGCTGTAATCTCTCTTCAGGCAGAGGGGAAACACTGGGTTCAGAACAGCATCACTTGGTGCCACGGTGCAGACGCATCTCTGAGTCTGACCGTTCTGACGCATCTCTGAGTGAGACAGAAGCAGAGGCACTGGGCGGTCCACAGGGTGTGAGTCTAATCTGCAACCACCTGCTCCAGCTGCAGAGGAAAAATTCTGAAGACACCTAAGGAAACAGGAGCTGCCCACACACTGCATCCTGATGTGAATTACGCCAGGAAAACATCTGCAAACCACGACCAGCAGTGTGTCCTGATACCACTGTGCCTGCAAGGCTCTCAGACATGCTGGGTGAAAACAGAGTCTGAGGAAGGATAACCCAAAACACCTTTATCATTTCAAAAGTCCACCTCAGAAGGCTTTGAAAAAAAAAAAAAAGTCACCGTTTTCTTTTCTATTAAATAGGATTTTAAAATCTAGTTACTTGGGAAACTTTGGTTTGATTTTAAGTATTTTTAAATTATTATTCTGCTTTATTCTTTTTTTGTTTTTCTTTTCTTTTTAGATGGAGTTTTGCTCTTGTTGCCCAAGCTGGAGAGCAGTGGTCTGATCTTGGCTCACTGCAACCTCCGTCTCCTGGATTCAAGAGATTCTCCTGCCTCCGCCTCCTGAATAGCTGGGATTACAGGCGTACGCCACCACGTCCGGCTAATTTTTTGTATTTTTAGCAGAGATGGAGTTTCACCATGTTAGCCAGGCTGGTCTCCGACTCCTGACCTCAGGTGATCCACCCACCTCGGCCTCCCAAAGTGCTGGGATTACAGGAGTGAGCCACAGCGCCCTGCCTAGTTTGCTTTATTCTTATCCCAGGTCTTAAGGTCATCAGAGACTAAATACTGAAAAAGTTATCTTCATTTCCCCTCCCCTTTGTTCCCTGATCCTAGAGTTTCTTTATCTACATGCTAAGGCAGGAAATTTCCCCTTATTTACCTCATACCAAGACCTATTACAAAATCCTTTAATGCAGCATAGTAGAGGTTTAAGACAATGAATTTTGGATCCAGCCTGCCTGGGTTCAGATTCTGGTTCTATCATTTATTAGCTGTGTGAACTTGGGCTGGTGACTTGACCTCTCTGTGCCTCAAATTCTGCTTATGCACAATGGAGTGACAATAGCACCTAGCTAATGGATTTAAGTTTTAAAAAAATCCATACCTGTAAATCACGTAAAATAGTGTCTAGCACAGAGTACATGGTAAGCACTAAATAAGTGTTGTGTTTTTTAATGGATTTTACTGTTACTGGTGTGTTTACATGCTTACACCATTCATAATTCAAAAATGCTTATTAAATTACTTATTTTTTACTTATTTAAGTTAGCAAAGATCAGAAGTTTAGTCTTACTAAAAAGCTTTTGCACAGCAAAAGAAACAACAGAGTGAAAATACAACCTACTGAATGGGAGAAAGAATTGTAAATCATATATCTGATAAAGGGTTAGCCTCCAAAATATATAAGGAAGTCCTACAACTCAACTGTAAAAAATAATTTTTTTTAATTTAAAAATGGGCTAAGGATTTCTATAGACATTTCTCTAAAGTAGACGTACAAACGGCCATCAGGTATATGAAAAAATGCTCAAAGTCACTAGCCATAAGGGAAATGCAGATCAAAGCCATGAGACATCACTTCACACCACTCAGGATGGCTACTATCAAAAAAAAAAAAAGACAACTAGTATTGGTGAGGATATAGAGGAGCTGGAACCATTGCACGCTGTTGGGAAAATGCAAAATGACGCAGCCACTATGGAAAACAGTATGGAGATTCCTCAAAGAATTAAAAATAGAATTACCATATGAGCCAACAATCTCACTTCAGGGTATTTATCCAAAAGAATTGAAATTGGGATCTCAAAGAGATGTTAACACTCCTGTGGTCATTGCAGCAGGAGTCACAATAGCCAGAATGTGGAAACTACCTAAATGTCCGTTGACAGATAAATACAAAAAGAAATTGGTATGTGCAAACACTGGAATTCCATTCAGCCTTTAAAAAGGACGAAATTCTGCAATACGCAACGTGAATAAACCTCGAAGACGTTATGCTAAATAAAATAAGCCAATCACAGAAAGACAAATACTGCATGATTCTGCTTATATGAGGTATCTAAAATAGATTCAACCCTGAAGACATTATGCTAAATGAAATAAGCCGATCACAGAAAGACAAATACTGCATAATTCTGCTTATACAAGGTATTTAAAATAGGCAAATTCATAGAATCAAAGAGTGGAATGGTGGTTTCCAGAGGCTGTGGGAAAAGGGGAAATGGAAAGTTACTGTTCAATGAACATAAAGTTCCAGTCAAGCAAGATGTGTAAGGCCTAGAGATCTACTGTACTGCATTGTACCCAGAGTCCATAGTAATTTATTGTACACCTAAAATTTTATTAAGAGGGTAGCTCTCATGTTAGGTGTTCTTTCTATGATAAAGTAAAATAAAACAAAATAGATTAATGTCATGATTGTAGCAAAATAAAGAAAACATGCACTTTCATACACTGTTGAGGGGAAGAATAAGTTGTGCAACCTCTTTACAAAATAGTTCAGCAGTATCTGTTAAAATTACAAATGCTTTTTTTTTTTTTTTTTTGAGACGGAATCTCACTATATTGCCAGGCTAGGATGCAGTGGCATGATCTCAGCTCACTGCAACCTCCACCTCCCGGGTTCAAGCAATTCTCCTGCCTCAGCCTCCTGAGTAGCTAGGACTACAAGCACATGCCACCATGCCCAGCTAATTTTTGTGTTTTTTGTAGAGACGAGGTTTCACCATGTTGGCCTGGATGGTCTCGATCTCCTGACCTCATGATCCACCCGCCTCGGCCTCCCAAAGTGCTGGGATAACAGGTGTGAGCCACCATGCCCACATATACACTATCGACCAATAATTTCCGCCTATAGGAATTTAATCCTATAGACATACTTACATAGACAGAAGTATAAGGATAAAAAATATAAGGGTACCCTATAGAAGTCCTTGGGGTGTTAGGCCAGGAGCCATCTCTGCTGTTTTGTGCCTCCTTCAGCCTATGGATTTCCCCTCAATGTCCCCTCAATCCATTCCTCTGTGTCTCTCAGGGGACCATTTCCTATGGGTGTTAAGCTGTGGATGATC